>NC_000014.9:53854137-54157167 GCF_000001405.40 Homo sapiens | reverse complement strand
GACTAACAGACATGCTGAGTCTGAAATGCCTTGAGATGCCTTGGTGGAGATGATGTGTAGGCTATTGGATATAGGGAGCTTAGACTAGAAAAAAAAAGATTGAAGTTTGAAAGTCATCAATAGATGATTAAAACAGACCATTTTACTCTTGTGAAATCTGACTGTGCAAGGAGTTCTCAAGTAGAAAAGAATCTTGGGGAGAAGAGATTTGAGCCCATAGCTGGAGGAAGGGACTGAAGAGACAGAAGAGAGTACATGTATGATAGTTGCTGGAAAGGGCAGGAGATGGTGGTCTCTAGAGCAGAGATGAAGTGTTAGCTTTTGTGAAGATGGGGGAGCAGTAAGACAAGGGTTGGGGCTACTGTGCATAATTTCAGAGGTCAAGGTAAGAAAGCTCGAGAGATCAGATTTAGATGTCACTGATGAAAGACAGCTGATTTGGGGTGATAGAAACAAGTGCTTCTATTAAACATGCAACCACAGAGAGTTTGATTTTCTGTCTGTCCTTTCTAGCCATTAAGAGCTATGTCTTAACGGAGTTAGCATTTTTACAGCATTTAAAAAATTTATTTTGAAACTTACATCTATATGCATAAATACAATTTAAAATATGTATATAAATGTGAGCATTACTTCTGCCCTGTAACAGTAATAACCTGGCTTATAATTTACCATATTTTTTCTGTATGCTTGTTCAGTCAAATGAAAATATACATACATTACTTGGAACAGAATAGAGAGGTGAGAAATAAGTCTGCATACCTACAACCATCTGATCTTCGACAAAGCTGACAAAACCAAGCAATAGGGAAAGGACTCCCTATTTGATAAATGGTGTTGGGATAACTGGCTAGCCATATGCAGAAGATTGAAATCGGACTCCTTTCTTATGTATACAAAAATCAACTCAAGGTGGATTAAAGACTTAAATGTAAAACCCAAAACTATAAAAACCCTGGAAGACAACATAGGCAATACCTTTCTGGATAGAGGAATGGACAAGATTTCATGACAAAGACATCAAAAGCAATTGAAACAAAAGCAAAAATTGACAAATCAGATGTAATTAAGCTTAAGAGCTTCTACACAGCAAAAGAAACTATTAACAGAGTAAACAGACAACCTACAGAATGGGAGAAAACATTTGCAAACTATGCCTCTGACAAAGGCCTAATATCTAGCATCTATAAGGAACATAAACTTACAAGAAAAAAAAATACATTAAAAAGTGGGTAAGTGAGGCCGGATGCAGCGGCTCACACTTGTAATCCCAGCACTTTGGGAGGCTGAGGCAAGTGGATCACTTGAGCTCAGAAGTTTGAGATCAGCCTGGGCAACATGGCGATACCCTGTCTCTACTCAGAATTTGAAAAAAAAAAAAATGGCGTGATGGTGTGCGCCTGTAGTCTCAGCTACCTGGGAGGTTGAGGTAGGAGGATCAGTTGAACCCAGGGACAGAGGCTTCAGTGAGCTGAGATTGTGCCATTGCACTCCAGCCTAGGTGACAGAGCAACACCCTGTCTCAAAAAAAAAAAAAAAAAGGTGGGAGCAAATAACATGAACAGACAGCTTTCGAAAGAAGACATACATGCAGCCAACAGGCATATGAAAAAAAGCTCAACATCATTGATCATTAGAGAAATGCAAATCAAAACCGCAATGAGGTACTATCTCACATCAGTCAGAATAGCTATTACTAAAAAGTCAAAAATAACAGATGGCAAGGTAGTGGAGAAAAGGGAATGCTTATACACTGTTGGTGGGAGTGTAAATTAGTTTACCCGTTGTGGAAGACTGTGGTGATTTCTCAAAGACCTAAAGACAGAACTATTATTCAACTCAGCAGTCTCATTACTGAGTATATACCTAAAGGAATATAAATTATTCTACTATAAAGACACATGCACGTGAATGTTCATTGTGCACTATTTACAGTAGCAAAGACGTGGAATCAACCTAAATGCCCATCAGTGGTAGACTAGATAAAGAAAATGTGCAGCCGGGTGCGGTGATTCACGCCTGTAATCCCAGCACTTTGAGAAGCTGGGGTGGGTGGATCACCTGAGATCAGGAGTTCAAAACTAACCTGGCCAATGTGGTGAAACCCCATCGCTGATAAAAACACAAAAATTAGTAGGGTGTGGTGGTGGGCGTCTGTAATCCCAGCTACTTGGGTGGCTGAGGCAGGAGAATCACTTGAACCTGGGAGGTGGAGGTTGCAGTGAGCCAAGATCACACCACTGCACTCCAGCCTGGGTGACAGAATGAGACTCCATCTCAAGAAAAAAAAAAAAAAAAGAAAAAATGTGTACATATATACTATGGAATACTATGCAACCATAAAAAAGGATGAGAACATGTCCTTTATGGGCACACAGATGGAGCTGGAAGCCATTATCCTTGGCAAACTAACGCAGGAACCAGAAAACCGAATGCTGCATGTTCTCACTTATAAGTGGGAGCTAAATGATGAGAACTCATGGACAAAAAAGGGAACAACAGACACTGGGGCCCACTTGAGGGTGGCGGGTGAGAGAAGGGAGAGAATCAGCAAAAAAATAACTAATGGATACTAGGCTTAGTAAGTTGGTGACGAAATAATCTGTACAACAAACCCCCATGACACAAGATTACCTATATAATAAACCTGCACATGCACCCCGGAGCCTAAAAGTTTTTTAAGAAATAAAATATACATACATTACAAAGATATACCACACACACACACACACACACACACACACACACACACACACACACACGCACATACATATATATATTCTTGAATGCTTTTTAGCCATTTTAAAATAAAACTAGGAATACATTTGATATGGTTTGGCTCTGTGTCCCCACCCAAATCTCACCTCGAATTGTAATCGGAATTGTAATCCCCAGATGTCGAGAAAGGGACCTGGTGGGAGGTGATTGGATCATGGGGATGGTTTCCCCCTTGTTGTTCTTGTAATAGTGAGGGAGTTCTCATGAGATCTGGTTGTTTGATAAGTGTCTGGCAGTTTCCCCTGTGCTCTCTCTCTCTCCTGTCACCATGTAAAACATGTCTTGCTCCCCCTTTGCCTTCTGCCATGATTGTAAGTTTCCTGAGACCTCCTGGCCATGCAGAACTGTGAGTCAATTAAATCTCTTTTCTTCATAAATTACCCAGTCTCAGGTAGTATCTTTATAGCAGTGTGAAAATTGACTAATACAATAATATATCCAGTTTTCTGTGTCTTGCTTCTCTCAGAATACCTTATAGAAATTCTACCAAGTCACATGGTACATTTAATTGGTGATATCCATAAGAATTATGAATTTATTTAATCCTTACTGATGAGAATTCATTTGGTTGGCTTGGTTCTTTTTATCCACTGTAAAAAATACTACAATGATCATCTTCATGTATTCATTTCATGTTGGTGGTTTTGATAGATTCCAAGGAATAGAATTACTGAGCCAAATTAACATGTCTTTTTAGTTTGAATAGATTTTGCCAGACTGCAAAAGGTCTCAACATTTCTACCAGCAAAGTATGGGCACATTCTTTTCTCCATTAACCTTAAGTATGATATGTTACCCCTCTTTTAAAGTTCTTCTATTCTAAGAGGTATAAATAATGCTTTATTGCTACTTTAGCTACAATGTGACAATTTTCTTTTTTTGTTTTTGATATAACTCCATGGCTTTTTTCATCAGCCAGTTGAAATCTTTAATTAAAAAATTAAAGGACTACATTCACATATTTCGAAAGTTGTAATAGAACAATAGTATAGATGTAATAGTATTAGTAATTTTTAAATTATTATTTCAATAAGTTTTGGGGGGAATAGGTGGTGTTTGTTTACATGGACAAGTTCTTTAGTGGTGATTTCCAAGATTTTGGTGCACCCATCACCCAAGCAACATACACTGTACCCAATGTATAATCTTTTATCCCTCACCACTCTCCCACCCTTCTGCCTGAGTCCCTGAAGTCCACTGTATCATTCTTATGCCTTTGCTTCTTCGTAGCTTAGCTCCCACTTACAAGTGAGAACATATGATATTTGGTTGTCCATTCCTGAGTTACTTCACTTAGAATAATGGTCTCCAACTCCATCCAGGCTGTTGTGAATGCCATTATTTCATTCCTTTTCATGGCTGAGTAGTATCCCATGCTGTGTCTCTGTGTGTGTGTGTGTGTGTGTGCATGTATGTGTATCACATTTTCTTTATATACTTGTTGATTGTTGGGCATTTGAGCTGGTTCAGTATTTTTGCAATTGCTAATTATGCTGCTATACACATGTGTGTGCCAGTGTCTTTTTTACATAATGACTTCTTTTCCTATGAGCAGATACCCAGTAGCAGGATTGCTGTATCAAATGGTAGATCTACTTTTTTTTTTTTTTTTGAGACGGAATCTCACTCTGTCACCTAGGCTGGAGTGCAGTGGCATGATCCCAGCTCAACTCACCACAACCTCCGCCTCCTGTGTTCAAGCGATTCTCGTGCCTCAGCTTCCTCAGTAGCTGAGATTACAGGCATGCACCACCATGCTCAGCTAATTTTTGTATTTTTAGTAGAGAAAGGGTTTTGCAGTTTTGGCCCCAGGCAGGTCTCAAACTCCTGGCCTCAGGAGATCTGCCCACCTCAGCCTCCCAAAGTGCTAGGATCGTAGGCGTGAGCCACCATGCCTGACCATACTTTTAGTTCTTTAAGGAATCGTCATACTGTTTTCCATGGTGGTTTACTAGTTTACATTCTCACCAGCAGTATAAAAATGTTTCCTTTTCACCGCATCCACGCCAACATCTATTATTTTTGATTTTTTAATTATGGCCATTCTTGCAGGAGTAAGGTGGTATCACATTGTGGTTTTGATTTGCATTTCTCTGATAATTAGTGATGGTAAGCATTTTTGCATATGTTTGTTGGCCATTTGTATATCTTCTTTTGAGAATTGTCTGTTCATGTCCTTAGCCTACTTTTTGATGGGATTATTATTATTATTTTTTGAGATGGAGTTTTGCTCTTGTTGCCCAGGCTGGAGTGCAATGGCGTGATCTTGGCTCACTGCAACCTCCACCTCCCGGGTTCAAGCGATTCTCCTGCCTCAGCCTCCTGAGTAGCTGGGATTACAGGCATGTGCCAGCATGCCCAGCTAATTCTGTATTTTTTAGTAGATACAGGGTTTCTCCATGCTGGTCAGGCTGGTCTTGAACTCCCGACCTCACGTGATCCACCCACCTTGGTCTCCTAAAGTGCTGGGATTACAGGTGTGAGTCACAGTGCCCGGCCTATTTTTTTTTTCTTGCTGACATGTTTGATTTGCTTGTGGATTCTGGATATTAGTCCTTTGTCGGATGCATAGTTTGCATCCGATTTTCTCCCACTCTGTGGGTTGTCTGTTTACTCTGATGATTATTTCTTTTGCTGTCCAGAAGCTTTTTAGTTTTATTAAGTCCCATCTATTTATCTTTGTTTTTGTTGCATTTGCTTTTAGGTTCCTGGGCATGAAGTCTTTGCCTAAGCCAGTGTCCAAGAAGGGTTTTTCCAAAGTTATCATCCAGAATTTTTATGATTTCAGGTCTTAGATTTAACTCTTTGATCCATCTTGAGTAGATTTTTGTATAAGGTGAGAGAGAAGGATCCAGTTTCATTCTGCTACATGTGGCTTGCCAATTATCCCAGCACCATTTGTTGAATAGGGTGTCTTTTTCCCACTTTATGGTTTTTATTTATTTTTTTTTTTTTTGCTTTGTCAAAGATCAGTTGGTTGTAAGTATTTGGCTCTATTTCCGCGTTCTCTATTCTGTTCAGTTGGTCTATGTGCCTGTTTCTATAACAGTACTGTGCTGTTCTGGTGACTATAGACTTATAGGATAGTTTGAAGTTGGGTAATGTGATCCCTCCAGATTTGTTCTTTTTGCTTAGTCTTGCTTTGGCCATGTAGGCTATTTTTTGGTTCCATTTGAATTTTAGGATTGTTTTTTTCTAGTTATGTGAAGAATGATGATGGCATTTTGATGGGAATTGCACTGAATTTGTAGATTGCTTTTGGCAGTATGCTCATTTTCACAATATTGATTCTACCCATCCATGAGCATGGAATGTGTTTCCATTTGTGTCATCTGTGCTTTCTTTCAGCAGTGTTTGTAGTGTTCCTTGTAGAGATCTTTCACATCATTTTGGTTAGGTATATTTCTAAGTATTTTATTTATTTATTTATTGCAGCTATTGGAAAAGGGGTTGAGTTCTTGATTTGATTCTCAGCTTGGTTGCTGTTGTTGTATAGCAGTGCTACTGATTGTGTACATTGATTTTGTATCCTGAAACTTTACTGAATTCATTTATCAGATCTAGGTGCTTTTTGGATGAGTCTTTGGGGTTTTCTAGGTATATATATGATCATATCATCAGTGAACAGTGACAGTCTGACTTCCTCTTTACTGATTTGGATGTCCTTTATTTCCTTCTCTTGTCTGATTGCTCTGGCTAGGACTTCCAGTACTATGCTGAATAGAAGTGGTGAAAGTGGACATCCTTGTCTTGTTCCAGTTCTCAGAGGGAATGCTTTCAACTTTTCCCCATTCAGTATAATGTTGGCTGTGGGTGTGTCATAGATGGCTTTTATTACCTCAAGCTATGTCCCTTCTATGCCAATTTTGCTGAGGGTTTTAATCATAAAGGGATGCTGAATTTTGTCAGATGCATTTTCTGCATCTATTGAGATGATCATATGATTTTTGTTTTTAATTCTATTTATGTGGTCTATCATATTTACTGACTTGCATATGTTAAACCATCCCTGCATGCCTGATATGAAACCTACTTGATCATGGCAGGTTATCTTTTTGATATGCTGTTGGATTTTATTGAGGATTTTTGTGTTTATGTTCATAAAGGATATTGGTCTGTAGCTTTCTTTTTTTATGTCCTTTCCTGATATCGGTATTAGGGTGATACTGGCTCCATAGAATGATTTAGGGAGGATTTCCTCTTTCTCTATCTTTTTGGAATTCTTTCAATAGGATTTGTACCAGTTCTTTGAATGTCTGATACAATTCAGCTATGAATCCATCTGGTCCTGGACTTTTTTGGTTGGCAATTTTTTTATTACCATTGCAATCTCACTGCTTGTTATTGGCCTCTCAGAGTTTCTGTTTCTTCCTGGTTTAATCTAGGAGGGCTGCATAATTCTGGGAATTTATCCGTCTCCTGTAGGTTTTCTCATTTGTGTACATTAAGGTGTTCATAGTAGCCTTGAGTGATCTTTTGGATTTCTGTGGTATTGGTTGTAATATCTCCCATTTCATTGCTAATTGAGCTTATTTGGATCTTCTCTCTTCTTTTCTTGGTTAATCTTGCTAATGGACTATCAATTTTGCTTATCTTTTCTAAGAACCAGCTTTTTGTTTCATTTACCTTTTGTATTTTTTTTTGTTTCAATTTCATTTAGTTCTGCTGTGATCTTTGTTATTTCTTTTCTTCTTCTTGGTTTGGGTTTGGTTTGTTCTTATTTCTCTAGTTCCTTGAGTTGTGACCTTAGATTGTCTCTTTGTGCTCTTTCAGACTTTTTGATGTGGGCATTTAATGCTATGAACTTTCCTCTTAGCACTGCTTTTGCTGTATCCTAGAAGTTTTCATAGGTTGTGTCACTATTATCATTCATTTCAAAGAAACTTTTTAATTTCCATCTTGATTTCACTGCTGACCCAGTGTTCATTCAGGAGCAGGTTACTTAATTTCCATGTAGTTGCATGGTTTTGAGGGTTTTTTTGGAGTTGAAATCCAATTTTATTCCATTGTGGTCTAAGGGAGGACTTGGTATAATTTTGATTTTCTTAAATTTATTGATACTGCTTTTGTGGTCTATCATGTGGTCTATCTTGGAGAATGTTTCATGTGCTGATGAATAGAATGTGTATTCTGCAGTTGTTGGGTAGACTGTTCTGTAAATATCTGTAAAGTCCATTTGTTCTAGGGTATAGTTTAAGTCCATTGTTTGTTGACTTTCTTTTTTTATGACCTGTCTAGTGCTGTCAGTGGAGTATTGAAGTCCTCCACTACTATTGCATTGCTATCTATCTCATTTCTTAGGTCTAGTAGTAATTGTTTTATAAATTTGGCAGCTCCAGTTTTAGGTGCATATATGTTTAGGATTGTGATATTTTCTTGTTTGACTAATCCTTTCATTATTGTATAATGTTCTTCGTGTTTTTTAACTGTTGTTACTTTAACGTCTGTCTTGTCTAAGATATAAGAATAACTACTCCTGCCCACTTTTGTTGTCCATTTGCATGGAATGTCTTTTTCCACCCTTTTACCTTAAGTTTATGTGAGTCTCTTGAAGACAGCAGATACTTGGTTGCTGAATTCTTATCCACTCTGCCATCCTGTATCTTTTAAGTGGAGCATTTAAGCCATTTACATTCAACATTAATATTGAGATGTGAGGTACTCTTCTATTCATCGTGCCAGTTGTTGCCTGAATACCTTGGTATTTTTTTTCATTGTGCTATTGTTTTATAGGCCCTGTGAGATTTATGCTTTAAAGAAATTCTATTTTGGTGTATTTTGAGGTTTTGTTTCAAGATTTAGAACTCCTTTTAGCAATTCTTGTGGTGCTGGCTTGATAGTGGTGAATTCTTTCAGCATTTGTTTGTTTGAAAAGGACTTTATCTTTCCTTCATTTATGAGGCTTAGTTTCACTGGTTACAAAATTCTTGGCTGATCATTGTTTTGTTTAAGGAGGCTAAAAATAGGGCCCAATCCCTTCTAGCTTGTAGCGTATCTGATGAGAAATCTGCTGTTACTCTGATAGGTTTTCCTTTATAGATTACGTGATGTTTTTGCCTTACAGCTCTTAAGATTATTTTCTTTGTCTTGACTTTAGATAGCCCGATGACTGTGTGCCTAGGTGATGATCTTTTTGTAATGAATTTCCTGGATGTTCTTTGAGCTTCTTATATTTGGCTGTCTAAATCTATAGCAAGGTCAGGGAAGTTTTCCTTGATTATTCCCTCAAATAAGTTTTCCAAACTTTTAGATTTCTCTTCTTCCTTGGGAACACCAATTATTTTTAGGTTTGGTTGTTTAACATAATCTCAAACTTTTTGGAGGCTTTGTTCATTTTTTCAATTCATGTTTCCTTTTTGTTTTGGTCAGATTGGGTTAATTTGAAAACCTTGTCTTTGGGCTCTTAAATTCTTTCGTCTACTTGCTTGATTCTGTTGTTGAAACTTTCCAGTGTATTCTTCATTTCTCTAAGCGTGTCTTTCATTTCCAAAAGTTGTCATTGTTTTTTATTTATGCTATCTATTTCTCTGGAGATGTTTTTGTCCATATCCTGTCCTTTTTTAAAAAAAATTTAAGTTGATTTTCACCTTTTCTCTGGTGCCTCCTTGAGTAGCTTAATAATCGACCTTCTGAATTCTTTTTCTGGCAATTCAGAGATTTCTTCTTTATTTGGATCCATTGCCCGGGAGCTAGTGTGATCTTCTGGGGGTGTCAAAGAACCTTGCTTTGTCATATTACCAGAATTGTTCTTCTGGTTCTTTCTCATTTGGGTAGACTATGTCAGAGGAAATATCTGGGGCTTAAGGGCTGCTGTTCAGATTCTTTTGTCCCATGGGGTGATTCATTGATGTGCTGCTCTTCCCCTAGGGATGGGGCTTCCTGAGAGCCAGACTACAGCGATTGTTATCACTCTTCTGGGGAACTAGCCACCCAGTGGAGCTACTGGGCTCTGGGCCAGTACTGGGGAGTGTCTTCAGAGTCCTGTGATCTCATTTGCCTTCAGGTCTCTCAGCTGTGGATGCCAGCACCAGTTCTGGTAGAAGTAGCAGGGGAGTGAAATGGACTCTGTGAGGGTCCTTGGTTGTAGTTTTGTTTAGTGTGCTCGTTTTCTTGAATACTGGTTGATATGGTCCCCACCCAAATCTGATCTTGAATTGTAATCCCCATAATCCCCAGATATCAAGGGAGGAAACTGGTGGGAAGTGTTTGAATCATAGGGGTGGTTTACCCCATGCTGTTCTCATGATAGTGAGTGAGTTTTCATGAAATCTGATGGTTTTATAAGCATCTGGCATTTCCCTTGCTTGCACTTCTCTCTCTTGCTGCTATATGAAGAAAGTGCTTCCTTCCCCTTCACCTTCCATCATGATTGTAAGTTTCCTGAGGCCTCCCCAGCCATGTGGAAGTGTGAGTCAGTTAAACCTCTTACTTTTATAAATTACCTGGTCTCGGGTGTTTCCTTCTAGCAGGGTGAAAATGGACTAATACACTGGTTGTGCTAGCAGCGAAGTTGTCACATGGACAGACTCAGGACCCCTGGTTGGCCAGGATGTTACAGAGAGTGGAATTAGCTGTTGTTTTCTCATTTCTTGGAACAGGATTGTTCTTTTATGAGTTGCTGTAATGACTTGAGTTTGTTGGCCTCCAGCCAGGAGGTGGTACTTTCAAGAGGGCATCAGTTTTGGTAGTATAGTGGGGATACAAGCTTACCCTAAGATCACCTGGATAAGTATTTGGGTTTCTCAGGTGATGAGCAGGACCATAGAGCTCCCAGGAGATTATATCTTTTGTCTTTGGCTACCAGGGCAGGTAGAGAAAGACCATCAGATGAGGGAGGGACAGGCATGTCTGAGCTCAGACTCTCCTTGGGTGGGGCTGCTGTGGCCGCTGTGGAGGATAGGGATGTGGTTCTCAGGCTAATGGAGTTATGTTCCTAGGGAGATTATGGCTACCTCTGTTGTGTTATACAGGTTTCCAGGGAAGTCGGGGAAAGCCAGCAGTGACAGGCCTCACCCAGCTCCCATACAGCCAGCAAGGCCATTCTCACTCCCACCATGCTCCATCAACAGCACTGAGTTCATATCTAGGCAGCCAGTGAGCAGAGCTGAAATCTTGCCCCAGGACACAAGCCTCCCTGCTGAAAAAGCAAGCAGAGATTTCAGGCCCTGCCTCTCCCTCTCTGCCATGGTAGTATCTGGATTTCCATTCACCCTCAACCCCCATCCCAGTTTCTGCCGAGGAAAATTCACACTTGGTCGAAATTATTATAGGGTTCAGCTGGAAGTTTTCTTCTCCTTGTGGTCCTTTCGCAATTCCACTGGCAGCCCTCCCAAAGGACCCCTGTCAGAAAAAATCAGAAATGGCTTCCCTGGAGACTGGGAAGGAAGCCCTGTCTGCAGGGCTCTTCCTGCTGCTTTTTACACTTTTTATATTTTGCTCAGTTCCCTAAATTTGTTTCAGTTCTAGGTAAGGTTAAATTATTCTCCCGTGATCCGGATTTTCAGGTTCTGCAGTGGGAATGTGTGTTTGGAGGCAGACTTTTCCCCTCACACTGTGGGCACTTACAGTTTTTTGGCTGTCCTACAGAGTTTGCAGCAGAAAGCTGCTTCTTTCAAAGTGTCTGTGAATTCTTTCAGTTTTCATGTTATGTTCCTGTGGTAGTTCTTTGTGCAAAAGTTGATGATGTGAATCTCCACATGCTGTTCTGTCCATCCAAGTGGGAGCTACAGGTTAGTTCTGCCTCCTGTTTGCCATTTTTTCCAGTTTCCAAGAATTTTCTTATTACATTTATTGACATTTAGATTTGCTTTTCTGTGACTCTTGTCTATTCTCAGTCTATACTATCTTTTGCTGAGCAGAATATAGGTCTTTTTTTTTTTTTTTTTTTTTTTTTTAACATATCAGGGTTTCCAGTGTTGGTAAAGCCTCCCTAACCCTAGACTGTATGGGGAGTCTCCTGGATATTCTTGCAAAATTTAGTTTTTTCCCATTTACATCTTTTTCTATATTTGGAATTTGTTTTTGTATATGGAGTAATATAGAAGTCTGATGTATTTTTTGCCTTCCATATATCGAGCCAGTTGCACTAGCACTATTGGCAAAATAATTCATCCATGCCCACTAAACTGAAATGCCACTGTCATGTATGAAATCATCATATGAATAGGGATTTATTCCTTTATCTCAATTCAGATATATTTGCCTACTCCTATACTCATACCATGTTGATTTGAAATAGTGGTCTTATATTATGTTCTGATATCTGGGGAGTCAGTTTTTTTTTTTCACAGTTTTCTTGGCTATTCTTGGGCATTTATTCTGCCACTTATTCTTTTTTAAAAGAATGGCTTTATTGAGATACAGTTCATATCCCATAGAATCCACCCCATCATTGGAGGCTGAGCAGAATAGAACTCCCACCTCTTGGTCACATTCTCGTCTCCCAAAACTTAGCCTCAGCATTGTACAGCTGGGTACAGGCTGAAAAATGCTAATGCTCTGTACGTCCTCTGAAGATAGGCCTCTGACTAGGATCTCAGGGGAGAGGGAGATCTCTGCTCTTGGTTGTATCAGTCTGGAGTGGAGTTTCTGTTTTCTGAGGTTGTAGGGGAGTGGGAAGGAGCAGTCTTGCTTCAAATACTATAGACTCTCTTAGTTCTTAACAAATTTTAATAGATTTTTTTTTGAGTAGATGTGTCTTCATTTGCTATATGCTCTTAGGGCCATTTCTAGAGACTTTAACTTTTTAAAAATTAGTTTTCACCAGTTTTTCTGGGATGCAGGACTGTGTTGCTCTGTGTGATGTCATGCCAGAAGTTGATCTCCTTTTGTTTATTCTTAAAGCTAATTTTATACAAATAAAAAAAGCCTGTTACAAATTTAATTAGAATTAAATTGTATATAAATTTGGGGAGAAGTTGCTTTTTTGATGTTTTTGTACCTAAAAACAACATTTGTCTTTCCAACTGTACAGATCCTTATTTATGTCCTTCAGTGACACTTGATAACATTATTCATACTGGCTCTGAGGCATTCTTTATAACTTATTCCTAAGTAATTTTAAATTTTTTCACGATTGTGAATGGAATATTTTCTCCATATTGTTTTGCAGGAGTTTATTGCTGGTTACAAATAAGTATGTTGATTTTACATATTTATCCTATATCCAGTTACTTTATAAAATTCTCTTGTTAATTCCAGTAGTTTTGATTAAGCTAGAATCTTTTATCATAAAAGATTTATTTTTAAACACAATTCAACTTTACCTCAGCAAATGTATAAAAATTGTACCCCAAAATTAGAAATTGAGAAAAGTTTACATGTCTAAGTTTATGGTTTAATATTTCAGATATTAATGAAAAGAGGCAGTCATATGACTGAGGAAGCTGTCTGGGCTTTCATGACTACATCATAATTTTGTCCTCCTGTTAGAAAATAATACTCCATTGAGGTGTCTTAAGTTTTGCTTTAAGAAGGCCATTTTTACTTAAAGCCAATAGTGACTATTACATAGGGATAAAGGAACCCTGATGACTGAAATAAAATAGAACATGAACTCAGATGATGAGGCTTCCATCAGTTAACACACTCTCAGTTCTTTTCCTTCAGTTAATTATTGGAGAGGTAAAACTTGCTTGCATTTGTTTGAATGAAATGGAAATTTCAGTGGCTTAGTGAACCATTTTCCCTGCCTTGGAGACGGTCAAGATGCATTAGACAAATAGATCAACTACTAAATGGCAGTAATGGAGGCTGCTCTTCTGCTTTCCCTTCTCTCTGCTCTGCCTTTTCTCTCTAGTCCTCTCCTTTTACATTGTGCACCCACTCCCACCCCAGTCAGGCATGACACATATCAGCAAACCCGTAGTTGAAGCAGATATCCAACCAAGGAACAGAGTTCCTTTCTGTAGGCAACCACAATGTTACATCGACTCCCAGAAACACCCTTAGTTCCCTCCGGGATGGCAACCTTGAGGGAAAAGAGGGAGCTACCTCACCATGAACACTGTCTTCCCACAAACTTCATTCTCTCTCCTCCTCTCTCATTCCAAGTCTTTTTCTGTAGACTAGGAAGGGAGTGAGTGGGTTTTGGGGTTTCATTTCCCAGCCCTGAAATCTCCTAGTAGAGCCAATAGGAAGGTACCTGACCCTGCTATGGGCAGCTTTGTTTAATTTGTAGGTTTCTGTAGTTTGAGGGGATACATACATGGGCTTTAATGACAATTCCAGGTTAAAAGGAAATGTTCCATGCGATATACCCAAATATCAGCAGGAAACCCTTCAGAAGGTTCATGGGAGAGATGAATTTTACATTGAAATTTGATCTTTCTGGCTTATATCTGGTGCAAAAGTTGCTGGGAGAGCGGCAGTTCAATTAGGATTACTTGTTTCTCACAAACTAATACCATAATTTGAGTAAAAACAACAACAACAACAACAACAACTCAAGCACAGCAGTATTATTTGTGACCCACATTTCTAATTTACTAAGTGCTTTCAAGTATATGTTCTCATTGGATCTTCTCACATCAAGTCTATAATTAAGGTAGGGAAATGTATGAGTATTGTAACTTTTTACCAGTATAAAACCATGGCTCAGTCAAGTTGAATGACTTGTCTAAGGTCTTGGAGCTAGTATGAACTGGAGTCAGGACCATAAGCCATTTCTTCTGACTTCTAATCTAGTGTTCTTTCCACACTCTAAATCCCAGATCAAAGGCAACACCCAATAAAGACCTAGTTTGTGTTTAAGCAACATTTTCAGTCATTAACTTAGTGAAAACCTTTTATGGGAATTAGGTGTTTTCACTCATAGGATTAACTTGTGCTAGTCCATTGGCTCCATGTAATATCTCGTTGTGCTGGATATCTTCCAGTGGCCCCTCTAAATTCACTTGCTGCCATTCTCTACCTTGGCCTGTGTCACAGGAAGCTGACCTTTATGGACTGAATCAATGGGTCACCTTGGCCTGTGGCTTGTGCTTGGGTTCCTCCAAAGGGGAGCACTTGCAGGAGATCAGACAATGGGAGCAAAGTGGGTTTGAGAATTTATTCTAGACTTTAGACTCTTTTTGAAGATAGGAAGGTCTATTTGCCTAAATTTTGGCCAATGGAATGAGGGTGGAAGATACACTGCTTCTGAGATCTTGCTGTGGTCCTTACCCGAAATCTTCTCCCATGTACAGATTGGATGTTGATGTTTAGAGCAGTCTCAGAAGTCATGGGTCAAAAATGATAAAGCCTTGTCCATCTGAGTCTCTGAAGGATTATATAACCCCCATGCCCTGCCAATTAGATCTTATATGAATAAGTAATAACCTTCTATTGAATTAGCCACTGAGATTTAGGGGTTAGCTGTTTAGCAGTTAACATTATCCTAATGACTACATTGCATCTATTTTGTTGAGAGTAAGTTGCATTCTTTTTTTTTTTTTTTTTTTTTTGAGACAGAGTTTCGCACTTTCCCCCAGGCTGGAGTGCAGTGGTGTGATCTCGGCTTACTGCAACCTCTGCCTTCGGGGTTCAAGTGATTCTCCTGCCTCAGCCTCCAGAGTAGCTGGGGTTACAGGCACCTGACACCGTGCCCAACTAATTTTTGTATTTTTAGTAGAGATGGGGTTTCACCATGTTGGCCAGGCTGGTCTCGAACTCCTTACCTTGTGGTCTGCCTGCCTCAGCCTCCCAAAGTGCTAGGATTACAGGTGTGAGCCACTGCGCCCAGTAAGTTGCATTCTTAAAACAATAACTGTTTCCTTTAAAATACTGACATTAGCAACTCACACAGCAATGGGTTCCATGTCAGTGGCAGATTTCATGTTTTGCTGATTGTGGATTCATGACCTACTAATAGGTTGTGACTAACAGTTTTAAAACATCCCATTAAATGCATTTCATACCAACATGTATAAATACAGACCTGCCCACTGTCCACTCAAAATCAGTCACCAGGAAAACTGTTAGTTTTATTTACAGCGTAATTTGGCAAACTCTTAATTTAAAACTGTAATCAAACTCTTCTGAACAGATTGATTATGCCATCTAGCTTGTCCTCTTTGCTTTCTATAACATTCATATCCTTCTTGAAGGGCTATAGAGACTGGGAGATACATCTTAACCTGTGATTTTGGGAGGGGTGGATTCATGTGTCCTTTGCTTTGCTTTGTTAGTTTTTATTTCCTTTGAGTCCATTAGCTTCAGCAAATTTCTGGCATTAAAAGTATCTACACCATTTTAACTCTAAGCCCTCATTTAAACAAGATCAAATGTTTAACACCCTCAGTAGAGATCCTGGTACACAGTAAGTCCTTGTTATATGTATGTGTGTATCTCTATGTAGCTATTTATCCGTCCATTCATCTATATTTTGAAGCAGAGTCACATTCTCCTCTGTCCCATGGGACTGCTCATTCTCAGTAAAGAACTGCATCCAAGCTCCATAAAGTACACAGTGGTTAGCGGACTGACTTATGGGATATTATATATTTGAGTTGCTTCCCAGTCAACCCCCTTGTACTAATCTTCTATTGCTGCATAACAAATTACCACAAACTTCAGCAGTTTCAAATATAACCAATTTATTATCCCATAGTTCCTGCAGATCAGAAGTCTAGGCATGATTTAACTGGGTTCTCTGCTCAGGGTCTCACAAGGCTGAAATCAAGATGTCAGCCAGGCTGTGTTCTTATCTGGAGACATGATTTGGGAATAAAGTGCTTCCAAGCTCATTCAGTTTGTTTGCACTATTTGTTTCCTCACAGCTGTATAGTTGAAGTCCTTGTTTTCTTGCTAGCTGTTGGCCAGGGATCATTCTTAGAAAATAGAGGCCATCCTCAGATCCTTGCCATGTGGACTTCTCACAAATCCTCTTACTACATGAGAGCTTACTTTTTCAACCCAGAAAGAGAGTCTTTCTTGCTTGGGCTCTCTGACTCTAGACCTTATTTATTTTACTTTATTCGTTTATTCATTCATACATACATATATACATACTGAGTCTTGCTCTGTCACCCAGGCTGGAGTTCAATGGTGCGATCTCAGCTCACTACAACCTCCATCTCCCAGGCTCAAGTGATCCTCCCACCTTAGCCTCCCGAGTAGCTGGGACTACAGGCACATGCCACCATGCTTGGCTAATTTTTAAAACAATTTTTTTTTTCTAGAGACAAGCTCTCCTTGTTTTGTCCAGGCTGGTCCTGAACTCCTGGGCTCAAGTGATCCTCCTGCCTCTTCCTCCCAAAGTGGTGGGATTATAGGCATGAGCCACTGTTTCTGTCCTCTAGACTGTCTTTCAAAGGGCTCCACCTGATTGGCCAGGTCTATCCTAGATAATCTTCTTTTATTAACTGAAAGTCACCTGATTTGGAAGCTTAACTACGTTTGCAAAAATCCCTTCACCTTTGCCATATAACATGGTGTAATAATCATGGGAGTGGTATCTCATCACTTTTGCCATATTCCGTTGGTTAGAAGCAAGTCACAAGTTTTGCATGCACTCATGGGAGGTGGTTATACAAGCGTGTGAGCCTTTGGGGGTCATCTTACAATTCTGCCTACCATACCCCTTCAACTTGGTTTGTGTAGTGCTCACCCCCCTACCCTGCCCTGCCCTTGTTACCATTTGGATAACAGGATTTTTATGAACATGAAAGGCTGTTGGAATGAGAGAATGATGGATTCTAAGCTTTTTAGAAAGAAAAACCATACAGCAGTATGGTGAATATTACAAAGTAGCCTCATGAGTACATTGCCTATACTGAACTCCTGAGTAGATTGAGGAGATTCCGACCTTCTCTGTAGGTGGTTCTGGTGATAAGTAAGAGCAGATCTCGAGACACAGTGGTGGAGATGAGAAGTCTTCATCTAATCGAAGCAAGAAATTCTCATTGACCAGCTTCCTACTTTTGAAAGCTTAACAGGACACATAGGAAAAGTCCATAATTTGAAAAGACATCATTGTCCAAATGTAGGCTAGTGGAATTTATGCTCTAGTTCCTTGAAGTTTTATCTAGGCCCACAATGAGAGGAGCCTCTTACAAAGTACTGTAAAGTGTGGGCCCATGTGTGTGCATGGAGGGAGAGTGGGACTGAGTAGGGAGAGAGGGCTTGCTTTTCTCAGCAAGAGATTCTATTCTTTGTTACTTCAACATTTCAGCAGAGATGACCCTGAACAGAAAGACATTCCTTAAAATGAAGCATAGATTTGTCAGGTTTGAACTGCTGGACTATTTAAAGTACAACTTAAAAAAATACCACAGACTTGATTTTTTTTTCCCTACTGCCTTCCTCTAGGTATTTCTTTATACAAGAACTTCTGGGTTTTTATATTCCAAGATTACCTCCAGATGGTCTGAAGTGTTCTTTCTCAGCCATTTCCTAGTGGCATTTTTTTCTTACCTAGGGAGAGGTACCACAGAGATCAATGCCAGAGGGCATTATTGAAAACATTGACCCAGAAGGCACACTCCAGGCCACTGGAAGCATCTGCTTCACAAATGTCAGGCTGGGGGACATCACCAGATGTTAGTGTTGAAATAGCATTTAGAAGACAAACATTGACTCCAGAGGCCAAGGGTCACCTAAACAAAGAGCCAGACTGGCAAGGAGGATCAAAGTGAGGGTACAAAAACTAGATTCATGTGGCCATGACTTTCTGTGGTCTAGCTCACAGTTCATCAGACTTTCCAGGACTATAGAAAGTTTTTGCATTGTCTTCTGTGGCTTGGATCTCAGTCCTAGCTGGTGGAGTGTTGGCTGGAGAGAGAGGAAAGGGGAGGCACGAAATGATAGGGCAGGCACAAATTTAACATACAGACATTCAAATAATTTCTTCTTCATGTGGGATCTTGGGGATCCATGAAACACAATCTAAAAACTGCTATACCAGGGGATTTTAGGTTGTCTCACCAATACCAAAAATTGGAATGAGGTTATTCCTTCTCTTTGTACCAAAGAGGATACCCTGCTAAGCCTTTCTGAGAGTGAAAGTGAAAGGGGGAGTCTTTCTTCACTCTTTTTTCTCTGTGTGCTTGTCCGTGTTATTAGTGCCATTCAGTGTGGAGGCCAGAGGATTGTCAATAAGGTAGACAGGATGTATGTTTCTCATGGTGCCTTCTTTTTATTGTGCCCCAATCACACATTCTTTTATGCTTATGCATTTGAGGCAAGGCTCACAAATGATAACACCACGTAATATTTACTTGGTTAGGTTCAAATTGGGGATGGAGTTGGGCCAAGATGGAGGCTAAGAATAGAAAAAGAAGAATGAAGAAGAGATAGCTTTTTACTCCTTCAACTACATATGTTAAGATACTATGAGAAACTAACAAGATTCTGGCTTGATTATAAAATATGCTGACCACCAAGCTGGGGATCTGGAGACTTTTATTCCTTACATCACCAAATACTTTAATATACCAGGAATGGTGAATATCAAACTATCCTAGCTTAAGTATTCTGCTCTGTCTCTTGGAAACACCCTCCCCAAAACAATCTTTGATGTGGAGCAGATTTGTAGAGAATTATAAAAAAATTACTCACCCGTTAAACATTTTTCACAGACCTGAAAAAGTATGAGGTGGTAAAATCTATAAAGTTGGCATTCTTCTTTTTATTCATCTGGCACACATTGTTACTTGGCTCAGGTGAGAAGACTTGTAAGAGTGATGACAGTATATTTGAAATGTTTTTCATTTCAGTAGAATGTCTTTTTGAAGAATCTTGGACTTTCTTTTTTTTTTTTTTACTTGAGTGAAAGCTGAAAGATTTAACAGTTGTTGAACTCTCCAGGCACAAAGCAACAAGCCAGTGGAGGAGCTGAGACCAAAAATCCTCGCGTTTTGACTGACTGACTTCATCAGAATAAATAAGTGGCAATTGAGCTGCTCTGTTCTAGGCCTTTGAGGATGAGGTTGAGCATCCATGACCCCAGCCAGTTTCAGGGTGACTGCTGGATGCTGGAGAAGGATCAAGAACTGTTTACCATGGAGGGTACAGGGCAGGCATCTGTGGGTGCCATCAAGCGTGCAGGGCCTGCACAGTCACTACTTCAAAACACAGAACTCCCTCTTCAAAAATGTATAAGTTGTTCTTCCAGAGGCCCAGTTCTCGGCTTTAAGCCAGAGATGGCATTTAACTGTATAGCATCTATTCACCCTGTTTCTGGTAAAACAAAACAAATCCTTGAGTTTTCATGGGAAACTGCCCCTCCTTCACTGTCAGAACACATAGGTTGGGTGGAGCTGACTCCTCCTCATGCTTCAGGGCTGGCCACACTGGAAATTACATTCTCCTGCATAGTGATTGGCTCAATGATGGACATGTGACCCAATCACAGTGACATGTGACCCAATCACAGTGGAGAAGACTTAGTTCTTGGAGATCGTTAGAAAAAGAGAAATCTTTCTGTGGAGGTTGTTGTGAGGATAAAAAGTGACCTGGAGCTTCTCGCTTCCATCTTGTCACACCCCACCCCCAGTGGCCTGGTGGTGGGGTTGGGGAGCCTTCCTGAGAATGGAGCCTGCAAAGAGGAAAGCTGATCAAGACACAGAGAGGCAACTTCATGAAAAATTGAGCACCTGGATCCAGCCATGACGGAGTTCACAATACCCTTAGATTTTTTTTTTTTAAATCATCTTCTGATTTATGTTGAAGGCAGTTTGAGTTGTTTTCATTCACTTGCAACAAAGAGAGCCTTGAATTAACACATGTCCAGGCAGGGAGGAGACATGAAGCATCCTTTTACTCTTATCCATGTTCTCAGACATATTAATCCATTTTACTTTTTAGGGAAATCCTTTATCTCCCTTAATAAAGTCAATCCAGATTGCCTAAAATTATCACTGGAGGAAGATCTTCACATTGGGAGGAGGTCTTGACCCCTGAATTTTGTCTTCCCCTTGGTTATTTCTTGCTCATGCTACTGCTGCCGTGACACATAAAAAGACCCAAACCCTTCTCTCCTCTTCATAAACACATGTACAGGTTCTGCAAGATTGGCAGTGAAGGGAGAATCTCCTTGTTCGAGAGACTGGCTGGACCTCATAACCTCAATGCCCATTCCCCTGATGTTTGTCTTTCATTGATATTATTAAAAGACATTATTATTTCCTCACATGCTTATGTTGAGCAGATGAGGAAAATGGGCCACCCTGACCTCCCGCTTCCTTGAACCCACCTCACTCCCACCCAGCATTATGTACACAATTGCACAACCTCTCCCTTTCCTCTGACCATAACTAAGCCAGGGTGGACAGAAGGAGCAATTGTTGCAGCGACACTCTCATGCTGCCCTGCTTCCTTTCTCCTCTGCTCCTGTTAGGTAACCCCTCTCATCAACTCCTTATTTGAGGTTTATGTGCTCAGCTTGACCTTGAGAACATTTTGGTGGTTAAAGTATATAGAGTTGACTGTTTTTTTCCAACGAAGGTTTGGAAAACATATTCCAACACAACACCATTTTATTTTTCTTGTAGAGTCTCTAAGGGCAGTATTGCTCCATAAAAGAAACTGGTTACAACAGATTGTTGTTAAGATACCATTCTCTGTGTCAAGGGTGGATGTGAGGTCATATGTGATATTGTCCATTTTAAAACATCTGGTCATGTCAGTACAGACTCTTCTGGGAGTTCTGACATTGGGTACACACCAGTGGAACGTTTTACAAAGAAGTTGACAGGCTCTACTGGATATTTTGGAATCAGAATTTCTGAGGTGGGCCCAGTTACATGTACTTCGAAAAAGCTCTGAAGGTGATTCTGGCAGACAGCCAGGTTGAAAAACGCTGGACCAAGATCTCAGGACTTGGGGAGACTCAAGAGAGTCAAAACTGTACCAAGGCTGGTTTTGAACTCATTTAATAATATGTAGATTATTGCTTTCACTCTCTACATATTTTGGTTATCTATTGCTGCATGACAAACTACTATAATATTTAGTGACTTAAACCAGAAGTGATTTATACTCTCATGAATCTATTGACTGGCAGTTCTGTTTTGCAAGGTGTCAGCAGGGACACTGGGTACAGCTGGAAGGTTCAGAATGGCCTCAGTTCCATCTCTGGCAGTTTATATACTGGCCTCTGGCTGGGACCTTAACTGGGGCTGTAAGCCAAGGTTTCAAGTCTGCTCCACATGGGTCTTTCCACATGGCTGCATGGGTTTACTTACAGCATGGTGGCTAGGGGATAAAAAGGTGCATTCTGGCCAGGCACGGTGGCTTACACTTGTAATCCCAGCACTTTGGGAGGCCGAGGCAGGTGGATCACAATGTTAGGAGTTTGAGACCAGCCTGGCCAACACAATGAAACCCCGTCTCTACTAAAAATAGAAAAAGATTAACCAGGCATGGTGATGGGCACCTGTAATCCCAGCTACTTGGGAGGCTGAGGCAGGAGAATTGCTTGAACCAGGGAAATGGAGGTTGCAGTAAGCTGAGATCGTGCCACTGCATGCCAGCCTGGGTGACAGAGCTACACTCCATCTCAAAAAAAAAAAAAAAGAAGTGCATTCTATGAGAACAAAACTCATCACATAGCCAAGCCTAGAGGTAGTGTGAGAGGAGATAACACTAGGGCTTGAATTTTAGAATCTGTGGTCAATAGAGGCACCAAATCTCAATCTGCCATACTACCTTCTGGTATCTTCATGATAAAGATTCTGTATGGTCCCAAAACATAAAGCATATGGAAGTGGGTAACGGTTTATCATATTTCTTATTGTCTGAGAGCTTTGTTGTCTGCTGCATTCTGCTTCCCAGACAATATCCTCCTTATCACCTTTGAGCCATGTACAGGCTAGATCTACCCGTAGGGTATGCTATTTATTATTTCGAACCATCTTATTTCAGTTTTTATCTTCCTTCTTCTCCCCACCATATAGAGACTTAGGGCGAGTTTCCAGACTGGTAATGCTTGATATGAAATATTTCCTTCCATGTGGGTAAAACAACAAATATTTTAAAGCACAGATGGAAAAATTCATTTATTCCACAAACATTTTCTCAGTACCCAGCATGTGCTTTACTCTTTCTCACATCTTTTTCTCTCTTTCTCCTCTCTCTCATAATAACATAAAAAGGATAAAATAAATTGCAATAGTAAAACATTGTCACCCACAATCGTAGACACTGGTTACTAATCAACCAGTGCCTGGTAGATGAATGAAAAGCTAGTTTTATTTGCTGCTCAGTGGAGCTCGAATGACCAGACAGGTTTACCTATTTGTGAAGACACTGGTGCTTATCACATGTGGATTGCCCTGTGTGAGTGAGAGAGGGATTTCACAACTCCTGTAACATGAGTCAGGTGGTGTGGTGCTCAAGAGCTGATGAGTGAGGAATAGAACTCTGAAGTTTACTCCGGAGGGGAAAATCATAGTTCAAAGTGAGCATGGGTCACTGGAAGACAGAACAGTCTGGCTGGAAGGAGGTAGAGACAGCTGATTTTAAGTAAAAGGTAGGGTGTCCCTAGGGGATGAGATCAAATAAAACATACTGTATAAACACCCTCCTCCAACACTTGTATCCTTGAAGATAAGGGTAAGGAGGAACAATGAGGAGGAACAGTAAGGAGGAACACTTGTATCCATGAAGATAAGGGTAAGGAGGAACCATGAGGGCATTTTGAAAAGATGAAGTCTTAATGGGAAATTAGATTCTAGAGGGTTGGGAAAAGCTATTAACTCCTTTCCTATTCCTGAGCTGGAAGCCATCTCTACTTAACTCTTACTGTATTTTATTTGTACCTTCTTGGGGCATTTATCATTATTATTTTGTATTAGTAATTATCCATCTTTACTTCTACACATGTTGGCAAAATTCTCATCCAAACCATCTTTCTCTCTTCTTAATACAAGACCCTACATCTAATAGGACTTCAGTTAACATTGGGTGAATGGATGCATGCATGAATTGCAACACTGTTAGCTGTGTCCCCAGATCCTTCTCAATTCCTAACTGCTGCCCCATTTGAAGTTCTTGGGAAGGTAAGACACAAGCCACTCCAAGCAGATGGGTGCTATTTATTCATAGTTGAAGCTTTTGCATAAATTCTTCTTAGTTTTCGTACTCTATTGAGCTAAGACAGACAAGATAGAAACCTCAAGAATTCTCTTTACCATCCCCCTCTGATGTTGAAACATAACAGGATGAAAGCAGCCTCTTTCCGAAACCTTCTCTTTGTTATTCTGGCTTCTCACTCAGAGCTCTCTTCCCAAAGCATCAGGTACCTTTCCTCTCCATCTTAGTAAGCCTCAGCCAGTGTGGAGGTAAGAGAAGTCTTTATAAAGAGAATTATCACTGTTGTTTGTAACAAATGTCCCAACCTTGAGCATTTCTTGACCTTTATGGCTGTGTGTGTGTGTATGTGTGTATGTGTGTGTGTGCGTGTATGTATACTATGGCATGGAGAGTGATACAATGTACTTCCAGAATTTTTTGGTACATTATTTATGGTTTCCAAAGAATGTGGTACACATCTTTAAATATACATACACATGGATAAGCGATAAGAACTCCTTTGGATGGTTGCCTGAGTTACCCACTGCCCAATCTCATTCTTAGTACAAAACAACCTTCAGGGTAAAAATTGTTATACATTTCATTATACAGTAGACATATGGGAATATCGTGATGCCTGAAGCTTTTTAGCTGAAGGAGGCTTTGAGCCAAATTTATTCCTGGGGCACTCATGTGTAAATCCTATATATGTGGCCTATACTGAGTAACCTGTTTACAATTTATTTGTAAAAAGCATGTGGCAGCCAGTTGTCTTTTGCCTTTTTCAGTTGGGAAGACACATGGTAACTAGCTGTCTAGATTTACAGATGTGGGTCAGCTGAAGCTGAAACATTAATGTACATAGGCAGTGTGTTCCGTATATACTCCTCCTTGGTAGTTCTGTTCATGGTCAGAGGGTTTTTTTTGTTTTTGGCTTTTCTTGATTCAGATTAAATTATTATTATTTGTATATTTTTTATTCAGAGCAAAAGTCTAAAGAGGCTACATTTTGTAGAATGATTTTTGATACACAGTTTATTAAAAGTATTAACAGAACTTCGTTTTAGAGCATTAAAAAGTAATTCTGCAAGGAAATCTGGTAACTAAGAAATTCATTTGTTTAAAAGATAATGAAGGGCTAATTAGCTGTGAATGTAATTATCTCAGGGAACATTATCAGTTGCTCATTAGAGGCCTTCAATAGCAAGTTAGCTGTTCTAGAGCTAGTATCTAGGGAGTTGGTCAGTCAAAAGTTGGAAGTCTTTTGAAGACTGTGGGCTAGTGGTTTAATATTTCTAGTGGCTAGTATCCAGGTAGCATTAATTGTCATCCTTAACTCATCAAACACTTCTCCTTTACCCAATTGATGTATTACTCACATTATCAGAAATATCTTTAAAGATACTGGTTTTTAAAATAGAGTCTTGGTAATTAATGCAAAATGTAAAGCAATGGTTGCTTATGTTTTTGAGTATATTCAAGTATGTTTACGTGCTTAAAAAATTGTATGTGCTACCCTGGACATCACTTGAGTGTCCTTATATATAAGGGAAATGGGTAATAGTGTGCATATATGTGCATGTACATAAACCATAAACACACAAGTGCACACACACACACATATTTGTCATATAAATATGACAATGTGAAATCATAGGAGTTGGGTCAGTGCCTACTATTTTATTGCCCCCTTTTTGGGGAAAGGAGAAAATCTAATGGCAAAGAATGAATTGAAAGATGGTAAAACTTAGAGTTTGTGTCTACTAATAGCCAATCTAGGGGAAATTTATTTTCTGAGCTTTAATTATTCCATTCCAAAGTAATATTTAATGAGGCTGGGAATGGTATCTCACACCCAGCGTTTTGGGAGACTGAGGTAAGAGGATCAGTTGAGCCCAGGAGTTAGAGGCCAGCCTGGGTAACACACCAAGACCCTGTCTCTACAAAAAGAAAAGAATTAGCTGGGTGTGGTGACACACGCCTATAGTCCCAGCTCCTCAGGAGTCTGAGGCAGGAGAATCTCTTGAGCTTAGGAGTTCGAGGCTGCAGTGAGCTGTACTCCAGCCTGGGTAACAGAGCCGAGACCCTGTCTCTAAAAACAAAACAAAAAAGTAATATTTAATGGATGAGAAAAGAGTAAATGACTAAGGTGATATGTAAGCATTAAACTCTGTCTAAAAGGTATCTACTTGGTTTCTTTATCTTGAATAAACCAAATGTCAGAATAATATTTTGGGCTACTTTATAGAACAAAAAGGTCAACAACGTGAAAGTAATTAAACTAATATCGGAAGGCATCACCAGCATGTTTGTTTTAAACAAGTGTGGTTTACTGCTCTCCAAATGCTATTTACCTAAAATGAATAACACATATGAGAACAGTGGAACAGAAACAGCAGCACACAAGTTGAAGACAGCGTTATATTCTTTCTAAGAATGGAAATGAGTGGGAGGCTGAGGTAGGAGAATCGCTTGAACCTGGGAGGCGGAGGTTGCTGTGAGCCAAGATCGCGCCATTGCACTCCAGCCTGGGCAACAAGACTGAAACTCCGTCTCAAAAAAAAAAAAAGAAAAAAGAGAATGGAAATGAGTTCGTGATATAGACATGTAATATGATAGGAAGTGGAGAAAATCATCACTTCACTAGTTGGATAAGGAAAGCTGGACTTGTATATACTGACTTTGGAAAAAAAACATTTTTAAGGCCCTCTTATTGCACAACTTTCATTTTATTTTGTATGTATATATGATTATATATCATACATATGTATAAAATATATATTTATATAAATCATATACGGACATGCGTTGGAGATATTGTGGGTTCAGCTCCAGACCATGGCAATAAAATAAATATTGCAGTAAAGTGAGTCACATGAAATTTTTGGTTTCCCAGTACATAGAAAAGTTATGTTTACACTATACTGTAGTCTATTAAGAATGTAAGAGCATTATGACAAAAAATATGCATACCTTAATTTTAAAATACTTGATTGCTAAAAAATGCTAACAATCATCTCAGCCTTTAGTGAGTCATAATCTTTTTTGCTGATGGAGGGTCTTGCCTCAATATTGT
Source organism: Homo sapiens (assembly GCF_000001405.40). Classification (NCBI taxonomy): domain Eukaryota; kingdom Metazoa; phylum Chordata; class Mammalia; order Primates; family Hominidae; genus Homo; species Homo sapiens. Next base: position 54,130,322 of record NC_000014.9, on the reverse strand, counting down.
TGGCTGCTGACTGATCAGGATAGTAGTTACTGAAGGCTGGGGTGGCTGTGGCAATTTCTTATAAGACAACAATGAAGTTTGCGGCACCGATTGACTCTTCCTTTCACAAAAGATTTATTTTGTGAAACGTATTTCACATGTTTTGTGAAACATATTTCACATGTTTTGTGAAACATGCAATGCTGTTTTGATAGCATTTTACCTACACTAGAACACTTTCAAAATTGGACTCTGTCCTCTCAAACACTGCTGCTGCTCTAACAATTAAGTTTCTATACTCTTCTAAATCCTTTGTTGTCATTTGAACAATGTTCACAGCATCTTCACCAACAGTCAATTCCATCTCAAGAAACTACTTTCTTTACTATCTGTAAGAAGCAGCTCCTCATCCATTAAAGTTTTATCATGGGATTGCAGTACCTCATGATGAGTCCCATCTTCAGGCTTGACTTCTAATTCTAGTTCTCTTGCTATTTTCACATCTGTAGTTACTTCCTTCACTGACGTCTTGAAGCCCTCAAAGTCATCCAGAGTGTTGGAATCAACTTCTTCCAAACTCCTGTTAATGTTGATATTTTGACCTCATTCTATGAATCATAAATGTTCTTAATGGTATCTGGAATGGTAAATTCTTTCCAGAAGGTTTTCAATTGATTTTGCCCAGATCCATCAGAGGAATCACTAGCTATAGCAGCTATAGCCACTATAGCCTTACAAAATATATTTCTTACATAGGAAGACTTGAGTCAAAATTATTTCTTGATCCATGGGCCATAGAATGGATGTTGTGTTCTCAGGCATGAAAACAGCATTCATCTCTTAGTACATCTCCATTAGACTTCTTGGGTGGCTACATACATTGTCAATGAGTAGTAATATTTTGAAAGGAATCTTTTTTTTTTTTTCCTGAGAATTAGGTCTCAACAGTGGGCTTAAAATATTCAGGAAGCCATGTGGTAAACAGATGTGCTATCATCCAGACTTTGTTGTTCCATTTATAAAGCACAGGCTCAGAGTCAATTTAGCATAATTCTTAAGGGCCCTAGGATTTTCGCAATAGTCACTGAACATTGTCTTCAACTTAAAGTAACCAGTTGCATTAGCCCCTAATAAGGAAATCAGCCTGTCTGTTGAAGGTAGGCATTGACTTCTTTCTAGCTGGAAAAGCCTGAAATGACATCTTCCAGGAAAAGGCTGTTTCATCTACACTGAAAATCTGTTGTTTAGTGTAGCCACGTGCATCAATGCTCTAAGCTAGATCTTCTGGGTAACTTGCTGCAGCATCTATGTCAACCCTTGCTGCTTCACCTTGCACTTAAATGTTATCGAGATGGCTTCTTTCTTTAACCCTCATGAACCAACCTGTGCTAGCTTTGCTTTTCTTCTGTAGCTTCCTTGCCTCACTTAGATGTCATAGAATTGAAGAGAGTTAGCCTTGCTCTGATTTGGCTTTGGTTTACAGGAATGTTGTAGCTAGTTTGATCTTCTTTCCAGAGCACTGAAATTTCTCCATATCAACAATAACACCATTTTTTCTTTTTTTTTTTTTTTTTTTTATCATTCGTGTATTCACTGGAGTAGCACTTTTAACTTCCTTCAAGAACTTTTCCTTTGCATTCACAACTTGGCTGTTTAGTGCGAGAAGCTTCAACATATCTCAGCTTTCAACATGCCTTCATCACTAAGCTTAATCATTTCTAGCTTTTGAGGAAAACTGGGAGACATGCGACTGCTCCTTTCACTTGAAAGCTTAGAGGACATTGTGGAGATGTTAACTGGCCTAATTTTAATATTGTTGTGTCTCAGGGAATAGGGAGGCCTGAAGAGAGGGAGATAGAGGAGAGGGAATGGCCAGTCGGTGGAGCATTCGGAACACACACACATTTATTAAGTTTGCTATCTTATATGGGTATGATACATGGTGCCCCAAACCAGTTACGATAGTAACGTCAAAAATCACTGTCATAGATCACCATAACAGATATAACAACAATGAAAAGTTTGAAATATTACAAGAATTAACTAAATGTGACACAGAAACATGAAGTGAGCACATGCTGTTGGAAAAATGGTGTCAGTAGACTTGCTCAGTGCAAGGTTGCCACAAACCTTCAATTTGTAAAAAATGCAATATCAGTGTAATACAGTAAAGTGCAATAAAGTGAGGTATGCCTCTGGGTGTGTATGTGTGTATATTTGAATTAAACTGGTTAGTTCTAGGCTGTTGAACTAGACCATGTTGCCCAGGTTCTCTGCCTTTTACTTAGTTAATATATAAATATATATGCTCTCCTAAAACTGTAAAAGTTTCTTTGGTGAAAATCTCCCTCTTCATTCTTTACTTACCTGGTACCTTTTCTTCCCTTTGGTGATTGCTACTTGGAGTGGAATAGAGCCTGGCCTAATATGGAGGAGGGGATACCAGATTTTGTCTCATTTCAATTTTTTTAGAGGCTACAAAAAGGTTAGCAAAAGACAGTAATCTGAAGTATGGTGTCAGAATTCATTAATTCATCTAGGGTGAACCAGCTCTCTGATAATAATCCATGTTAACTGTACCTAGAAACAATGTGCTCATTCTGCAGAGCACTGGGAAACAATCCAGTGGTCTGGCAAACTTCCAGAATAATCCTTTAAGGCCAGAGCTTGCATCTTATCGCTCTGGTAATATGGAACACCCAGGTTCCAGGGTGCAAAGGAGGTGATGAATGAATGGGCATTTGCTACCTGAGAAAAGGAATGGAGCAAACCACTTTCTGGACGAACCTTACCCTAGAGAAGAAGAAAGTACCTATTGATGAGGACAGGTCTAGTCTGCGCTATATTATTAAAAAGTCCCTTTCTGGAACATTTGTTTAGGATCCCACTATCATAGATTTGCATTATTTCTAGGTGACAAAAAATGAGATTTGTATCACCTTCTGGGTAATTATTTTGTTCGCTTAGCTGAGGAGATGGCATAACATTTGCCTTTATTTAGAGCCACAGTTGTCTTTTTCCCTTATGATTTCTGGGTTGTAATTTCTATTTGGCCTTCCTCTTGACTCATCACCTCTCACTTTCCCTTCATTCACTATGCTCCAGCCACTTGAGCATTCATTCTGTTGTTTGAACAGACCAAGTTTGTTTCCACCTCAGGTCCTTGGTACTTGATGTTTTCTCCTTCTGGAACACTCTGTCCTAGATCTGCAGAAGGCAGACTGCTCCTTGGCATTCTGTACACATTCACCTCCACATATGACCCACTCTAAATTAGCCTCCTCTCTATCTTCTGTCAGTTACTTGCTATCATATCACCTTATTTTGTTTTATCACTTTGTAAGATTAACTTATTCGCTTCTTTGAGTACGCATTGATTGGCTGTCTTTACCGATAAGGGATGCCCACCATGCACACATTTGTATCCAGAGTGCCTAGAACAGTGAATTGCATACAGTGGTGCTCAATAAATGACTAAACTGTATTTTAAATTAATCTCCAGGTCACAGAGTTCATCACTTTCTGAGCAGACTTGCTTCCTTATAGCTAGAGGTTGGCTCTTAAGCATTCCAGATTAAAGTATCAGTGGTGGAACAAATAAAGCAATATTCTGGCTGATTTTCAGTAATGTTGAGAATGGTCACCGAGAGGGTAGGAAAGGGGTAAAAGAAAGAAAAATGCATTTAGTTATGAGGTACTAGGGATTTCCTTGGTTCCACCTTTGTGGCAGGTTTAGAACAGATGTTTGTTGGAATAGAAACTGCCTTATTTATCCCCAAGCTGTTTGGTCTTTTCTTTTATCATAAGTGGGCCTTTGTATTGGGAAGGAACTGTAAGACTTCCTGCTTACTCCAGCATAGACATCTGTTAGTCAAACAGACATTTCTCCATGACTTCAAATGACTACTTGCTTCTCGTACAAATGGAAATATGCTGACTATAAGGAGGCCAAAGAGAAAAAATTTTTCATTGGATATCCTTATAAGGAAAGCACAAGACATGTGCTTATAATGTGCAAACAACTATTACTTTAAGAAAAAATTATTAACATGTACTAACTCTGATAAAAATAAAAACTAAATCATTCCCATTGATATAAACCATTTGTTTTTCAACTGGGGTATTCATAAGCTTCAATTATAAAATGAATGACAGATGCACAAGAAGTAATATATCTGGCTTCCACATGCACGCACTGGAGTTAGGCCCTTTTAATGTCCATTTTAAGACTCTTCATTTTTTATAGGACTGAAGTAATTTTGAAATAGTCACTTTTTGGTTTTTTTGGCTAAGATCAAGTGAAGTAATTTTGAAACGATAAACTTGTTCTTTTTACCTATGCTATTTTATAACCTCTGGTTTACACAACTCATTTGATCTGAACTGTTTGCCCTGTGCTATTTCACTTGTTCATCTTATACCTGTCCCCAGATATTTCATTTTTCTGGTGGTACCCAGAAATGTGGCCAAGAAGAACCCTTTTGTAAAAAAATAAAGAGGGGCTTCTCTGCCTCCAAGATCATGTTTTTATAAATAATGGCATTTCTTGATGATCCGCATAGTAGAATAAGAATAATACACTTACTTAGTTCTCCAGACTTTTTTATGTGTTAGAAAAAACTTTATCTTAAAAATGTGCAGCCTGGCCAACATGGCGAAACCCTGCCTCTACTAAAAATACAAAAATTAGCCGAGCATGTTGAAGTGCACCTATAGTCCCAGCCACTGGGAGGCTGAGGCAGGAGAATCGTTTGAACCCCGGGGGGCATAGGTTGCAGTGAGCTGAGATTGCGCCATTGCACTCCAGCCTGGGCAACAAGAGTGAAACTCCGTCTCAAAAAAAAAAAAGCAAAATGTACTTCAAACATCTTTTTATTCACCACGTTAAATAGGACTTCTGGTTTGGAAAGATCCAAACTCAGTTGCATGAGAGTCCAACTGAGAGAAGATAAACTGGGAGGTGTCCCAGAGGCTGTAGGAGTCCTGCCCTCTTTCAGGTGGTATGTACTGAGGGATAGCGCTAAGGTGTGTCTAGAGAAAATTGTGTACAACTTGCACAAACAATGCAATAAAGAAGACTTGTGCCTTTATTTTATGACCCTTTAGGGATGTATGAAGGTAGAGAAAATTATGGATAGGGATTTATTACTTGATGTTCAGGAAAACCTAAGAATCCATGGATGAGTCACTAGAGTCTGCGACCCACCTTGAAGTTATGTGCACAATTTGGTGTGCATTTTTGCATGTTTATTTTTCATTGGTGGGAGTGGAAGGGTATTATAGCTTTTACCTGGTTCTCAAAAGGATATGTGACACAAAAAAGGGATAGAATCAGGCACCAGAGCTATACCAGCATTTCCTAAACTCTTGTTTCAGGGAAGTTAATGTGCTAGGTGATGCCATTAAGTCCTCATTGTGGTCAGATAAGTTTGGGAAACATTGTTTAGTGTATTTCATCTATTGGAGATTCATGATAAACATCAACTTATTAAAGGCTCTGCAATATCCTGCAGTAAAGAAGCCTGTTTTGCTTTATTTAAGTAGCATTTACTTGACAGTAGGTCTTGTGTTTGTAGAATACCTATAGATACCCCATGGGTGCTAACATGCCATGGAGTTGAGTTTGAGAATGAACTAGACTGTGTTGCCCAGATTTCCTGTCTCTCAATGTTAAGAGCTCTTCTTGAATGCCTGTTGTTGAAAGATCCTTTCTTCTTGTGTATTCTAAGATAGGCCTTGACTGATGATTAGAAAAATTGTTAAATTTGAGGATTGGAAGGCCATCTAATTACAGGTCTGTAGCTAAATGTAAGTCATGTAATTAATCCTCTATTGGACACTTGAATTATCTCTATAAACATCACATAAAATTGTTTCCACAATTTCGAAATCCCTTTCTTGATAGAAAATTTACTAACCTCAAGGCCATCACATCATTTCCAGGCTGTTCTATTACTGACCTGGTTATTTCCGCTAGAGACTCATCTGTCTTCAAAATGATGATCCATCAAGCATTTGAAGAAAGGCAGCAGCAGCAGATCTTCTTGAAGTCTTTGTTTCTCTAGAAGGGCAGCTTCAGTTCCTTCACTATTCCCCATAGTGTGGGGCCGCTCACATCCCTGGCTCAGTGAAGGGTCCTTCACTGAGTTTCACACACGGCATTCTGCCCACCCAGACTGTATTACCAAAGCAAATGAAACATTTAATTGAAAACATGTAAATTCTCTTCAGTCCACTTTTCAGGAATGTTCACATGACTGTTTCTTTCTGGTGTCTGTGACCACAACTGCATATTCTCTGAGAATGAGCCTACTCATTTGCAACTGGGTATGCAGCACCACTTTTGCATTATTTAATCCTACTTGGGCCATGGTTGGTGGATGCAGGGTGGAGCTCTGACCACAGCTGGGCTAATTGGATTATCTTTCCTGTTGATTGGAATTGGGTTATGTTGATCCTGTATACTCTCTTCTGGGACTAGAGGCTTGTATGGTCAGGAGTTGTGGAGGCAAACAGGTACTTGGAGGAGCAGATGAATGTTGAGAGAGAAGGATGAGTCTGATATGTAGGGAGAAACAGAACTCTGTGTGTGTGTGTATGTGTGTGTGTGTATGTGTGTGTGAGAGAGAGAGAGAGAGAGAGAATAGCCACCTTCTGGTCCTGTTTCTTGTCAGGACCATTGCCTCCAGCCTTCAGGTTAACTGTGATACTCCTGATTCTTATAATAAAGTATCCTTTTCTCCTTAGCTAATTTGAGTGCGTTTCTATTGCTTACAATACCATTTGACTCAGCCATCCCATTACTGGGTATATACCCAAAGGACTATAAATCATGCTGCTATAAAGACACATGCACACGTATGTTTATTGCAGCACTATTCACAATAGCAAAGACTTGGAACCAACCCAAATGTCCAACAATGATAGACTGGATTAAGAAAATGTGGCACATATACACCATGGAATACTATGCAGCCATAAAAAATGATGAGTTCATGTCCTTTGTAGGGACATGGATGAAATTGGAAATCATCATTCTCAGTAAACTATTGCAAGAACAAAAAACCAAACTCCGCATATTCTCACTCGTAGGTGGGAATTGAACAATGAGAACACATGGACACAGGAAGGGGAACATCACACTCTGGGGACTGTTGTGGGGTGGGGAGAGGGGGGAGGGATAGCATTAGGAGATATACCTAATGCTAAATGACGAGTTAATGGGTGCAGCACACCAGCATGGCACATGTATACATATGTAACTAACCTGCACATTGTGCACATGTACCCTAAAACTTAAAGTATAATAATAATAAAATAAAAAAAAGTTTAAGCTTATCTAATCAGAACTGCCAATTAACATCTAATTAGAGTATCTACCAATCAGAAACCACGAAACCACAAACTAACCTCTAACTAGAAATTTTATCAATAAGAAACTGCCAACTAATCTCCAACTAGGGGTGTTCTACTTTAACCAATTAAATATTTTCTGTCTTACTTCTGGAAACACCTTATAAAAGTTTTCCCCGATTCCTACCTGGTTAGAGCCCACACTACTTGTGATTTGGGGCTGCCTGATTTGTGAATCACTGTTGGCTCAAATAAACTCTTTAAAATTAAAAAAAAAATAAAAATAAAAATAAAATAGCCTTGACAAAAAGAAACTCCTAAATCTAAAAAGCCTTCAAGAGAATTCCACAGAGAAGATCATCCTGTCTTCCTGGAAGAAAGTGAATACTCATCTAGGGAAGAACTGGGTTATTGCAGAGTTCTCATACCTGTCTGTTTCTTTCCATTCAGCACCTCACTCTACCCTCACTCAATTTATTGATTTGTTTTACTCCTATGCCTCTGTTTGTACTAGTTCCTCTCCTAGAATGCCATTCTGTGTCCTTTCAGTCTGTCCAAATCTTACCTTTCCTTTAAGGATGCAGTTCAATTAGTCATCTTCTCTGGAGCTTTCCCTGACCACTCAGTAAATACTTGTTGAATAAAAACAGCTAATTTGATTAAAGGAATAAGAGAATAGTACCACAAGTAAACATAAAAACACTATAGACTTTTAGCTAGATGAAAAGAGGAATTGGTAACTCAATAACAATGAATATACAGAATTATCCATGAATTATGCTGAAGTTATTATTATCCATCTTCATTCAAGGCAGTGAGGCAGAACTTGGATCAAGAATGGTTTTGGGCCATAGAAAGAATTTCTTGACTTTGGTGGGATTCACTTTTAGGGCAGTTTTTCCAGAGATGGGGCTTTAAAATTTCTTCTAGAGATTTAAAATAGCAAGCATATTTTTTGGACCCTTCTAAATAAGTGACTTGTTGGAGCTGTTTCTAGCTTTCAGAGTCTATTCTTTAGCGCTTAGTGCATAGAAAATGTGTTATAAATCCTTGTTGAGTAAGAAGGGGATTAATGAATACAGCTTCAATCCCTGAAGTTCAATCATGAGACAAGTGAGAGGCTGGCAGTTTGCTTTGGAGAAACGCTTTATCTGCTGGTTGGAAGAGAGACTAAATAAATCTGATGCATACAGAAATGCATAGAATTCTTTAACTTTTAGAGTTAGGCAACAAAAACAGACTTAAAGTTGTTATAGAGACAAGCAGGCCTGATGCTTAAATGCATGAGCCACTAAAAACAGCTACCGCATTCCTGAATTGTTGTGCTCCTTGGCTAGGGTACCAGCATTCCAAAATCCCCAGAACACATCTCCACCGTCGACCAGGGAGCCAGAGTCTCTGCTATCCACAGTGGTATCATGTCATGCTGAATATTTGAAGGAGGGAACCACTACCTATTTATCTTTCTAGGTCATTTGGGACCACTGACATGGTGCAGAGAGCAGGCAGTCCATCTGAGAATTAGCGGGAATTCAGTCCTGTCACCAGATCTCTTAAAAGAGTAATAGAGAAGGAAATGGAAGCCCACTTCTATTCATCAGTTAAGAGATGCTTTATCTGTAGAAAATGGGAGAAAAATGCCAACCACAAAACTCATCTTTGGAGTGCAAAGTGGTACATATCCCACAGATGTGGGCAGAATGCCTGTCTGGAACCTGGAGCTTCTCAGATCTGCACCTGTGGGCAGGAAAGGACCAACAATGCTGGACAATGTATTCAAGTTGCCAGCTAAAAGCAGGATGCCAAGGAGCATAGTGTCTACCTCACCATGTTTTGTTAGCTTCCACTTCTATGGGTACTAAGATTGAGAGCCATGCTGTAATCGAATTCTCAATGTCTGAAGGGAGCAACAGATTCAGATAATTAGGCTAGCAGACTAAGTTGATTCTCATGAGAGGAAAACGATTTTTTCCATCTCAAGTCGTGTTTATGCCTGTTCATTTGAACTAAGTTAAATCCTAACAAAGCAATCTGGATTCGCAGTTGAATGATTTATGTGTGACTTAGGAAAGGAGATAATTGCAAAACTATTTCTAATCTTTAGTTACAAAATGAACTGTATTCCTTTTATTCCCCTCACTCAAAGGTACTCTGGTCTATGCAATAATGGCAACTCGCAAAGTGGCGATAGGGAGTGGAGATGATTAAAAACTTTTCATTTGGAATTCTCCACAGACCCTGCTCAGATCCTGTGAACCTTCCCAGCCTCCCTCTGTATGAATCCACTCTCTAGTCTCTCTCCTTATTTTTTTGCATTGTGGTCTGTACCTTTGACAATTTTAGTACTTTCTGTTCTATTACCGATTTGGGAAAAATCTGAATTTCTGTCAATGCTAATGAGAAACTTTGGCTTTAATGATTCTTATGCTTCTCTGGTTAGGGTTTTATTTAATTTTGCCAACTGAAGTATGTCCAAAGTACAGTCCAGCTTCTTAGTTAGGTCAAGTGCATGAAATTAATCAAATACCAAAGAAGAGATCTATGCCCAGACACAGCAGGAATGCTCCAGACAATTGAAAGATAGAAAAAAAAAAACCATTCAAAGGGATGATTTATCCAGGGAACATAATGGGAAGTGGAGAAAGGTCAGGGGTAAGGGAGAATTGAATTTCAAAAATGATGTCCTTTAGACTGCAAGAGAATGTGAATGATAAAATTTGTTTGTTTGTTTTCTGTTTTGCTTTGCTTTTCTGTTTGAACAGCCAAGGGTATTTCTTTATGGCTCATCTCTCTGGTGTCATGAAAACCTCAGATAGAAAGCTGTAAGTAATGTCCCCATTATGGAGAAACAAACTCAAGAATATCTAAGCAAGAGAGTTGTAGGTGGCTCTCAGAGTTGCCTGATGGCTGGCTTTCTGTTTCTTTAAAAGGAAACTAGTCTGTGGTTATTTTCATGGGGTCAAAATTGAAAAAAAAATTATGATTACAACCTACAGAATTCCAAGTTCTATGAAGACAAAGAGAATGTCCATTTCATTTGGAATTATACCCCTAGGACTTAGTGTGATGCCTGGCTCTAGCATATGTTCACTTACTAAATATTTATTATTAATATTTATTAAAAATAGTGTCTGAATCAATAAGCTTCATAAAAGTATAAGCAATTCCAGATTCAAAACACCACAACAGAATTTTTATTGCTAGTTACTGATAGATACTTGATAGATTTAGTCTTACATAGTGAATACATGTGATATTAACATTGGTTTTAGTTTATATTTCAGGGAATCCATTGCAAGACTACCAGGAAAACCTAATCAACAGAGACTTTTGCCATTCCAAAAGATTCTCTTTACTGTGAGACATATATAGTAATATTTATTTGAAATGAGCATTTAGTCTAACCCTACCTATGATAATTGTAAGGATCAATGTATAAAATCTGGCCATAGGAAATAAAGATATCTGGACACTGATCAAACATTGTAGGGTAAAGACTGCTGGTATTTACTTCCAGTTATATAATCTTTATGGAGTCTATGTTGAGATGAATTTGAGAACTCAAGCCTTTCTTTTTTATTTCTAATAGATCAGAACTTCATTGTTCAGAGTGCAAACATTGTCTTTTTAGCAAGGTTTTAAAAGTAAATCTTGATTTGGAATAATTCTTTGAAAAGGTTTCTGAATAGTAGATGTTTCTTCTGTATTTACTGAATGACTAAATGAATGAATACAAAATAAGTCAACAAATCAGAGAATATATTGATTAGTTCCTCAGTGCTATTAGAAGGCAAGGAGCTTCATAAAACCACTACATATATAAATGGCAAGGAAAAAATTTTATTTCAAGTTTCAGTAACTTAAAGTTTAGGCCAGTTACTTCTGTTAGTTATCAGTAGCAGTAAATAACAAATAATAATAGTATTAAGCACAAAAGACAATCTGGATATGTTTAGCAAAGTAATTCCTAAAAGAAAAGTTGAATGAAAAATCAAAGTGCCACATTAAGCCTCAAATGAAGTCCATAAGCCTTGGCCAATACTTTTGCTCACTTTTAGTCATAACTCTTATTATTAATGTCATTGTAATTGTAAGTGTCAGCCCACTTGCTGGGGGCAGGGATTTGTAAAAGGGGATGACCTTCAGGAGTACAACATACTAATAAGAACGTCTCACAGATTTCTGGATATAGAGCTACAATGCAAAAATATTATATAAGGGACAGTTTTTTCTTTCAAAAGAAAGACAAACCAGCTCAAAACCGTACACCGGCACACACAGACCACCACCACCACAAGCTGATGGTGCCATGCCAGTTCTTAACAGTAGCTCCTAGGATGCCTAGTGTCCCACTCAGGTTCACATTCAGGTTCAGGTTCAGGCAGAAGCAGTGATATTAAGCAATGATTAGTGATCAGACAGTTGAGGCATGAACCGTCAATTTGCACATTCCTGAAAGAGATGTAGCCACATGCACTGTATGCAAAAGAAAGTGAATGTAGCATCATTAAGCTCTCACATCAGGTTTTTATCATTCAGTTTTATCATTGGCAATTACTGACATTTTTAAAAAATATGCTTCTTTGAATTAGGTTTCTTTTGAGCAAAGATCAGAAATGAGTCATGCCAGATTTTTTTTTTTGAGGTGGTTTGGTGATATCAAGTGTTGCTTTCTTGATTCTTAACATTTGTAAACACCTTTTTCTACCTGTGACTTTAGGTTTGGCTTGGATTGGTAAATGGGTGACATATGGGGCCCCTGATTTCCTGTGATTCCCTGATCACAGAAATGGCCCCCAAAATATGTAGTCTGCATATTTTTGCAGGGCCAGAACCCATGGCTGTGGCCTTTGCCCGCAAAGCAACCAGCCCACACAAATAGGAGAGCTACTGTTTATTTAGAAACGGCATTCAAACTGTAAAGTGACAGGCATTCTGACAAAGGCATGGGAATCATGATTTGGAATTCCTGATTTTTCCCACGAATGGGATTTGTATGAAGCAACCTGCCTTATCCCCTTTTACCTTCTCACACTACCTCAACCTAGGCCAGTTCTGAGTACTTTCATTGAGCTGAGATTGATCATCTAAACCCAAAGCCAGCTGAGATTGATCATCTAAACCCAAAGCCAGTTTCCTTTGAGTACATAGGCTTTGCAAGAATGGCTTTTCCAAGCAATGGTTTTAGAAAACAGGTGCTCATAATATTCAAATTGTTTATGTTTTTAATAATTTCTTTGTTTCTCCTCCAATCCTAGTCCAGACTTGCTAATCCTCAGCATTTCTACTTTCCTATAATGGACAATCATAAATTTCCAGAGAAGTAAGGGTCCCTGGGTCTGAAGCACAGTGCCGTTGTTTGTTCAAGATATTTGGAGACTGTGCCAAGTGCAGAACAAAACATGGTTTATGGCCTTCATTTGGCATTGATTTGTGCTACAAAGCTCAGAGTATCATTTCCTCCAGAGGCTTTGCGTTTTTAATGAGAGAAAATATTTCCAACTACAGAGTTCTTGAAGAACTACAATGTTTAATTTTTGAAAACAAAAATCTTTCAAAATAAAGCGGCTTAAAAATTTTTCATTTTAAGTTGTTGCTTTTAACTAGAGCCTTCAAAATGGTCTTTCCAAGTAGTGTTCCTTTACTAACAGTCACTGGTGTTGCTTCCTGGGGGACGCAAACCAACTTGACACACTGGCTATGATGTTAAAAAAAAAACGGGAAAGTGGTATCAAGAAACAACATGACTTACTGGCTTGTACCCTGCAACTGGACCTGAGTCAGAACTCTTCCACTGGCCTTGGAGCCTCAAAATGGATGGAGAAAAGATGAATCACACAGATTTTAAACAGATAGCTTTTTCAAAGAAAGAGCTTCTCTCAAGAGTGAGTAGACCAGCAGACTCATCATGTCCAATAGAGAGGAGGTAAATACAATATTATGGGAAATCCATTGCAGATGAATTAGGATGAAAAATAAATTAAAAACCAAGTTAGCTTCCCAGATAAGAGTAGAAATATCCACTGGAATAAAAAGGGCTAAACAAAGAGGACAAAATGAAAGGGCTTAACACCTTCCCCCAGAAAGTCACTTGTCTTCCAGAGTATTGACTTCCCTTACTCAGATCCTTCCTTTGTCAGGAAAAACAAAACAAAGCTAAAGAACAAAACTATTAGGCCCAGCACAAGTATTAATATTATTCACCCTTGAAAGAAAAGCTTGATTATGGGTGATGCTAGGCCCAATTTTCACTGGCTTATCTAAAGGATCTAGAAACCACAGATTGCTGGGCCACACCCTCAAGTTTCTCATTAGTAGGTGTAGGGTGGAGTCCAATAACTGGCAATTTTCTCAAATTCCCAGGTTATATCATGCTGCCTGTGCAGGGACCACACTTTGAGAACCATTGTTTTAGCGTAACTCATTGGTTTTGAGATCCAAGGAAATGGAAGCACATGTGTTTAGGGTAATCTTGTGCTAGTTTGCATTTATTCTCATATATATGTCAGCACATGCAAACTACAGTAGAGGAGGCATTTACCTGAATAATTCAGGCTCACAAATGACTTGCACTCCATTAAAATACTTCAAGCATAGGAAGTGTTTTCTAGGGGAGTAGGGAGGGGAGTGTTTCTGAATCACCCTATGACTTGCTTTATTGCCCGTTTTTATTTTGCATATGTATAGCAAAGTATTGTTTGCCTTAAGAGAAATATGTTCACCTGTCTCTAATGATGGCTTTACTCTGATTTCCTGTTTGTGCAAGATCTGGAAAAAAAGTTGTGTTAGGAAATGGGAATGGGAATGGGCAAGAGGTTTTCTAGATAAGCTAGTTTTAAAATATGTCCTATTCATATTTCTGGTGTCATTATGAAAAGGTCACAGGCAGTCTGAAGATGAGTTTATTGTTACCTCAAAACTGAACGAACCCAAAAAGTGCTTCTTACTTGTTTTCAGTCCAGGCTTTAACTAGGAAGACCCTGGAAGACGTCATGGTAGAGTCTTAGAATTTCCAGGATGGTGTTAGGACAATTGATAACTATTTTGTCCCACAAAACTGCACAATGTCAAGGAATCAAAATAATCTCAGTGTTAACTTAAACCAACTCTTACTTAATGCTGATACAGTTCTTAACTCCTAATCTATTTTCTCTGCATTTCCAACTTTTGTTTTGTAAGCCTACAAAACAAAATGTATATGATATACATTATCATTTTTGTTCCTTATGAAAGGCCTGAAAAGCAAGTCTTAGTTTGTGTGCTTTACTGATGAGGAAGCTGAGGTCAGAGAGGCAAGCTAGTGAGTGGCTGAGCTGTGACTGGCACCCAGATCTTTTAGATCCAAAGCTCATGCAGATGAGATAAATTGGTGATGGGATAAAGGTGATAAGGACTGTTTCCTCAAAAGTTTGACTAGAAAATGGCATGAACTTATAACACCTCCTATGACTCCAATTTGATTTTATAGGGCATTACCTCCAGCTATCCATGGCTCCTTCACAACAGCTTCTCTGTGAATCTCAGTTCAAAATTCCAGAGAGAGAATTAATTGACCCAACCTGGAAAGAATAAAAGAACAACCCAGTACAAGTATAGCTTCATGCACTCATCTCCTCATTAGGGCTGAAATTGGAACAAGATTCTTTGAGAAGAGAGTGGAGTGGGAGACAGTGATTGGCATTTCTAGGACAAGCAAGTGTGGCCAACATTTACCTGCAAGCCTCTTCCTTTGTTCATTCTTCCATGAACATTCATATCTATTTCCCGGCCAAGATGAAATGCTTACACTATTTTTACTTCTTGCTCATCCACAAGGTACATTATATTTGAGTCTGTGATCAGCTTGAGTCATAGGTTACTGATATATGTTAAATATTAAACATATAAACTGTGCTAAGATCTGCTGCCAAAGAAATGATGCCTTGTGACAGCTACTGATAAAACAGGACAAACTATTTATGCTTCATTCATCTGGCCCTCACCAGAAACAAAGACTACTGGCCTTTGAGTGAGAAGGCTTGAGTTCCAGAGTCAGCCTTCCCTTTGACTATAAGCTGCTCTGGATCATTCATTGCAAGGAGCATCTCCAGGTTCCAGGTAAAGGAGGTATGGCAGCTGTGGAAGAGAGCCCTGCTCAGATTTCCCTCCAGGAGCACAAGCCTCCAGCTGCCGCACCTTTGGGATCCACTGCAACACTCACTCACACCAAGTTCGTGATCTCACAAAGCTGCTGCTCCCAGCCAATGGCTGAGCATGTTGTGGGTACAGGAGCTGGGCCTTTCCTGCCCAATGTGGGCCTCTTTTGATGGGCAGTTTTTGCTCTGGGGTTTCTCATCGGCCTGGCCTTGCTATTTCAGACCTTGATTGTAGTCTGAGGCTTTTCCTACTCAAACCTCCTTCACTCCTTTGTGATCTGAAGGTATCTCCTGCCTGCTGCTTCTCACTCTCACCTTTATCTTCCATGGGTATTTCCCTCAAAACAACTACATGTTTAATTTTGTCTTGATGTCTGCTTCTTAGAGGGCCTAAACTGACAGAGGATGTAAGAATTCAGAAGAATTTTGTGGTACTCAATTGCAGGAAGTGGAGCTGGAATTCCTGGGAAGGGAAACTTTTGTCCAAACAGCAAGGTACATGGTTTCTCAGATTATAGTCCCTGAACTTGTAGTCAATTGGCATTAGTATAGGTTAAGTGACTCTAATTAGTAGAGGTTAGAATGACCTCAATCTATACAGTAGAGTTTTAGAGTTCCTACAAGTTGAAAAATTACAGGACTAATTACATTTACAAAGTAAATAATTACATTTTATATGGAAGGGTTAATGTGACTTCCAGAGGTGCCTAATGTAAAATCACCAAGATGTTGAGAGAGCAAAGCACCTTTAGAAGTTGTCTCCATTTTCTTGACATCATAGTTCCTCCAGTTTCAAATGAAGGAAAAGTCCCTTTCTAGTCATCTGTTGTGAGGGATAAGAGTTCTTGGGAAGTTCAGGCACCATATAAAACTTTGCAAATGATGTTCTGAAAGAAACAATTTTTCCATACTCCCATGAGCTTTGAAGTTTTCTTTTTCCAGCTCATTCATAGTTAAGGGAGAGGTATGAGGATAGTCAGTGTGCTGTCGAATGGTGGATTTTGGTGTAGGATGATCTGGCTTAGTCATTTTATCAGAGAACCCCAAACTGTCAGAATTTTGAGTCTTATCTTTTGGGCTGGTGTATTTTCCCAAAGGAATCTTAAATCTTTTACTGAATTATAAAAGCCTGTGTCAGGTCCTTGGAGTCATATGGGGAGAAGGGTATATGTTGAATATTTTGAGGTGGGGGTACGGGGGTCAGAATTTTCACCATTCAGTAATTTGACTTTCACTTAATCCCCATTTTCAATATGGATACCTTTTCTCAGCTCTGTCTATCATCCCTGAATCTGGCCTCTATGGTTTTTGATTTTTTTTTTCTAGTGTGGAGAAAGTTTTTTTGCTCAGATATGGAAGAGACTGCAGCCTGCAACAAACAATGAGGAAGAGGATTTATGAATGTAGCTTCCTATGTCAACTTTAATGAATTTTCTTGTCTTCAAGTTTGCCTTCCATGCCCAATTTTGGAGATACTGGTGTTTCTTATTTTTTCTAAACTTTTTTTGCCATTATTTTCTTTTCCATTTCCTTTGGGGTTTTTTGTGGGTGTATTAGTCCATTCTTACACTGCTATAAAGAAATACCTGAGACTGAGACTGGGGTGATTTATAAAGAAAAGAGGTTTAATTGACTCATGGTTCCACAGGTTGCACAGGAAGGATGGCTGGGGAGCCCTTAGGAAACTTACAGTCATGGCCAAAGTCAAAGGGGAAATAGGCACATATTCACATGGCCAGAGCAGGAGGAAGAGAGGAAAGGGGGAGTTGCTACAGTATACTTTTAAATAACCAGATATTATAAGAACTCACTCACTATCATGAGAAGAGCAAGAAGGAAATCCACTCCCATGATTCAGTCACCTCTTACCAGGCCCCTTCTCCAACTTTGGGGATTACAATTCGACATGAGATTTGGGCAGGGATACAAATCCAAACCATATCGGTGGGGTGTTTTGCTTTTTAAATTTTTAATTTTTTTAGAATCATATTTTTAAAATGTCTTAAATGGAAGCCATAATTGTACATATCTATGGGGTACATAGTGATGTTTTGATACATATGATGTATAGTGATCAGATTAGGGTAATTAGCAAATCCATCTCATTTATCATTTCTTTGTGTTGTGAACATTCAATATTCTCATTCTAGCTATTTGAAACTATATCTATATAGTCATCCTATGGTGCTATAGAACACTAGAATTTATTCGTCCTATCTAGCTGTAATTTTATATCCTTTAACAAATCTCTCCCTTTCCCTCTACCTTTCCCATCCTCTAGTATCTTCTGTTCTACTTTTTACTTCTATGCACTCATTTTTTTTAGCTTTCACATATGAGTGAGAACATGAGATATTTCATTTCCACTTAATATAATGTCCTCCAGTTCCATTCATGTTGCTGGGAATGATAGGATTTCATTCTTTTTTATGGCTGAATAGTATTCCATTGTGTACATATACTACATTTTCTTTATCCATTCATCTGTAGGTGGACACCTAGGTTGATTCCATATCTTGGCTATTGTGAATATGTTGCAATAAACATGGGGGTGCAGATGTCTTTTTTATGTACTGATTTCCTTTCTTTTGGATAAATACCCAAAAGTGGGATTCCTGGATCATATGGTAGTTCTATTCATAGCTGTTTTTTTTTTTGTTTGAAGACTCTCCATACTGCTCTCCATAGTGGTTATACTAGGTTACATTCCCAATAACAGTGTGTAAGAGTTCCCTTTTCTCTGCATCATTGTCAGCATTTATTTTTTGTCTTTTTGATAATAGCCATCCCAAGTAGGGTGGAAATGATACCTCACTGTGGTTTTGATTTGCATTTTCCTGATATCCCGTTCTCTTTGTTTGAGTTAATACCTCCTTTCTCCCCATTCCCTCTTTTGGTGAGATTTGAGGTGGAATAGGAGGTAAATATATGTGTTCAATTAGTCATATTTAACTCAATGTCCCCTTCCAGGAGCTCTGGAGGGTCTTCTTGACAGCAGTCATTCCTATGGAGGGGGTACAGGGAGGAGTCAGCTCTTAAACTTTAAACTATGTTAGGCTGTGAGATCACCTCTAACTTCATGATCTGACCCTGAAGAGAATGGAAAACTTGTGTATCTGATGAGTATAAGTAGAGATAGCTACAGGCAGCTCACACTTCAAAGCACTTGACTTTTTGTAATGCAGCTGAGTTAATTTTTTGAGTTGCTTAGGATGATACTATTGTGGTAAGATGACCTATAAGCCACCAAAAAAATGCTAGCTTGGTTTTCTTTGGGTATACAAAGCCTCCTGAAACTTCAGGTATCCTTTAGTAATTAGTAACTTCTTATTCTGGTTAAGTTGGGAGATTGTTACATATTGGGGGCTAATTAAGTAAAAATATTGAGAATAATGGAGTTAGAGAGAGGAAGAAAGCTAGATTGAATCCTGTGATGTTGGGTTGGAATTGGAGGCATGAACTCATGATTATCAATACATAGGCCAAAATAGAAATATATAGATGCAAGCCTATATGTACACACATGCACATTTCAATAATATAAGCAGAGAGTTAAATTTAGATGTAACTCTGGTATGTATGTGTGAGTGTGTTTACATATACATATATCTGCTAGCTCTGTCTACTGAGAGAGACTAGGAGCAGCAATATACCAATAGTAAAAGATAAATTGAACCTATATCTTGATCTTAAAATACCATTCCCCATTAAAAGCAACTAGGTCTCTTTGAGAAAATGATTGATTTTGGGTCTGGGTAGAAAAAGTAAAAGAAGAGCCAGAACATCTTTTGATATAAGAGAGCAAGGGAATGTTGAAGTAATGCTGGGACATAAAGAAAGGACACAGAAGTCAGCTTGACTGGACTCCCACAGGCCAACTCTGGGACAATTTAAGCATCAAAATAAATACAAAATAATGGATTGTAACCCATTAAATAAAATAGGAATCCATCAGTCTATACTGATAAATACTGAATAAATAAATGGGGGAAATAAAACAGTAGAATAGCAATGAATAAATGTAGAAGGGAAGACAGAGTTAGAAAACAGCATTTGGCAATTGTTGTAGTAATAATCAATTCAGGCAAAAAACATCAGTGGCTGCTAGAACTAGTGGATAAGAATTTGATGAGAGATGGGATATTTACTTAAGTGACAAACTATCTCCCTACAATATGTTTTAAAATTACAAATGTAAAGGAAAAAGTGTAGCTTTGTAGTAGAGAAGCCTGGCAAGGACCATCTTAATCAAGTGATCAAAGTTAACACCAGTAATGAGGCAAATTAAAATTCTGTACCACCCAAGAGGATGCAATAAGATGAACATTTTTGTGATATATTCCTGCTAAAAATCATAACCTGAATTTAATCACGAAGAAGCATCAGACAAACCCATATTAAGGGATAGTCTGTAGAGTATAGTTAGCTGTCCTGTACGCTGCCAGAACCACAAGATCATGTAAGTCAAGGAATAGCTGAAAAATGTCCTCATATTAAAGGAAACTAAACAGACACAGTCATTAAATGCAACATGTGATCTTGGATTGGATTTTTTGCCATAAAGCAATGGTTCTTGAAGTGTGGTCCCAGGATTAGCAGCTTCAGCACCACCTAGGAACTTGCTTGGAAATATAAAATTTTGGACCTCATGTTGAACCCACTTAATCAGAAACCCTGGATTTGGGCCCACTAATCTGTATTTACTGAGACTTCCCATTGATTTTGTAGCACACTAAAGTTTGAGATCCATTACTATAAAGTACATTGTTGGGGCAATAGTTGAAACTCTGGAGTAGGTGGTAATAATATATCAGTGTTAATTTCCTGCTTTGCAGGTCATTTGTAGGAAGAACATACTGAATTATTCAGGAGAAATAGAAAATTATGCCTACAACTTACTCTTAAATGACTCAAGAATTGGCCAGGCAAGTTGGCTCATGCCTGTAATCCCAACACTTTGGGAGGCCAAGGTGAAGGGACCACATGAGCTCAGGAGTTCAAGACCAGCTTGGGCAACATGGTGAGACCTCATCTCTACTAAAAATAGAAAAATTAGCCAGGTGCGATGGTGCATGCTTGTAGTTCCAGCTACTCAGGAGGCTGAGGTGGGAGGATTGCTTGAGCTCACGAGGTCAAGGCTGCAGTGAGCTGTGATCATGCCACTGCACTGCAGCCTGAGTAATAGAGCAAGATCCCATCTCAAAAAAAAAAAAAAAGATTCAAGAATAAAAGTTCTTTGTAATATGTATACAACTCTTCTGTATGTTTTAAAATATTTCAATATAAAATTTTTTTCAATGGGATGGGACTAAGTTACACATTTACTATATTAGAAAGTTTGACTCATGTTCACTCTAATTGCTTTTATGTTAAGTCAAATGTGGCACTAAATACAAAGGATGCATATTCCATTACATGTATGGTTAAATCTGCTATGGAAAATAGTTTGTTCACCCAAAACCATCTGTGTTTATTTTCAGGTTGAACGAACCCTAAGGTTAGTCACATTCTTTAAAACCATTTGATGAATGACACAATCTCTGAATCACATCAAAGCCAATCTGGTTTCTTCAAGGATTCCATATCAGTGGAAAAACATTTCTGCTCAAAAGCATCTGTCTATCCATATGTGGAAATAGTCAATACATGAAACTGAAAAATAATTGTTTTCAAATAATTGGCTATATGACATACACAGCCCCTCTTTCTCAGCTGCATTACTAATTGCCTGAATATGATCTGTGTTTTGAATTTTTCCCTCATTGTAGAACTTTGCAAGACTTTCCACTGCACAAAATTATAATACAGCAAGAGCAAAATATAGCCTGAGACAAGTACATATGTTGGATTCTATTCAAATATGCAGGGCTTTATCTAGAAGGAAAAATCCTTTTAGAGTTAGAGAGGAAGTGAATCAGGCCCATGGACTTTGGGTAACCGATATGCAAACATCGGTGGTTGGTGGTGGTTTTTCTCCTTTTTGTTGTCTACTTTGAAGTTGCTGTACAATATCCAAATACCCAGCTCCATTCTCCCTGGTGTTTTGGTGGTTATGCATTTGTTCTGAGACTATGAATGGAGAGTTTCCTTCCAACTAACAAGTGTTCCTTCCCTAGCCATAATCCTTCAGAAGAACTGAATCTGATCAGTTATGTCTCAACTGAAGAAGACAACATTTGTTTTAACAGAGTTTATTTAGAACATCCTGCTGCTAATGTCAGCACACAGATTGGGCAAGTTCCACCAAAATAACTTTCAGGCTATTTGTACTCAATTAAATGTTTATTTAAAATTTCCTTTTGGTTTTTACTGCTGTAAATGCATTGTCCATTTTTCACATACCAGGCACTGTTGTTTAGTCTCAAGGGCATTACTTGTTACAAATTTAACAACTGTGACATATTAAAAACAACATTTAGGGAAGAAATTAGTGTTGAGAAGATGTGACCAGATGTTTTCATAGTGTTTTGCCAAAGTGTCACTTAAATGCCAACAAGATTTTAAAAGGAATTTTTTTCCAAAGTATTTCACTATACCCACTTAAGTGACCCCAAAATATGTTGCTATCACAGATACGTTAGAAACAAAGTTTAATTTTCATTTTAATCATAGTTTTCTTGAGGATACATAAAATCTTTTCACTGTCATTTTTTCTTTTATAAACCCATGGTAATTGAAAAAATTGTGACTGTGCCACATGCTACCTTTGTGATCTAAGTTTTCTTATGACTAAAATGGGGATGCTGGCCAGGTGCAGTGGCTCACACCTGTAATCCCAGCATTTTGGGAGGCCAAGATGGTTGAATCACCTGAGGTCAGGAGTTCGAGACCAACCTGACCAAAACGGTGAAACCCTGTCTCTACTAAAAATATAAAATTAGCCGGATGTGGTGGCACATGCCTGTAATCCCAGCTATTTGGGAGGCTGAGGCAGGAGAATCGCTTGAACCTGGGAGATGGAGGTTGTAGTGAGCCGAGATCGCGCCATTGCACTTTAGCCTGGGCAACAAGAGCAAAACTCTGTCTCAAAAATACAAATAAATAAATAATAAAGTAAAATAGGGATGCCATCTCCTATGATTATTATGGAAATTAAATGAGATACTGTATGTGACAATTTTATCCCAGTACCTGGCACATATAATAACACTTTAATAGTGCTATTACTGTTATAAACATTATTATTTATTGACTGACTTCATAGGGATACAAGTGAAAACATCCCCACTAATTTGACTTAGAGGAAACGCAGTCTCCCCTGCAAGTCCCTCTGAGGCTCCAGTCTTTGACTGAGATTGTCAGTTCGCACTAGGAAAAACAAGCCCATCTAGAGGAAACTACAAAAGAAAGTCATTTATTTTCACATAAATTGGATGGTAATTAGCTTCTCTAAGCTGAAGTCTAAATTCAAGAGCATTTAGAAATGAGCCTGCAGGTAAATATGACACAAGAGACTAGACTCCAAGCAGAGAACTCCATGTTTGCTCTCCTTCAGTGAGAATTCTGTTGATGTCAGAGGGTTAACAGAACTTTTAACAGTTGACTGGGGCCCTGGAGTTTTCATGATTTGGTCCACATTCAAAAATATAAAAGTCAGTGAAGCAAATGCTGTACAACAGAGGTTTTTCAGGGAAAAGGGATAAGCTTGATCCAAAAATATTTTGGAGGGTGGAGACATTCCAAGCATACCATTCCGTGCCTGTGCCAATGGAACGTGGGCACAGCACGGGAACAATGTTCAAGGCTGGAGAGCTTTAGAGTACCGGGGCAATTTTGAGTGAAAAACACAAAGAAGTGAGGAATATCCATCTCTGCCCCCATCACACACACACACACACACACACACTCAAACACACACACATACACACGCACACACACATACACACACACACAAACACACACACTCAACGCATACACATTTCCCTATTTACAGTAGAATTATAAATTCTGAGTAAATTTTAGGTTCACAAGCTATGGATTCCAAAGTTTTGTGCCAAATAATTATAGCTGCATCTTGCAGATGTACAGCTCTACTCTGATAACACACACACATTGAATTGGAAGGAGAGACTGGGTAAGTTCCAGTTATTACATTTCCATCCCAAACTGGAAATGACATTTTGTTTCTTTCCATTATCTTTGATGCTAAGTGGGTAAAACTGCCATAATGAAAATGTGTCACCTTAAAAAATCAACATAAATATGGACAGCTTTTCCATATTAATCATGAAAAGGGAGTAACTTCTAGCATGGAGGAATATATCCATTCCCTTTCCCAAATTCCTTGAATAAAGCATGTGTGCTTGTTTTCATGGTTGTATTTTCCTCATCAGTGTTTGTGATCCCTCAAAGCATGAAGGGATTTTGATTTTGAAAAATCCCTCATTATTCCCAAGAACTATATTGGCTGTAATTTGTGGGTAGAGTTGTATGTGGGTAGAAATTCATCTTCATTCTTCTCTGTAGGTAATTTGAGGAAATGCTGAGGCACTTGGATACCCAAAAAGGACTGAAGATTTCTCAATATAAATTTTAGTTAAATGCCTTCCAAAAAATATTTTGCAGTGTATTTCACTAAAGACACAATCCCTGTTTTTCCTTGACTTTGATAATATATTTTACCAAAGAAGAGCAATTCAGTTTGTGCAAAAGAACCATTCATGAGGTTGCCTGGAGATAGAATGACTCAGTGTTTCTCAAAGGTGGGGCACAGCGCACCTCAATCAGAATCACCTGGGGAGCTTTGAAAACATCAGATTCCTGGGCCCCACTCCAGCTCTACTGAGTCAGGATCTCCCCGGGGTGGGACCTAGGCAGTTGCATATTTAATGAGCTCTACAGGTGATTCTTATGCATCTTAAGATGTAGAGGGTAATTATTAGTTCTGGTCATAAAAGGTAGTATTGCCTTCTGCTCAGGAGCTTCTCTGTCTTTGAAGAGAGGGTCAGTGGCATATTGCCTTTGAAAAAAAATTCAATTTAAACGAACAGCAAGTCATTTTCCCTCTTCTCAATACTTTATTCTAGCTGCGTTTTCCTCCACAGGTTCAATCATCCAGTCTCCTTCACATAGAATAGCATTTGGAGTTGAGCAGCTACGCAAAACATTTTACTGTTGGTCCTTTATTTCTGATGTCCCTGTGTTTCTGGTCAGTGACCATGATCTGAATTTTCAGAAAAAAAAAGGGATACATAGTAACAGCTTAGTCACCTGGTAGTCACGGATGTGGGATAGACCTGAATCTCTGACAGTATCTTATAGGGCTGTGGTTCTTGAGCTTTACTGCATTAGAATCACCTGGATTTAAAACTTTCAAAGTTTAGGCCATACCTCAGACCAAAGTCATCAGAATCTCTAAGGGTAGGGCCCAGACATCAGCTCCCTGGTGATTTTAATTTGAAACCAAGGCTAAGAACCATTGTCATAGGGCATCTGTAGAAAAATGAGGTCTTTAGAACCCTGGGGAAGATCATGAATATTTTCCGTTACAGATGGAACTTTTCTGATCTGTGGTACACTCTAGTAGGAGAAAATTTAGGAGATATTTCTTTATAGAGACTTGTTCCTGAGAGAGAATTTTTGTTTCTTCAGCATATTCAACTACTATTATGGGAGGTCCAGTGTGGAAGACTGAAGTTTGAATGTTGGAGGTGTGTAAAGTACACATGCATAGACATACCCACAGTGTGTACTACCCCTTCCCAGCTACAAAACCCTTCTATGCCAACACTTCACTTTGTCTGTGTCAGGATAATCTATGAAATTTATCAGTCTTTGGCTCTTTGCTGTCTTCTCAAGAGCCGGTAACAGATCTCCAGTGAGCTGAAACAGAGAAAGTTGTTTTAAACCATTGACTGCTTAATAAATTAGCACTAGATGGCTTTTAGTCTAATTTATCTCTGGGAGCCAGTTTCCCAGGGTATCAGAGCAATACCACAAGAAAAATTATTTCCATTAAACACCACAAAAATGTCTTTCCTGTGATACTTCACTGAAAGGGTGACATGTACGAGATTCTCAGTCACAAAACAGGAAAGAAATGTTTGAAAGTTAAATTAAAAAGTAAAGCACAGTTAAGATTTTATTGAGCTTAAACCCCATTCCTACCCCCTAAACATATAAATCTGTTCTGTGTTCTGTGTCTCCCACTCAGATGGGTGATAAATTTTGGATGCTGAATTCTTATGTCTCTAAAAATAACGTTTACCTAAAGTGAAGTGCAACATCTGGGTTTATTGGGGGAGCATGAAGTGGCCTTTCAGCTTAATTATTTGTGTGGTCAGGTTAGATTTCCCAACCCTGAAAATGATGCCAGTTTTGTTTCTCTTGGCCCCTGCCCACTACAGGTAAAGAGTCTGGTTCCACTAACTTTCCCATAGACCTGCTTCTTAATGCAGAATGTTACTATCGATGCCCTGACATTGAGGAAATGTAATATTTCCCATTTGCTGCCTGAGTTGAAGGACCTGCTGTCCCTGGAGGCACCTTGGTTACTGTGAATTAAAATGTATTGAAGAATTACCTAGTGCTGTCATAGAGAATGTCATTACAATAGACCCATGGGTCTCTGATGCTCTCAAAAGAATGTGTTTCTTTGCCTTTGCCATGAAGGATATGTCTGATTGTCTAGACGAGAGAGCAGATTGAGATGGTCCATATGCATCCTTAGGGGCTGTCCAAATAGGAAAGATAGTGAGGCTGGCATTAGATTGATCATAATAAGAACTCTTCACTCTTTCCAACACTCCTGTCCATATTCCAAAACAAGCTAATACCATGGAAAAAGCAGCCTTATGAAGGAATGTGGTGAGAGCAACCAGCTGTCCAGGGTGATCCTGGGAATTGATGGTCTTTTTTGAAAAAAATAAAAAATAAAAAGAACAACATCATAGACAGTCTTGAAATAAAATTTTTAAATCTCTAGATCTTTGTATAAATTTGAGCCCAAACATTTTCATTCACACCGTAAATTTTTCCAGGCACTGACTCAAGACCTGAGAGATATCTTTTCATTTTTCCTCTTTCCCTACCAAATTGTTTGTTATTCCTTCTCTTCATTTCTACTCTCTTGGCCACTAGTTCACTTTAAGACCTTATTGCTTTAAGTTGGTCTGTTGTAAAAGACTCTTTACTCATTCCCAGACCTTCAGCCTTTCAAAATTAAAGGCCATTCTATACACCGCCACCAGACAATCCTGGATTATTGCTTGGCTCATCTCACTTCTCTGTTTAACTTTTTCAACGGCTCTCCCATTGACTACTGCGTAAGATTATGGCAATTTATCATGTTGTTCAAGGCCTTTTACAATTTTGTTCCAAATTATGCTGCCTGTCATATGCTACTTCCTATGCTCCAGCCAAAGGACACCTATCTACCCTTTTTTTTTTCTTTTTTTTTTTAGACAGAGTCTCGCTCTTGTTGCCCAAGCTGGAGTGCAGTGGGGCAATCTCAGCTCACTGCAACCCCTGCCTCCTGGGTTCAAGCGATTCTCCTGCCTCAGCCTCCTGAGTATCTGGGATTACAGGCGCCCGCCACCACGCCTGGCTAATTTTTGTACTTTTAGTAGAGACGGGGTTTTGCCATATTGGCCAGGCTGGTCTTGAACTCCTGACCTCAGGTGATCTGCCCGCCTTAGCCTTTCAAAGTACTGGGATTACAAGCGTGAGCCACCATGCCCAGGCTACCCCTTCATTTCTTAACTTCATCTTGTCTTTTCTCACCTTTGGCTTATACCATTCTCTCCATCTGGGCTGTCACTTCCTCTTGTCTCTTCTTGATAATATCTAGCTTGTCTTCTAAAACCTAAGTCAGAAATCCCCCTTCTTCCATAAAGCCTTTTCAGGGCACTTAAGTCAGAAGCTTTCTTTGCCTTCCTCTCATTGAGCATTTGATTGGGACTACTCTTAAGGCCTATAACATGCATTTTTTGTAGTTATTTAGGTCCCTGTATTAGCTTTCTCAGTGGGTTGCAATGTCTGGAAGGTGTAAACCTGTCTTTGTATTCTCCATCATGCCTTGTACATGTTGGATGATGAATGAGTAAAGGAAAGAATAAAGGTAAATGCTACTTCCTTCCCTTCCTAATCATATTGAAAAAGTGTAACATGGAGAATAGGTCCTGCAGAAATCTCTGGTACATCCAGTTATAGGGCAGCCTGAGCCTAAGGATGTGGATTAGTGGTGAGGAGACCTTGGCATGTCTGAGTTTGGGTCAGTTTCCAAGGACCACCTAAGTGTTTAGAGGCTTATCTGAATAAATGGATTCTCCCAGATCTTTGGAATTTCTGAGATGAAAGTGGGCAGAGTTGTGGGCTTGTCATAATAAAACATGTATTTAAAAATTTTTAACTGAAGATTATATAAGTATCAGAAAACTTGAAGCTCAAATCTGACAAATATGTGGTGCAGGTGGCTCAGGAACTGAGCAGGTTGACCTCTGGCGTGCTTACTCTAGAAACCTGGCTACAAGACTCTGGCAGATTGTGAGTTTATAGGTTGAAAGATGAAAGATAACTTAAAAGAAGGAAAGTACTTCAAAGGATTGATATGTTGCAACAGATTCCCAGTCCTGGTCAGTGTGTTTGCAAAAGAAGGCTTAATACATGGGAATAGTCGATTCTTAAAAAATAACTTGTGTTTACTCAAATTATTTTTGCAAGCAGAAATTATGGCCAAATGTGAGCCTTCGCTTTTTATACATAACAGCTGCACATAAACAGCAATGTAAATCAGACCCTTTGTTTTTCTTACGTGCCACAGTACCATGACTGTGCCAGCATTAACAAAGTGAAGACATTGTTCAAAGAGTTTGACAGGTAAAGGTAGATTAACTGGATAATTCGGGTCCCCATTTCCCATTTTTTTTCTTTAGTAGTATTTATATTTGAGCTTGTCAATAATTACCTGTATTATCTCCTAATATCACTTTGCCTAGGTAGCCCCAGTTTTTAAATTTGTAACATGAGAATAATGGTAACTTTATCCCATGAGATTATAACGAAGATTAAATAACAAATATGAAAAGTGTGTTTAAAAAGTGTTTCGTACTTTCTGAAGCACTGACATATTTTTGCATGTTGTACATATGTATGTATTATTTAGATAAAACAGTTGGTTACTCTCTGGTATGTATTTAGTCCTTTGATCCATGCTCCTCTTTAAAGAGTTTAAAATTTGGATAGATAGATGATGGATGGCTGGATGCATAAACACATGTATAAATCTGTTTTAAATATATATAATTTAATTAACAATCATACTTTATCAGATAATAAGCAATTTAGAAGTGAACCGAAAATGGGAGATTAGTTTGAATGGATTTTATAAATACTATTTGTGTGGTTTTGAACATAATTTTAGATTCTTTCAATACTTAGAAAATGTCCTGTAATTCAGTGTTCTCTAAGTGTGGTCTGTGGACCGATGTTGGTTCATAATTTGTTCCTAGTAGCAATAATAAGCACATTGCTTAATTTACTAAATTTTTCTTTTGCAAGAATGTCTTGATTTCTATTCTGGCACAAGATCTTTATGTTCTTATTGATTGGCGAACAGTAGTTTGTTGCCTGGTGCTTGTAGTAGTGCTGCTCCAATGGCATTTTACCATTTGAGCATTCATTTGTTCTTTCACTCATTCAACAAGCATTTATTAAGCACCTTATTAGTTAAGGTAATCCTAGCAGTGTAACAAATAAGTCCTGAGCTTAATGTAATAAAAACCTATTTCACAGACATATCAGAGTCTCTGTGGTTGTCCTGGTCTATGGCCTTCTGTGTTGTCTTTAGGAAAAGGGTATATATATATAGATATATAAGATCTATCTATCTATCTATCTATCTATCTATCTATCTATCTATCTATCGAGAGAGAGATTTATTATGGGAATTGCCTCATGTGATTACAGAGGCGGAGAAGTCCCACAGTATGCTGTCTGCAAGTTAGAGAACAGGAGAGCCAGGGGTAAATTAGCCTAAATCTGAAGGCAGAGCACCCAGAGAGGGGATGGTGTAACTCTCAGTCTCATGCTGAAGGCCTGTGAACCTGGGGAGGCTGCTGGTGAAAGTCCTATGATCTGAAGGCCTAAGAACCAGGCAAGCTTCAATATCTGAGGGCAGGAGAAGGTAGATATCCCAGCTCAAGAAGAAGGTAGGTGTTCACCCTCCTCTGCCTTTTTGTCCTATTCAGGCAGGCCCTCAATGGATTGGATGATGCCTGCACATGTTGATAGATCTTTGCTCAGTCTACGGATTGAAATGCCAATCTCTTCCTAAAACACTCTTACAGACACATGCAGAAATAATATTTTACCAGCTATCTGAGCATCCCTTAACCCAGTCAAGTGGATGCATAAAGTTATCACAGTTAAGGGGCACAGTCCCTTATTAACCATTTCAGGAGGGACACAACATCACTTTTGCTCACATTATTTTTCTGAGGATAATTGTTTTCTCTTACCTCCACGTAAGGGCATGGGGAAATACAATCCTTGGCTTTGTGAACACTTCTTGGCATTAACACATTATGGAAGCAGAGCAAAAATTTTTGATGGTCACCTAAACCAGTATTTCTCAAACTATCTGTGGTGAAGGACCAGTTCTGTTTTTTGAAAGTTTAAATCTGTCACAACCTGATGTTTGAAAAAAATTCCGTAAAAATGAATTACTAGGAAAGTAAAATAAACAAACAATATATAAATACAAGTCAAGTTTTAGAAATTATTAGATTCAGGCCGGGCGCAGTGGCTCATACCTGTAATCCCAGCAATTTGGGATGCTGAGGTGGGCAGATCACGTGGTCAGGAGATCAAGACCATCCTGGCCAACATGGTGAAACCCCGTCTCTACTAAAAATGCAAAAAAATTAGCTGGGCATGGTGGTGCATGCCTGTAGTCCCAGCTACATGGGAGGCTGAGGCAGGAGAATCACTTGAACCTGGGAGGCGGAGGTTGCAGTGAGCCGAGATGGCGCCACTGCACTCCAGCCTGGTGACAGAACATGGAATTTTATTTTCATATAGGGAAACAGATAATAAACAAGAAAATTTTAGGTAGTGATAATCCATCATGAAGACATGTGAATGGTATCATGTGACCCAGTAGCTTCTGGAGAGGCCTCCCTAAGGAGGATCCTTGTGATCAAGATAGAACAGCAGATTTAGGAAAATGTATTCCAAACAAAAAGTTCTACCTTGTTTAAATTTGTTTAAGGTATGTTTCATTTTCACTTCTAATTTCAAAATTTTCATAAGGCTTCAGAATATGCCCCTTTACAAAAACAGGTGAAAAAGAAACATTTTAAAATCTTTTATTCCCTTTTCCTAAAACAGTATATGCATATTATTTTTATTATAGCTTTATTGAGATATAATTCATATACCATTCAATTAATTCATCTAAGTGTACAATTTAATGGTTTTTAATATGTTTACAGATATGTACAACCATCACTATGGTTAATTTTAGAATTTTTCATCCCCTCAAAAAGAAAACCTGTGTGCTTTAGCGATCAGTCCATACCCTCTATTGTCCCCAACTCTAAGCAACCACTAATCTACTTTCTATCTTTATAAATTTGCCTATTCTGGGCATTTTATATAAGTAGACATTTCATATAATACGTGATATAATGTGATTTAATCTTTTGTGACTGACTTATTTCACTTAGCATAATGTTTTCAAGGTCCAGCCATGTTGCATGTATTGGTACTTCTTTCCTTTTGTGGCTAAATAATATTCCATTGTATGAATATACCACATTTTGTTTATGCTTTTACCAGCTGATAGACATTTAGGTTGTTTCCACCTTTTGGCTGTTATGAATAATGTTTCTATAAACATTCATGTGCAAGTTTTTGCGTGGACATGTTTTCATTTATTTTGGTATATTCCTAGGTGTAGAATTTCTGGGTCATGTGGTAACACTCTATTTAAGAGTTTAAGGTCCTGACAGATTGCTCTCAAAAGTGGCTTCACCATCTTACATACCCACCAGCAATGTATGAGGGTTCCAGTTTCTCCACATCCTTGCCAATACTTGTTTTTATCTGTCTTTTTTTATTTTAGCCATCCTAGTGGGTGTGAAATTATATCTCATTGTGGTTTTGAGTCGCATTTCCTGATGACTAACAATGTCACACATCTTTTCATATGCTTATTGGCCATTAGTACACATTCTCTGGAAAAAATATCTATTCAGATCCTTTGCAATCCTTTTAAAATAGGGTTACGTCTCTTTTTATTATTGAATTTTTAAAATTCTCTATATAGTCTAGATACAAGTCCCTGATAAGATACATGATTTGTAAATATTTTCTCCTTGGTAGATTGTCTTTTTGCTTTCTTTATAGTGCCCTTCAAAGCCTAGAAGTTTTAAATTTTGACAAAGTCCAATTAACCTATGTTTTTCTTTTGGTGTTTGTGCTTTTGGTGCCATACTTAGAAAGCCATTGTCAAATGCAAAGTAATGCATATTTATACCTATGTTTTCTTCGAAGAATTTTATAGCTTTTGCTCTTACATTTAGGTTTTTGATCCTTTTGAGTTAATTTTTATATGTCCTATGAGGTTAGTGTCCAATATTATTCTTTTGCATGTTATTACCCAGTAGTTCCAGTGTCAGGGTTTGAATATGTCCCCCCAAATTTATGTGTTGGAAACATAATCCCCAATGCAACAATGTTAGGAGATGGGACCTTTTCAGAGATGTTTAGGTCCTAATGGCTCCATCCTCATCAATGGATTAATGTTGTTATAAAAGGGCTTAATGGAAGAAGTTCATTGCTTTTCACCCTTCCACTTTGTGCTATGTGAGAACACAGCATTCTTCCTTGTTGGAGGACACATTGTTCAAGGCTTCATCTTAGAAGCAGAGACTGGACCCTTGTCAGACAACCAAACCTGCTGGCAACTTGATCTTGAACTTCTCAGCCTCCAGAACTGTGAGAAATGAATTTCTGTTCTTTATAAAATACTCTATCTGTGGCATTGTGTTATAGCAGCCCAAAATGTACTAAGATACCCAGCATCATTTGCTGAAAGACTATTCTTTCTCCATGAAATGGTCTTGGTGCCCTTGTCAAAAATTAGTTGACCATAGACACATGGATTTGTCTTAGGACTCTCAATCTATTCCATTGATCTATGTCTGTCCTTATGCCAATACCACACTGTCCTGATTACTGTTGTTTTTTTTTTTGTTTGTTTGTTTTTTTTTTTTTTTTTTTTTTGAGACGGAGTCTCGCTCTGTCGCCCAGGCTGGAGTGCAGTGGCGCGATCTCGGCTCACTGCAAGCTCCGCCTCCCGGGTTCACGCCATTCTCCTGCCTCAGCCTCCCGAGTAGCTGGGACTACAGGCGCCCGCTACCACGCCCGGCTAATTTTTTGTATTTTTAGTAGAGACGGGGTTTCACCTTGTTAGCCAGGATGGTCTCGATCTCCTGACCTCGTGATCCGCCCGCCTCGGCCTCCCAAAGTGCTGGGATTACAGGCGTGAGCCACCGCGCCCGGCCGATTACTGTTGTTTTGAAGTAAGTTTTGAAATTGATAATTGTGAGTCCTTCAACTTTGCTCATCTTTTTCAAGATTGTTTTGGCTATTCTGGATCCCTTGCAATTCCACGTGAATTTTAGTATCAGCTGGTCAATTTCCACAAAGAAACCACTTGGAATTCTGATGAGGATTGTGTTGAATGTACAGATTAATTTGGAGAGTATTGGCATCTTAAAAATACTAAGTCTTCTTATCCATAAAGATAGCGTGTTTTTATTTATTTACATCTTCTTTATTTTAACAATGACTTGTAGATTTTAGAGTATAAGTTTTACACTTCTTTTGTTAAATTTATTCCTAAATATTTTATTCTTTTTGATGCTATCAAATGGAATTGTTTTTTAATTTCATTTTTGGATTATTCATTAAAAATATATAGAATTATAGTTGATTTTTGTATATTGATCTTGTGTCTTATAACCTTGCTGAAGTCATCTATTTAGTCCAGTAGTTTTTCAGGGATTCCTTAGGACTTTCAGTATACAAAATTGTGCCATCTGCAAGTAGAGATAGTTTTACTTTTTCATTTCCAATATGAATGCCTTTTATTTATTTATTTTTCCTTATGCCTAATTACCCTAGTTTAAATCTCTAGTATAATGTTGAATGGAAGTGGCAAGAATGGACATCCTTGTCATGTTCTTGAGCTTAGGGAAAAAAGATCCAGTATTTTACCATTAAGCATGATGTTTGCTGCGAGTTTTTGTAGATGCCCTTTATCAAGTTGAGAAAGTTTCCTTCTATTTCTAGTTTGTTGAGTGCTTTTATCATGAAAAGGTTTTAGATTTTGTCAAATGCTTTTACTCTGTCTATCGAGATGATGATATGGTTTATTTTTTATTCTGCTGATATGGTGTATTACATTAATTGATTTTCAGTTGTTAAACCAACCTTGCATCCTGAGATAAATCCTATTTGGTCATGGTTTATAATTCTTTTGATATGGTGCTGAATTCCGTTTGCTACTATTTTTTTGGGGATTTTGTGTCCATATTAATAACAGATAATGGTCTGTAGATTTCTTTTCTGTGATATCTTTTGGTTTCATTTTCAGGATAATTGAGGGTTTTGGCCTTATAGAGTGAGTTGGAAAGAGTTCCCTCCTCTTGTATTTTTTGAAATAGTTTTTGAAGGATTTGTATCAATTCTTCTTTAAGTAAGTGTTGGTAGAATTAACCAGTGAGGCCATCTGGGCCTGGGCTTTTCTTTGTGTACTAATTGAATCTCTTTACTTGTGTTATAGGTATATTCATATTGTCTATTTCTTCTTGAGTCAGTTTGAATAGTTTGTGTCTTTCTAGGAATTTCTTCATTTCATCTAAGTTGTTGGATTTATTAGCACACAATTCTTCATAGTATTCCTGTATGATTTTTTTTATTTCTGTAAGATCAGTTGTAATACCCAGTCTTTCATTTCCAAATCTAATAATTTGAGTTTTCTCTATATTTTTCTCAGTCAGTCTAGCTAGAGGTTTGTCAATTTTGTTAATCTTTTCAAAGAACCAGCTTTTAGTTTTGTTGATTTTATCTATTGTTGAGTCTACTTCAGATTTATACTAACTTAATTTCAGTGTGATATAGAAACATTATTTCTATATAGCTCTATTATATTTTTTCCCTTTTTGTTATATACATAGTATTATATTTATATTGGTTATGCATATTATTGTTATACATTTTACTTCTATAAATGTTACAAACCTCAAAGTATATTATTATAACTTATTTTATATAATTTTATGACTTTTAAAGAAGCTGAAAGAAGATGGGAGAACAAGTATATATAGCTTTTATGATATTAATCTTCTCATTTATCATTTCTTATTTTCTTTACTTGTTCCTGTAGACCTGAGTCATCTATAGTCATTTCTTTAGTCCAATAGAGCTTTGCTTACACCCACCTCCTTTGTTAGGATATTGGCAAATATATTACATTTCTATGTGTTTCGGCCCGGCAATAATTTTTTTAATATACTGTTTTATACAATTGGTTTTTTAAAAATCAGTTAAGAAATGGAGAAAAATATGCATTTATACTGTCTTTTATAGTTACATAATTACCTTTACAGGTTCTTTTTGTTTTTTAGTATGCGGATTCAAATTCTTATCTGGGGCTTTCAACCTGAAGAAATATTTTTAGTATTTCTTGTAAGTCATGTCTGCTAATAACAAATTTGCTCAGTTTTTGTTTATCTGGGAATCTATTCTGCCTTCATTTTTGAAAGATAGTTTTGTAGGATAGAATATTATTGTCTGACAGCTGTTTTTCTCTGAGCATTTTAAATGTATTATACCATTACCTTCTGGAGTCCATTGTTCCTGATGAGAAGTCAGCTGTTCACCTTATTGGGGTTCCCTTGTATGAGAATGAGTTAATTTTTGCTTTCTGCTTTCAGGATTTCCTTGTTGTCTTTGGCTTTCAATATTTTTACTACAATATATCAATTTGCAGATCCTTGTTTATCCTACTTGGAGTTCTCTGGGCTTCCTGGAAGTATAGATTAATGTTTTTCAATAAACTTGGGAACTTTTCAGCTATTATTTCTTTAAATATTTTTTCTTCCCTTTGTATTTCTCCTCTCTTTCTGATACTTACATTATGAGTATATTGATATCCTTAATGGAGTCTCACATCTTCTAAGGCTCTATTTGTTTTTCTTCATTCTTTTTTCTCTCTGTTCCTCAGATTGTATAATCTCTGTCAATCTATCTCAAGTTTGCTAATTATTTGTTCTGCCAGTTCAAATCTACTGTTGAGCTCCTCTAGTGAATTTTAAAATTTCAGGTATTGTACTTTTCAACTCCAGAATTTCCACTGTGTTTTTTCCTTATAATTTCTATCTCTTTATAGAGATTCTGTATTTGATGCAACATTGTCATCAGACCTTCCTTTAGCTCTTTAATTATGATTTCCTTTAGCTCTTTGAACACATTTATAATGGCTACTTTGAAGTCATTGTTAAATTTAACATCTGGTTGCTCTCACAGGCAGTTTCTGTTTCCTACTTTTTTCTGGTGAATGAATCATACTTTCCTGTTTATTTGCATGTCCCATTTTAAAAATAAAAACTGAACATATTAGATAATATATTGTAGCAACTCTGGGTATTGATTCCCCACTGTGGGACTTATTATTGTTATTTGCTTATGTACTTATTTAATGACTATCTGGATTATTTTAGTGCAGTCTGTTTCCCCCCTACAGTGTGAAGCCTCTGATGTTGCTCCTCAGGGGACACAATCTTGGGTATGCCTACAGTCACCCTAAGATGAAAGTGGTTTTGGCAGTGACAGTCTTTGACAGTCTCTTTCTCTGACCACATCCAGCTATTAAGCACTACTAATTGCCAGCTGATTGCTCTATTGTTTTCAACAATGTCTTGGGGCATAAATTGCTTCATAAACTAATTAAATTCAGGCTCCTTGGAAGATAACGTTGCAGAGGGCAGTATTTGGGATTTGTTCAGACTCCAGTTGTTCTTCCCAGCTGCCTGTTTTCCCATTTCTCTCCAGTGAACTAGTCCCCTTCAATTGAATCTATCAATCTCTTCCCAATTTCCTGTCACCACAATTCCCTTATTTCCGAGAGTGCCCTTGGGGCTAAACTCCACACTTTGTTGCAAATGAAGTAAATTCGTTGGGGAAGAGATTTGGGAGCTCTTTGAATGGGGTAGGAGGGATGGAGACAATAAATTACTTCCTTCTGAGTGACAGGCCTGCTTTCAGAGCTAAGTGCTCACTGGATGGAGGCAGCAGACCCTGGTGTCTTCAGCTTGCATTCCTTGGTATGGAACCCCTACCCCATGAGCTGCAGTTAGGGCATTAAGAGCCCTGGTATTCTCAGTGGCACCATGTTCTTCATCCTATGAGTGGAGGTTGGGCAGAAAATGGCAGCTCCCACCTCACTGTTGCACTTTCCAAGAATTTAGTGTCAGCAACAGTTGAGGCTGTTGCTGAGGGCAGGATGAGAATTGCTGACATCCTTTGCCTCCTGGGAAATAGCCTCTGACTGGGTGCTTGAGAGAGAGGAAGGAAGCCTTGTATCTTTGGCTATACCAAGTCAGGAGTGGAGTTTCTGTTTCACTGCTAGGAGGAGGGAGGGTATGATTCTTCATTCAAATCCTACACACTCTTGCAGTTCTTACTGGGTTTTAGTAGATTTTGTTGAATAAATGTTTCTTCATTTGCAAGCCCTTAGAACCATTTCCTTTAAGTGTTCCTTTTTTTTTCTTAATCATAATTTTCACCAGTTTCACTGGAGAGTGGCTTCATGGAGCTCCTTGTACTTTTATGCAGAAGTGGAAATCTTATATGTTAATTCTTTCATTTATTTACACCTTTACCCAGTTTTATTGAGTGTATATTATGTGTCTGATCCTATGATAGGAGCTGGAGATACAGTGGTGAGTAAAACAGATTTGGAACTTCCTGTATAGTAGGCAAGTCAGAAAAAAGGCAAAACAAGATTAGAAGCAGCTTGACAGAGGTTCCCATTAGATTTTGAATGAATAACAAATAAGCAAATGAATTACATTAAGTTATTTGAAGGAAACCATGCTTAGTGAAGATAAAACAGAATCATGCAGCTTAGAGTCTGTTGAAGAAGAGAAGGAAGCTAACACAGTGGTTGGGAAAATAGAAGGATGACTTAGGTTAGGAAAAACCAAGAGTTGTAGGACCTGAGATCTTGGGGATGAAGACTTTTCAGGAAGTGACTAACATCTGCTTTTAGCACTGTGGCTGACTATAATTCGAGGTAAACAGCCTATGGAAAGAATAATTATGCACTATTTAGGGAAACATATTGCTTACATACAGCTTAAAACATATAACTTTAACTAAAATAGAGAATAATTACTGAAAGTGTACTGTATTTGGGATTCTTTCATTTAATTCTATCAGTAACTGAATTGCTGTAAGCTATGGTTTACTCGTTTTTAAAATAGGGCTAACAATGCCTGAGTGATTGAGTGACCAAGTTACTATTAGCTCCAGCTTTCTGTCAAAGAGCACCATACTGCCTTGAGTTAAAGGCAGTTAACTGTTACTTAAGATGTATGCCTTTTAAACATTGTTTGAACTGGTGGCATTTTGTGGTCTAGGAGTAGGAAAGAAAAATAATAGATTCCTATTATTATATGCATATATAAATTTAAAATATTGTAAGGAATGTATGTTGAATTATAGTTTCTTTCTATTGTCTTTTCCCAGTTCAACAACCATGTGTTGAACACTTAATATGTGCCCTGCACTATTGACAAAATGAATATGATGGGGCCTTGCACATAAGGATCACATACTATTTGGAGTAAGTATTGGGGTTGGGTAGATGGATAAACCAAATAAATTGTTATTAAAAATGAATATATTAAAGACAGTTCAGCAATTGGGATGAGGGCTTTTATTGCAGGAAAGGATGGTGAGACCACAAATTAATCCAAATTGGAGCTGCCCAACACAGCATATTTCACCTGGTGGTAAGACCCTAAGTGCAGTGGACTTTTTAAAAATGGAAAGCTTATTGCTTCTCAGGGATATCTCTCTAACTGATTGATTGCCTAACCAGCATTTCTTCCTTCTATTTTGAGTAATTGTGCACCACTTAATTAGTCTTTCAATCCATGAACATAGTTTATCTCTTCATTTATTTTGAACTTTTCTACTATCTCTCAGCAATGTTTTATAGTTTTCAGTGTAGAAGTATTATATATCTTTTGTTGATTTATTTCCAGGGTTTTTTTTTTGTTTTATATATTACTGAAATTGGTTTCTTAAAAAACTTTATTTTCCAAATTGTTATTGGTAGTATATAAGAATGCAGTTGATTAGCTTTGTATTCTGTGACCTTGTTAGACTCATTTATTACTCCAGTAATTGTTTTATAGATTCCCTAAGATTTTCTACAAAAAAAAAATCATATCTGTGAGTAGGAACACCTTTACTTCTTTCTTCCAAAATTTAGGCCTTTGATTTTTTTTTATAGCTTTATTCCAATGGATAGGTCTGCCAGTAAAACGTTGAATAAAATTGGTGAAAAAAAATCTGTTAATTCTCTGGCTAATACTCCTTTCCTTTCCTGTAAAGCTGATCTCCTCAAATAATAGCTACACATCCTTTGCCTACTTGTGTGCTTCATCTTTTAGTCTGCTAACATGAGCTTCTGTCTAAGGTACTCTATATTAAGCCACTTTGCCAAAGGCCCTAGTGACCCATTTATAGCAGAATCCAACAGGCCTTTCCCAGTTCTTGTCTTTTCTGGCTCTTCCTATACATTT
Source organism: Homo sapiens (assembly GCF_000001405.40). Taxonomy (NCBI): domain Eukaryota; kingdom Metazoa; phylum Chordata; class Mammalia; order Primates; family Hominidae; genus Homo; species Homo sapiens. The sequence continues at coordinate 54,091,033 of NC_000014.9, read as the reverse complement.
ATCCTTGTCCTTAGAGCTCTCTCCCTTCTTGGTTCTCAAACCACTTACTTTGAATCCCTTTCAGCCTCCATCATGGCTACCTCTTTTTCTGTATGCCTTTTAAATTGTTTCCCAGATGTCATTTTTTGAAACAATTTTCAGTTATTTCCCAGTTTTCACTCTGGATGCCCTCCTGGGGGCAATTGCATTCACTCCCCAGACTGCAACTCAACATGAGTATTGATGATTTTCAAATCTCTATTTCCTGCTCTACTTTCTTCTCCATCTCCAGACCTATTATCTACTGCCTAATGGATCATTCTGCTAGAGTTTTCCATGGACACCTGTAACTTGACATGCATACAACTTAGCTCATTATTTCTTCTTATGTTTAGCCTGCGTCTTTTTTTTCTGAATTTCTACAAACCAGTGGAAATTCTTCAAATATACAAAACTATGTAATGACAGTCTTTGCCCATAGTATTCCTTGTGGCTGGAATGTTCTCCTTCCTCCTCCCTTTAGCTGGTTCATATATACAACTGAAGTCATTTGCCACTAAGAAACCTTTTCTAACCAGCCACACCCCATGCTAGCCAGCTAGAATTGAACTTAGTACCTGGCATGGACTTCCTTCAAAGTATCTATAACATCTTTTTAAGACATCTATTTGTTTATATGGCTATTTCCCTCTACTAGATTCAAGGACCTAGGCCTTGTCTCATTTATTTTTGTGTCCTCAGATCCTGCCATGGTGCCTGGCCCTTAGTAGGTACTCATTAGGTATCTGTGGTTGTATGCATATTACAATCAAGCCTTAAGCTAGTAAAGTATATCAACCTAGATGAAGAGAAATTAATATTATGATACCCATGTGGAAGATTGTGGTGACAGAAAATGGGTGATCTGTGACTGCATCTATGAAAGAGGTATGCTCTGAATACTTTTCAGTTCGTCTCCAGAATTTTTAAGAGAAGTGGATAAATGCCTCTTGAATCCAATCAATTCCCCTTGCTCTAATTCTGTGCTGAATGAGGAAGTGGATTATGATTTAGCTTCTTATATATATCTGCCTATAAAAATAAGTGGAAACAAACAAAAATGGACTAATTTGAAAAACTGGGAATTTAATCTGTTGAGAAGTTGTAAATCTCATTTTAAAGGAAGTAAATGACATTTGACTTCTTTGGGCTTGGTTAGGACGAGTTGACTTCCCTAGGTCTTATCATCTCTTATCATCATCTAGGCATCATATCATGTCAGATATCCTGACAGAACTGGTCTGGTCTACACAGCTAACTCAGACCTGGAGCAAGATCTCTCCTCGACCTGTCTGTGTGGCTCACTTGTGTGGCCCCACCTTGTATTCTTCATGGGACTTTCTACCTGAAAAATTTACATTGTGTTTTTATCAAAGAGCTTACCAGGAAAACCTAAGGCTTATTTGAATTCTGCCTAATATTATATAGTAGAATTTTTGATGATCTCTTCTATAGCAGTTGTCGAGAATGAACTCTTGTAAGTTAGAATGAAATATGAAAAGAAGTTAAAGGGATGATGAAGCATGAGAATAATTAGACATGTGAAGGGCAGAAGGTACAGCTACAACATTAGCTATGAAGCAGCGAGCGAAAGGTAGCTAAAGAAAATAACAGCTGAAAAAGTAGAGAGATGGCTAAGAAGAGGAGGAGGATAAATGGGGGTAGAGAGGAATTTTTTTTAAATGTGTATTCAATGAGTTGTAATAGTGCCCAATCTTCTCCAGCTACAAAGTGTGTTTTATGCGTCCTAACAAATTCTGAAAGTCAGTTTTGACAAGGGGGTTTTCTAAAGGCATCACACTGGGCTATATAGATAAGATGGTTTTTTTGACATTTGTGGTTTGGGTTTCTAATCCAGCATGAAATAAGATTCGTTTATTCACTGAAGAATTTATTAAACTTACTGCAGGCCAGTCAAGGACCCAGGGACTAGGGACATGATTATGAGTAAGACAGAAAGGTGGCCAACAGATCAAGTCAACAGTTATTATTTGGTGTGCCAAATGTAAGGAAATTCAATATGCACATGGTGTTATGAGAGCAAAGAAGAAGGGCATCTCTTGGCAGCTGGAGAGGCTCCCCAAGGAAGGCTCCTTATTAGACTGGAATTTCTAGGATAACAGTACCTGATCTCCTCTTACTCACTCAGACATCCCTAGAACTAGCACAAGTGCCTAGTATGTGATAGAAGCTGATAAAAATAAGTTGAATGATTGAACTCATCAAAACCCATCTTCATTTGCTTGGAGTGGAAATCATCCCAATGGGAGATATTGCCCCAAATCCTATTCTTTGATTCTTAGAATTTCTTTATGAGAACAAATGTATCTGGAAATATTGATTAGTCTGACATTTTTATTTCTTGCCCTTAAGGTTTCACGAATACCAAAATTTTAGTGTGACCCCTCAAGTAATCACTACAGCAAGTAAAGTCAATGAAATATAAGCAAAGTGTTGAGCATATCTTTTAAAAATTGTGGAAATAATCAATATGCAGTGCCAATGGAAACACTGCAGTACAACATAAATTGAACTTCGGCAACTCGATGAAGCAAGCACATGCTCCTATTTGAGCTCTTTCACAATATATCTGTAGTGTTTTAACTAGGTATTTACAGATAGTTGAAATACCTAAAGACCACTTGATTATTATTTGCAGCTACTTCTCTACACCAAGAAATTAGCTGCCAACTCTCCTATTCTAGCAGCTAAAGTTTGGAAAGCAGACAAAACAAAGACTTCAAAGGAATATCCTTCATATTAAAACTCCCACAAATTGTGTGATGAAGGTCAAAGAAAGTGAATTTCAAATGAGAAGACTTAGCATTTTACTGCTTTTTGGCATCTGGCATAGGTCAGTTAATCTTTCTGAGTCTGTTTCCAAAACTACAAAACGCAGATATCGTGGTGCTCGCCCAACTTCGTGGCATTGCTATGAAGATCAAAAGAGATAATATAGATAAAGGAACTTAGAAAACTGTAAAACTCAATATGAATATTAATTATTAAAATAATATCATGAATGGAAAATGGAATTCAAATTTCTGACCATGAATGTGGCCTGTGATGAACAAATTTGAATGTTCTGTATTCAGATCCAGAGCCCTTGACTTGTTAACCGTTCATCACAAGATACTGAAAATAATTTTGTGCTAGGCAAAAAGATTTAGGAATTTAGTAAAACAGGGTTTTTGTTTTGTTTGTTTGTTTGTTTTTAAAAGGCTAGTTCTCTGATCTCACAACCAAAACCACGAGCACATTCCTTTAAAAGGATATCCTTTTAATGATTTAGGAAGCTTTTTAGGCTCTCCGGAGTTCTCACAGAGGCTAATATGGAAAACTCACTTACCCAAGAGGCTTGGTTGACTAATTAGACAATCTGCACCAATCTGATGGCCCCAGCTGTCCAAATAAAACCTGCCTTGATGGTGGAAAGCTCAGCAAAACTGGAAGGGGCAGGAACTGAGACAAGAATAAAAATCCAGGGAGACAGCCGAGCCGGCTGCTTTCTCTGAGTGTCTGAGAAGCAGCATCTTTATAAGACTAAAAGAGTTTATTTTAACCATAACTGAAAGAAACTAAGTACCAGTTACCACTAGCAAGGGTGATCTTTATCTGTCTTTGCTGACCTGAGAGAAAGGGAAGGAATCTTAAAAGGCTCTAGCAGCTGTGGGCTCCTCACAGAGGACATCTCCCGCACATTTCTAACATGTCTTGGATTTTTTCCAACCTTACCTTGTGTTAGAAGAAGTTGCTTATGGGAGTTAAATGCCCTTCCTTACAGGTGACCCCATGTAGGTGTTACCAACTACCCTGTACTCAGCAGAATCAGCGTTTTCCCAGTCTGTTTTTGGTAAAGGCCAGTGCTTGCTTTGTGAAAGGTTTTGTGGTCTCCTCCTGGCTTGGTTTCCCTTGGAAGGCTCTCTCCCAGCACCTGTGAGCCCTCACCCTGAGAGATGGCTAATGTGCTAATTACCATGAACCCAAAAATGTAAGCTGTAAACAAATGAGAGCTGTGTTTATAATCAATCAGTTTTATAGCCTTCTGATGGTGACGATATCAGTGGCGTTTACACTGGAAGACCGCACAGCGTTCTCCAGCAGCTGGCCGCTTATGTTGCTCTAGAGCGGAGGACGATGTGGCCCATTAATTGTAGTATTTGCACTGAAGGGAATGTTACTTTGGCCAAATAGCCAATCCTGGGTCTTAGGATTGCCAAATAAATTATTTTCAAAAATCTTAAAGTCAGTTTGGATGGTTTTCAAATTATCCGTGGTTTGGGGGCCTATACTTACCCCCAAAATGAAAAACCAAAAATGCATTCTTTCTGAGCTGTAACTTGATATATACATGATTTGAAGACAGTAGGGAGATACTAATCCCAAGGAGAGACAGGAGGGGCATTCAGCCTTGGCCTGGATGCACAAAGACGAGCTCTTCCCCTCTGATTTAGGGAATGACCTCTGGCACATCACGCTTCCTCTACTTAGGCCTTGTTTCTCCACCTGAAGGCTAAGGTGGAGATGACTTGGCAGCAGATGCCTGCAGAACACTTTGTCATCATAAGACCAGGAGGATCCACGCAAAGCATAAATATCATAAAACGTGGCAAGAAAAATGTTTACACCAATCTGTGGTTTCTGATCAAAGCCAAAATTGCTGGGTTCTTGAATGAAAACTTCTGGCTGCACATGTGAGATTTGCAACTGCCTTTGGCACCTGTAAAATATGATTTGTGAGGTGCCGAACAATGTCCTGGGGGTCTCCAAAGCCTGCTTCTTTGGCATCCAGATCCTTCATTCTGAGTCCTGCCAATATGTGGAGATGTGGGTGCATGAACTTTGGCTGCATTTTGGGTTCGTTAACAGAGCAAAGAATTTGCCAGTGAAGCCCCGATGCGTTTTGCCCCAAGTACCTTGCCCTTCATTTATAGACTCCTGGGAAAACCAAGCCCATCTGTTTCTCATTCATTTACACTTTACTCATCAAAATGTTGGTTTTGGTTGGATTCCTTTGTTTTCATTTCAAGAAACCTTTAAGAATGTAGAGTGGAAAAAAGATGGGTAATTAGCAAGGAGTGCTGAGGACCCTAACCTCTCCGTCCTGTTTTTAACATTACTTATGGTCCATTGTGTGGTGACAAGCATTTTTTTCCTACTGTCCCACTTATCAATTCCCCTAAGTTATTAAAAAAGGAAGGAAGAAAGGAAGGAAGAAAGGAAGGAAGGAGGTCCTTTTTGCTTCTGTTCCACAACCAAAGATTTGGAAACAAGCTAGAATCTGCATGCTTCCATGAGGTAATAGTCATAGGATCTCAGATTTTGCCTTTCCTTTCTCAATCTCTTGTTTTTAAAGAGACAACAGCATTTTCTTAGGTTCATGAAAGTGACTGGGAGTGGCTGGGAACTGTTTATCCCATCAACTTTAGGGAATAGGGTAAAAGAGTCTAGTATTCTTTTTTTTTTTTTTTTTTGTCCTTTATCAAGTACTCTTGAAACTATGAATATTTGTGAGCTGCAAGAAAAATAAATGCAGTCTATTTTCTGGCCTTTGGGGGAGTTTTATAATCCCTTGAAGCAGCTTTTTTTCCTTCCTAGCTTTTAGTCAAAATCAGTAATTGCAGGCATTTTAAGTGGGACCAAATTCCTTTCTTGCTTACAGTTGTAAACTTGCTGATCTTTGGAAGCAAAAGTAAAGTTAGATTACATCCTGTCTTCCCTCACCACCAGAAAAAAGAGAGATAACTCCCTCTCCAGTCCATAGTTTATACATTCCTGAATAACAACCATAATCCAAACTTTGTAGGAAGAAAATGATAAATATCTCATTTAAAGAATGCATTACTGTTGATTATGTACTATATGTACTGTATAACTTTAAACAAGGTTATTATTTAAAGAACAAGGAATTTACATTGTTGGATTATTAAGTTTTGACAGTGGTAAACCTATGGTACTATTGTTAGGTATCTCAATAGCATCTTATTACATGTATCATTTTTAATGATGTGAAAACCAGGTGCCCATATAACTTGGCAAATTCATTTCCATTTTACCTAGTAATGGTTTTACTTTTTGTCATGTGTGCTAGTATATAATCTTCAAAACTTAACTAATTGAACAAAGGAAACATTGCTGTTATTATGGTATTTAGGAAGTTCCAGAATTACTACTATAGCTATGGCTTTATGTTAAATACTATTCAAGTGGGTGGCAGCCTAACAATGGCATTAAGAGTCTGTGCTTTGGGAATCCCATCTACCTGGATTGAAATCTGAGATCTGCTGCTTAGCATTAACTGAGGCAAGTTAGTAAGCCTCTCTGTTTCCTTAGTTGTGTGGTAGGAATAATAATAGTGTCTAGTCTAGTGGTACATTGATAAATGGCAATTTCCATTGTATAAATACTTGCACTGTGGCTGATTTCAAGTTGCCAACCAGAGTTGGGGAAAGATGAGCACAATTAGCTCTTTTGAGCTGGTGCAGGCCATTGCCAATGCTCCATTAACAGCACAAACCTTAGGATTGTTGGGAGTATTAAAGGCAATACAGCATGTTAAGTGCTTAATATTGTGCTTGTATATACTTTATTTCCTTGATTATAAGATGCCTCAATTATAATAAAAATCATTATTTAAAAATAGATTTTTAAGGGAAAATATATTTATTGGCTGTATATAACTTGTTTTAGAAATGAAAAAATGTTCATGTTGAAATTGCTGAAATTGTTGAAAAAATGTTCGTGTTTACTCTGTACTAGGTACTATGCTAAGCACGTATCATAGGTAAGAAGCCTACATTATACATGCTTTTGGCTTATGATTATATTTATTCGCTTATTAAATTAGAAGTACTCTCTCAAATGTGGACATTCTGGGCCTTCTGGTTCTTTCATTAGAAGTTTTACCTCTAGAAAATCTCTCTGGCACATCTTGTATTAGTCTACTAGGGCTATCATAACAAAATGCCACCATCTGGTGGCTTAAACATCAGGAATATACTTATCAAGTTCTGGAGGCTGGAAGTCCAAGATGGAGATGTCAATAGGTGTGGTTTCTCCTGAGGCCTGTCCTTGGCTTATAGATGGCTGTCGTCTTGCTGTGTCTTCACATGGTCTTTTCTCTGTGCACATGCACCCCTGGTGTGTATTCCTCTTCTTATAAAGATACAAGTCCTACCGTATTAGGGATTCAACACATGAAATTTGGAGGGACACAGTTCAGTTCATAACATACTACTTTAGGCTATGTATTAGTTTCCTGTGGCTGCCATAACAAAGTGCCCCAAACTTGGGGGCTTAAAACAACAGCAATGTGGTCTTTCACAGTTCTGGAGGCCAGAAGTCCAAAATCAAGTTGTCATCAGGGCCATTCATGCTCCCTTTGAAGTCTCTGGGGGAGCCTCATGTAGTTTGTAGTGGCTCCAGGCATTTACTGGCTTGTGGTGGCATCACTCCAATCTCTCCCTACATTTGCACATGGCCTTCTTCTCTTCTCTATTCCATTCTCTTTCTCTTTTAATGACAGATATCATTGAATTTAGGGTGTACCCAGTTAATCTAGGATGATCTCATCTTAAGATCTTTAACTAAATTTTATCTGAAAAGACCCTTTTCCAAATAAGGTCATATGCATGGGTTCCAGGTGGACATATCTTTTTTGGGGGGCCACCATTCAACCCACTGCAGTCTGGTTAATTCATCCAGCAAAATGCATGGGATAACTTATTGATTTGTATGACAACTAGTTATGGTGTCAGTGTCTAGTAAAGAAAACTATTTGAGTGATCTTGCTTTTAAAAAGCTTTTTGCAAACCCAAATCAGCTGACACCAGCTGTGGCTGAAACAGCTGAGTGACTACCTGAGACATGGACCCTCCTATAATGTAGAGTTGTAGCTATGTTGCAACTGCCCAATTGGGGACTCCATTTCCCAGCTTCTTTGATTTTTGGTGTGACCATGTGACAAGTTCTGGCCAATGGGCTATGAATGGAAATGATCCATGTCACTTCCTGGCTAAGGTGGTTAAGTATTCTATGTGCCTTGCCCATACTCTCCTTACCTTTCATGGCAACCTTGGAGGGACTGCATGAAGATTGTGCCTTACAAGATTAATGGAGACTGGATACCTGAGTCATCACTTGGGGGTGAGCTACTCAGAAATTATGCCCATCAAAGAATATCCTTACAAACATTTGCATGAGTAGGAAAAAATGAACTTTTACTGTAGGAAGCCATTGAGATTCAGGAATTATTTGTTATTAGCAGTTAGCTTATTCTGACGAATTCTTCAGCTGGTGCTACACAATATATGCACAATAAAACACATTTTATAGTCAAATTGTAACATTGATTCATAAAGTATCCACTACATTATCTTACCATGGTAGGAATTGGTCACCAAATAGCATTGGCTAGAAGAAATGTTTGTCTGAAATAGATTCTGATCAGGAAATGCTATAAAGAAATGTTAAATATTCTGTTTCCAACCTAGACGTGATACATCACATTTTCCATTTATATTTTATTAGCCACGTCAAATCACCTGTGATTATCATCTTCCCACACGTATGAAGTAGAACAGAACTTGATATTGGTGCACAGTTTGATGCAACGACTAGATAGGACTTTGAGACAGTGGGATTAGATAAATCCACTTCCTCGCCCTCGAAGTACTTAGCTACACCCTTGATTTATAAGAAAGTGGAGTAGCCTCTTTGGGAAAATATTCAAACTATGTCCATAATTGTATATGAACTCAGTGGACTTAAAAAGACTTAAATTGTGTAGGTTGGGAAGGACTCAATTTGTGGTGAGGGACAATGAAAGGCGAATAAAGTACATGGCATGTCTGAGTAAATCTCAATAGTCAGGCCTAAGAACGGGGGGCAAGTGATGGCTCCACAAATAGTTTATGGTTATCTGATAATGAACATGATTTTCTTCTATAATAAAAATGGTTTTCTTTTTTAAAAAAAAATGCTAAACATTCTTTATAACTCACCTTAACTTTCCAGATTCACTTGTTTTCTCTAGAAGATGACCAAGAATCAATAGAAAATATTGAAAGATTATCTCATGGGGAGAATTTCATAATTTGAGGAGTGGTTACAATACAGCGGGAAAGAACCTAGCATTTAGAGTCAGATGAATTTGTGTTTAAATCCCTGATATGACACTTTTACTGTGTGACTTGGAAAACTATTTAATATTTATTTTTAAATTAATTCACTAATTAACTAATTTTTTGAGACAGGGTCTCCCTCTGTAGCCCAGGCTGAAGTGCAGTGGCATGATCATGGTTCACTGCAGCCTTGAACTCCTGGCCTCAAGCAATTCTCCCACCTCACCTTCCCAAAGTGCTAGGATTACAGGTGTAAGCCACCATGCCCAGCCAAATTATTTAATATGCTTTTAAATAATTTAATATCCTTTGAAAATAATTTTAAAAGCATATTAAATAATTTGACTGGGCATGGTGGCTTACAATGCTTTAACTTTTGTATTTACAAAAATGAGAAAAATGGCACCTACTTCACACGTGATTATTGTGAGGATTAAATAAAATAATGAAACAATGTGATTGCTTAGCACATGCTCAATTAATGACATGGCTGTTTTATTGTTCTTATTGTTACTGATTGTGATGTGTGCTTTCTGAAAATACTCAGGATGTTTCTATTTCCACCACCAACTTCTGATTTGGCTTGACGTTTACAGCATCTCCATTGCCAGACACAGTCAGTTCTACTAGTGTATTGTTTGAGTTTAAACCATCTAGAAGAGGCTCACAAGCCTTTATATCATCAAGAAAATGGTCAGCCTGTATGGTGTGCAATCCTAGCCATGCTTTGAAAGGGTTGGTGGAGGAGACAGACCAATAATATTTCCAGGGTTCATGACAATGTACACACCTAGGGCTCTGAAGCAATGCCATACCATCTATGGCGGAGAATTATGTACTAATTGGAAATCAGATCCTTGTGTGCTTCTGGGTTCTGGTAGAAACAGAGCACCTAATCACAGAACTTTGAGTGGCCATGTGGCCTGAACTGTCTACCTTACTTGAGTTCTATCAGACCCACTAAGTCATAAATTACAATCCAACAGCAATCCAGTATAGAAGTGGTACATCTGGGATTGAGCATGAGCAGGGTCAGAGGGCACAAGAAGGCTGCATGAGCAAGTAGCCCAGACTCCCATGCCATCCACTACTCTTGCACCATTTCTACTCCCCCATCTTATACCTAGGGCTACATACATAGTCTCATATGATCAGCTGACAAAGGCAAGCTTGGTTGTGGATATGTTGGTTTTGTATGTGGTTATGTAAAGAGGAATCCTTCCAGTGAACACAGCTTTGGGCAGTGCAGCTCATCTTCCTCTTTGTATGGTAGAAGAAGTGGTCAAAGGAGTAAATATATACTGCCTCATGGACTGTTGCAAATGGCTTGACTAAATGGTCAGGGGTCTGAAGGAGAGTGATTAGAATGTTGGGGACAAGCAGATATGGGGAAGAGAAATATGGATGGCCCTATGCAAGTGTGCCCTAAATGTGAAGATACTTGCACCACATTTCAGTGTTCCTGAATGTGAAGGAAAAGAATGAAACAACCGGCTGGGTACGGTGGCCCACACCTGTAATCCCAGCCCTTTGTGAGGCTGAGGCGGGTATATCACAAGGTCAGGAGATTGAGACCATCCTAGCTAACATGGTGAAACTCCATCTCTACTAAAAATTAGCTGGGCATGGTGGTGTGTGCCTGTGATCCCAGCTACTCGGGAGGCTGAGATAGGAGAATCGCTTGAACCCAGGAGGCGGAGGTTGCAGTGAGCCGAGATAGCACCTCTGCACTCCAGCCTGGTGACAGAGTGAGACTCTGTCTCAAAAAAAAAAAAAAAGAAAAGAAAAAAAAGAAAAAACCAAGTAAATTAATGCTTTGGTCAGTTGATGTCAGCCAGTCTCTGTCATTGGTTACCCCAGGGTAGGAACAAGGTTGCATGAACAGAATAGCTATGATGGCAGAAAGGGAGACTATGCATTAATTTAAGAGTATAGTTTCTCACTCACTAAGATTGATCTAGCTTTTGCTGCTGCCAAAAATCCAACATGACAGCTACAAGGACCAACAGAGAAACAGCCTTGACGTCTAGCTCAAGGAGAACTACCAATCATTTGATGCAAATTGATTATATTGGACCCCTTCTACACAGAATTTATCTTGATTGGAATCAACATATATTTCAGGTATAAATATGGCTTTCCTGTCCCCAGGGCCTCAACCAGCCCCACTATCTGAGGGCTTACTGAGTGTCTGATCCACAAACAGGGAATCCTGCCTAATAGCATGTTAGACCAAGGACCAAATTTATAGCAGAGAAAATATGGCAGTGGCAGTGGGGGTGTGGCATCATCCCTGGTCCTGTCACATATTGCATCACCCAGAAGCTGCTGGTCAGATGGTGGCATGAAACAGCTTTTTGAAAGTGTAGCTGAGTTGCCAACTTTGGGATGATGCTGTACAGGGATGGGGGGCCATCTTCAAGGATGTGGCATTTATCCCAAATTAATGTCTTATCATGTGGTTCTGTATTCCTAATAGGTATAATATGTGGCTCCAGGAACAAAGGGGTGGCCCTACATATCATCCATTTACTGCCTCTTGGAGAATCTGTATTTTCAGTCCCCATAATTCTAAGTTCAGTCATCTAGAGGTTATGATTCCCAGAGGAGAATGCTTCCACTAGAGGACACAGAAAAAAAAATACTATTAAATTTAAATTATTATTGCTTGTTCTCTATAGATTTATAGCACAAAGAGACCATCAGTCAAAGAAAGGAGTCATCAGTGGCAGGGCTATTTGACCCTGGTCATTAGGTGAAGAAGGTTCAGGGAAGAATTTGGATCCTCTGAGTTGTCTATTGGTACTCCCATGCCCAATTTTGTTAGTAGACGGGCAAATTCAGCAGTCATGGCCGAGAAGGGCATGGTGATTAGGCCTCCAGGGTTGACTAGGGTTGAGGATATAGTTCCTTGCCTCCTCCCTGTTAAGTAAACCAACTAAATCAGCAGAAATGCTAGGTGAGAGTGAGGAGAATTTAAACTGAGAAATAGAGGAAGAAGGTGATGAATATCAGTTGTAGCTCCATGACCAGCTGCCAGTGGCTAGGGCTGTTGTTTGTCTGATTAGCCTTCATTTTGTAAGTTTCCCCAGAAAAAGAAAGATGAGGTAAATTTAATAGAGAAAATGAGTGGATATGTGTAGCACAAGGTATATTGTTATAGATGTGGTGTGCCACCCAATTTCCCACATCCAGCTAAAGATTTAGGCACTCATTTCACCTGACTGCTGTAATGCTACCTGCAACTAGGTCACAGCTGAGTTCTTCACCAGGCAGTGCTCTCAGCTGAAGGGAACTACCTCTCCGAGGTCATATCCCTCCTTGGAGTAGCTCATATTTAATGGCTTGTCAGTACAGGGGTACAAGGAATACCTTTCTAGCCTCTGAAGGACCATCCCAGTTTCAGAACTCCCTATGGGATCTGTTGAGGTCTCTACTGCAATTGCAGCTCAACTTCCTCTTCTGCCTGACCCTGCTTTCCTTACTTCTTATAGGTGTTGTTTCTGTGAGCAGTCTTTTTTGTACATTGTTACTGAGATCAGGAAAATATTCATCTGAGAAACTATTTGCAAAGGGAACTCAATCTATGACAATGATGACCATGGGAAAGATAAGAAAATGCAGACAAAAATTCTATAGTTCTATCACCATTCTATTAATACCTTAATGAATTTCTTTCCAGTCTTTCTATGCATATATATATATATATATATATATATATATATATATTCATAGTATGTATGTGTGTGTGTATATACATACTGTATAAGTTTTTGCCATGAATGTTGTTTTTATGCCTTACTTTTAAAACTTAATATATTGAGAATATCTTATGTCATTCTTCTGTATCATCACTTTTAGTTGCTGCTTAAGTCATGTATGGATGTACCAATATCTTAATGTGTGGTTTCTAATTTTTTCATTACTGTATTATGAATAATGCAGTAGTGGTCATCTTTGTAGCTAAATCTTTGTCTAACCATGGTTTTTTTATTTATTTATAAGTGTTGAATTGTTGACCAAAAGATATATTTTATAGATATATATATAAAATCAAAACTATACTCCAAATAGGTTACATGACCCATTCTTTAAAATAGAGTGTCTTGATCCTCAGCCCTCTAGCACTGGTGTATAATGTGTGCACTGAGATGATTTTGCCACTGATGAATCCATTCTAATTTTTTACAGAGTATGTAGGCCCCATTTTAAAGGTTTGTTTTAGGAAACAAGGTGGCAGAATAGAAAGCTCCACCAATTATCCCCCATAGAGGGACACCAAGTTAACAACCATCTGCACAGAAAAACACCCTCATAAGAAGCAAAAATCAGGTGAGCACTTATAGTACCTGGTTTTAATTTCATATTGCTGAAGGAGGCTCTGAAGAGATAGAAAAAAACAGTCCTGAATCATTGTTGCCACCCCTCCACCACACCCAGCAGCTTTATGTCTCCAGGTAATCTTGAAAGGCAATCTAGTCCATAAGGAGTGCAACTCACAGGTGAGTCCTAGTGCTGAACTGGGCCCAGAGACAGTGGACATGCAACATATGCATGCAACATACTGAGATACCAGCTGGGGAAAGCCAAGAGAGTGCTGGCATCACCTGTCCCCTAACCCCAGGATGCACAGCTCATAGCTCTAAAAGCGACCCCTCCCTTCTGCTTGAGGAGAGGAGAGGAGAGGGAAGATTGGGGAGGACTTTGTCTTGCATCTAGGATATTAGCTCAGCCACAGCAAGATATGGCACTGGTCAAAGTCGTGAGGTCCCCAGTCCAGGCCCTAGCTCCCAGATGACATTTGTAGACACACCCCAGGCCAGAAGGGAACCCACTACCTTGAAGGAAAGGACCCAATCCTGGCAGCATTCATCACCTGCTAAATGAAAAGCCCTTGGGCCCTGAATAACCAGCAGTGATACCCAGATCCTACATCGAAGGTCTTGAGTGAGCCTCTGAGACTTGCTGGTCTCAGGTGAGACTCACCACGTAACCAGCTGTGGTGGCTATGGGGCAAAACTCCTTCTGCTTGAGAAAAACAGAGGGAAAAGTAAAGTGGACTTTGTCTTGCACCTTAAGTACCAGCATGGCCACAGTGGGGTAAAAAGCCAAGCAGGCTTGTGGGGCTCCTGATTATAGATCCTGACTCTTGGATGGCATTTCTGGACCTGCCCTGGGACAGAGGGGAGACCACTTCCCTGAAGGGTGAGTCCCAAGCCAGGCAGTATTCATGCCAAGCTGACTTAAAAGACCTTGGGCTGTAAGGGAACATCAGGAGTAGTCTGTTGGTACTCCTCATGGCCTGGGTTGGTGGTGCCTATAGGGTGAGACTCCTCTGCCTTTGAAAAGGGGAGGGAAGAGTGGGAAGGACTGTATCTTGTGGTTTGAGTGCCAGCTCAGCTACAATACAGTAGAATACCAGGTAGACTTCTAAGGTCTTTTTTTACTTTAGTCACTGACTCCAGACGCCACTTCTGTACCCACCCAGGGCCTAGGGGACCTTATCACCCTGAAGGGAAGGAGACAGGCCTGGCTCACTTTGCCACCTCCTGATTGTAGAGTCCCAGGGCCTTGAGTGAACATAGGCAGTAGCCAGAAAGTGGTTACAGCAGGCCTTGGGTTAGATCCAGTGCTGTGCTGGCTTCTGGTCTGACCCAGTGCAGTCACAGTGGTGAGGGCCATAGAGGTGCTTGTGTCATGCCACCCCCAGCTTTAGATGGCTCAGAACAGAGAGAGAGACTTTATGTTTGGGAGGAAGTAAGGGAAGGGAAAAAGAGCCTCTGCCTGGTAATCCAGAGAATTCTTCCTGATCTTGTATAAGACCATCAAAGTGGTACTTCCATGAGTCTGCAAGAACCACAGTGTTACTGTAGCTTGGGGTGCTCCCTAAAGCAGATATAGCTTAGATAAGAACACCCAAGTCCTTTCAAGTATCTGGAAAGCCTTCCCAAGACAGGTGGCTGCAAATAAGCCCAGACAGTGAAGACTACCTAACTCTTCAATGCCCAGACACTGAAGGACATCTACTAGCATCAACACCATGCAGGAAAACATGACCTCACCAAATGAACTAAATAAGACCCTAGATACTTTACCTTTCAGACGGAGAATTCAAAATAACTGAGTCGAGGAAACTCAAAGAAATTCAAGATAACATAGAGAAGGAATTTAGAATTCTATCATATAAATTTAACAACGAGACTGAAATAATTAAAAAGAATCAACCAGAAATTCTGGAGCTGAAAATGCAATTGGCATATTGAAGAATTCATCTGAATCCTTTAATGGCAGAATTGATCAAGCAGAAGAAAGAAGTGGTGAGCTTGAAGACAGGTTATTTGAAAATACCGTTAGAGGAGATAAAAAAGAATAAAAAACAATGAAGCATGCCTATAGGATCTAGGATATAGCCTCAAAAGGGAAAATCTGAGTTATCGGCCATAAAGAGGAGGTAGAGAAAGAGATACGGGTAGACAGTTTATTCAAAGGGATAATAAAAGAAAACTTCCCAAATCTAGAGAAAGATATCAATATCCAAAAACAGGAAGGTTATAGAACACTAAGCAAATTTAAGGAGACCTCCAAGGTAGTCTCCAAAGGAGACTTAATCAAACTCCCAAAGGTCAAAGATAAAGAAGGGATCCGAAAAGCAAGCAAGAGAAAAGAAACAAATAACATACAATGAAGCCCCAGTGTGTCTGGCAGCAGACTTTTCAGTGGAAATTTTAGCGGCCAGGGGAGAGTGGCAAGACATATTTAAAATGCTGAAGGAAAAAAAACTTTTACCCTAGATTAGTATATCCAGTGAAAATACCTTTCAAACTTGAAAGAGAAATAAAGACTTTCCCAGACGAACAAAAGCTGAGGGATCAATACCAGAGCTATCCTACAAGAAATGCTAAAGGGAGTACTTCAGTCAGAAAGAAGAGGACATTAATGAGCAATAAATAATCTCCTGAAGGTACAAAACTCACTGGGAATAGTAAGTACACAGAAAAACACAGAATATTATAACAGTGAAACTGTGGTACGTAACCTACTCTTACCCTAAGTAGAAAGACTAAGCAATGAACCAATCAAAAATAATAACTACAACAACGTTTTAAGACATAGTACAATAAGATATAAAGAGAAACAACAGGCCGAGCGCGGTGGCTCACACCCATAATCCCAGCACTTTGGTAGGCTGAGGTGGGTGGATCACGAGGTCAGGAGTTTAAGACCAGTGGGCCAACATGGTGAATCACTGTCTCTACTAAAGAATACAAAAATTAGCCTGACGTGGTGGTATGTGCCTGTAATCCCAGCTACTCGGTAGGCTGAGGCAGGAGAATTGCTTGAACCCAGGAGGTAGAGGTTGCAGTGAGCCAAGATCATGCCACTGCACTCCAGCCTGGGCGACAGAGCAAGACTCTCTCTCAGAAAAAAAGAGAAACAACAAAAAGTTAAAAAGCAGGGAGACACCCTAATTCATTTTATGAGGCCAGCATCATCCTGATACCAAAGGCTGGCAGAGACACAACCAAAAAGAGAATTTTAGACCAATATTCTTGATGAACATTGATGCAAAAATCCTCAATAAAATACTGGCAAACCGAATCCAGCAGCACATCAAAAAGCTTATCCACCAGGATCAAGTGGGCTTCATCCCTGGGATGCAAGGCTGGTTCAACATACGCATATCAATAAATGTAATCCAGCATATAAACAGAACCAAAGACAAAAATCACATGATTATCTCAATAGATGCAGAAAAGGCCTTTGACAAAATTCAGCAACGCTTCATGCTAAAAACTCTCAATAAATTAGGTATTGATGGGACATATCTCAAAATAATAAGAGCTATCTATGACAAACCCACAGCCAATATCATACTGAAGGGCAGAAACTGGAAGCATTCCCTTTGAAAACTGGCACAAGACAGGGATGCCCTCTCTCACCACTCCTATTCAACATAGTGTTGGAAGTTCTGGCCAGGGCAATTAGGCAGGAGAAGGAAATAAAGGGTATTCAATTAGGAAAAGAGGAAGTCAAATTGTCCCTGTTTGCAGATGACATGATTGTATATCTAGAAAACCCCATTGTCTCAGCCCAAAATCTCCTTAAGCTGATAAGCGACTTCAGCAAAGTCTCAGGATACAAAATCAATGTACAAAAATCACAAGCATTCTTATACACCAATAACAGACAAACAGCCAAATCATGAGTGAATTCCCATTCACAATTGCTTCAAAGAGAATAAAATACCTAGGAATCCAACTTACAAGGGATGTGAAGGACCTCTTCAAGGAGAACTACAAACCACTGCTCAATGAAATAAAAGAGGATACAACAAATGGAAGAACATTCCGTGCTCATGGGTAGGAAGAATCAATATCGTGAAAATGGCCATACTGCCCAAGGTAATTTATAGATTCAGTGCCATCCCCATCAAGCTACCAATGACTTTCTTCACAGAATTGGAAAAAACTACTTTCAAGTTCATATGGACCCAAAAAAGAGCCCACATCGCCAAGTCAATCCTAAGCCAAAAGAACAAAGCTGGAGGCATCATGCTACCTGACTTCAAACTATACTACAAGGCTACAGTAACCAAAACAGCATGGTACTGGTACCAAAACAGAGATATAGATCAATGGAACAGAACAGAGCCCTCAGAAATAATGCCACATATCTACAACCATCTGATCTTTGACAAACCTGAGAAAAACAAGCAATGGGGAAAGGATTCCCTGTTTAATAAATGGTGCTGGGAAAACTGGCTAGCCATATGTAGGAAGCTGAAACTGGATCCCTTCCTTACACCTTATACAAAAATTAATTCAAGATGGATTAAAGACTTACATGTTAGACCTAAAACCATAAAAACCCTAGAAGAAAACCTAGGCATTGCCATTCAGGACATAGGCATGGGCAAGGACTTCATGTCTAAAACACCAAAAGCAATGACAACAAAAGCCAAAATTGACAAATGGGATCTAATTAAACTAAAAAGCTTCTGCACAGCAAAAGAAACTACCATCAGAGTGAACAGGCAACCTACAAAATGGGAGAAAATTTTCGCAACCTACTCATCTGACAAAGGGCTAATATCCAGAATCTACAATGAACTCAAACAAATTTACAAGAAAAAAACAAACAACCCCATCAAAAAGTGGGCGAAGGACATGAACAGACACTTCTCAAAAGAAGACATTTATGCAGCCAAAAAACACATGAAAAAATGCTCATCATCACTGGCCATCAGAGAAATGCAAATCAAAACCACAATGAGATACTGTCTCACACCAGTTAGAATGGCGTTCATTAAAAAGTCAGGAAACAACAGGTGCTGGAGAGGATGTGGAGAAATAGGAACACTTTTACACTGTTGGTGGGACTGTAAACTAGTTCAACCATTGTGGAAGTCAGTGTGGTGATTCCTCAGGGATCCAGAACTAGAAATACCATTTGACCCAGCCATCCCATTACTGGGTATATACCCAAAGGACTATAAATCATGCTGCTATAAAGACACATGCACACGTATGTTTATTGCGGCACTATTCACAATAGCAAAGACTTGGAACCAACCCAAATGTCCAACAATGATAGACTGGATTAAGAAAATGTGGCACATATACACCATGGAATACTATGCAGCCATAAAAAATGAAGAGTTCATGTCCTTTGTAGGGACATGGATGAAACTGGAAACCATCATTCTCAGTAAACTATCGCAAGGACAAAAAACCAAACACTGCATGTTCTCACTCATAGGTGGGAATTGAACAATGAGAACACATGGACACAGGAAGGGGAATATCACACTCTGGGGACTGTTGTGGGGTGGGGGGAGGGGGGAGGGATAGCATTAGGAGATATACCTAATGCTAAATGACGAGTTAATGGGTGCAGCACACCAACATGGCACTTGTATACATATGTAACAAACCTGCACATTGTGCACATGTACCCTAAAACTTAAAGTATAATAATAATAATAATAATAATAAAAAGCAGAGAGACAAAGTTAAAGCATAGAGTTTTTAATAGTTTTCATTTTCCTTGCTTATGCAAATAGTGTTAAGTTGTTATCACGTTCAAATAATGGGTTATAAGGTGGTATTTGCAAGCCTCATGGTAACCTCAAATCAAAAATCATATAATGAACACACAAAAAATATAAAGCAAGAAACTAAATCATTTACCAGAGAAAATCACCTTCACTAGAGGAAGACAGGGATGAAAGAAAGAAGGAAGAGAAGACCACAAAACAACCAGAAAACAAATAACAAAATAGCAGGAGTTAATTCCTTACTTATCAATAATAATGTTTTATGTAAATGACTAAACTCTCCAATCAAAAGACACAGATAGGCTGAATGGATGAAAAAGCAAGATCCATTGGTCTGTTGCCTACAAGAAATACAATTCACCTATAAAGACACACATAGATTGAAAATAAAGGGATGGGAAAAGATATTCCATGCCAATGGAAACCAAAAAAGATCAGGACTGGCTATACTTATATCACACAAAATAGCTTTCAAAGACAAAAAATATAAGAAGAGACAAGGTCACTATATAATGATAAAGGGCTCAATTCAGCAAGAGAATATAACAATTTTAAATATATATGCACTGAACACTGGAGCACCCAGGTATATAAAAGAAATATTATTCAAACTAAAGAGAGATACAATAATAGCTGGAGATTTCAACATCCCACTTTCAGCATTGGACAGATTTTCCAAACAGAAAATTAAGAAAGAAACACCAGATTTAATCTGTACTATAAATCAAATGGATCTAACAGATAGTTACAGAACATTTTATCCAAGAACTGCAGAATACTCATTGTTTTCCTTACCACATGCATCATTCTCAAGGATAGACCATGTGTTAGGGCACAAAACAAGTCTTAAAACATTTAAAAAATTGAAATAATAGTAAGCATCTTCTCTGATCACAATGGAATAAAAGTATAAATTAATAACAAGGAATTGTGGAAACTATACAAATACATGGAAATTAAACAATATGCTCTTGAATGACCAGTGGGTCAATGAAGAAATCAAGAAGTAAATTGAAAAATTTCTTGAAACAAATGATAATGGAAACACAACATACCCAAACCTATAGGATTCAGCAAAAACAGTACTAAGGGGGAAGTTTACAGCTGTATGTGGCTGCATCATAAAAGAGGAAAAACTTCAAATGAACAGTCTAATGATGTATCTTAAGGGAACTAGAAAAGCAAGAGCAAACCAAACCCAAAATCAGGAGAAGAAAAGAAATAATAAAGATCAGAGTAGAAATAAATGAAATTGAAATGAAAAAATACAATACAAAACATCAGAGAAACAAAAAGTTGTTTTTTAAAGATAAATAAAATCGGCAAACCTTTAGCCGGACTAAGAAAAAAGAGAGAAGATCCAAATAAATAAAATTAGAAATGAAGAAGGAGACATTACAACTTATTCTGCAGAAATTTAAAGAATCACTAGTGGCTACTTTGAGCAACTATATGCCAATACGTTGGAAAATATAGAAGAGACTGACAGATTCTTAGATACGTACTACATACCAAGATTGAACCATGGAGAAATCCAAAATCTGAACAGACCAATAACAAGTGATAAGATCAAAGCCATAATAAAGAGTGTCCCACTAAAGAAAAATCTGGGACCAGACATTTAAAGAAGAATTAACACCAATTCTACTCAAACTATTCTGAAAAATAGAGAAGGAGAGAATTCTTGCAAACTGATTCTACAATGCCAGTATTAACGTGATACCAAAACCAGATGAAGACACATCAAAAACAGCAAACTACAGGCCAACATCTCTGAAGAAAATTGATGCAGAAATCTTCAATAAAATACAAGCAAATCACAAACAATACATTAGAAAGATCATTTATCATGACCCAGTGGGATTTATCCCTGAGACGCAAGGATGGTTCAATGTATGCAAATCGATGTGATATACCATATCAACAGAATGAAGGATAAAAACCATATGATCATTTCAATTGATGCTGAAAAAGCATATGATAAAATTCAACATCCCTTCATGATAAAAACCCTCAAAAAACTGAGGATAAAAGGAGCATACCTCAACATAATAAAAGCCATATATGACAGACCCACAACTAGTATCATCTGAATGGGGAAAAACTGAAAGCCTTTCCTCTAAAATCTGGAACATGACAAGGATGCCCACTGTCACCACTGTTATTCAACGTAGTACAGCAAGTCCTAGCCAGAGCACTAAGACAATAGAAAGATATAAAGGGCGTACAAACTGAAAAGAAATAAGTCAAATGATCCTTGTTTGCAGATGATATGATCTTATATTTGGAAAAGCCTAAAGACTCCACAAGAAAACTATTATAACTGATAAACAAATTTAGTAAAGTTGCATGATACTAAATCAACATATAAAAATCAGTAGCATTTCTATATGCCAACAGTGAACAATGTGAAAAAGAAAAAAGGTAACCCCATTTATCATAGCCACATATAAAATTAAATACCTAGGCATTAACTTAACCAAAGAAGCAAAATATCTCTATAATGAAAACTATAAAACACTGATGAAGGAAATTGAAGAGGACACCAAAAAATGGAAAAATATTCCATGTTCATGGATTGGAAGAATTAATATTGTTAAAATGTCTGTACTACCCAAAGCAATATGTAGACTCAATGCAATTCCTATCAGAATACTGACGACAATCTTCACAGAATAGAAAAAATATTCTAAAATCTATATGGAACCACAAGAGACCCAAAATAGACAAAGGTATTCTAAGCAAAAAAACAAAACTGGAGGAATCACATTACCTGACTTCAATTTATACTACAGAGCTATAGTAACCAAAACAGCATGGTACTGGCATAAAAACAGACACATAGACCAATGGAACAGAATGGAGAACCCAGAAATAAACCCACACACCTACAGTGAACTCATTTTTGACAAAGGTGCCAAGGACATACAGTGGAGAAAAGACAGTCTCTTCAATAATTGATGCTGGGAAAACTGGATATCCATATGCAGAAAAATGAAACTAGACCCTTATTTCTTGACATATACAAAAATCAAATCAAAATGGATTAAATACTTAAATCTAAGAACTCCAATTATGAAGCCACAGTACAAGAAAACATTGGAGAAAATCTCCAAGACATTGGTCTAGGCAAAGATTTCCTGATGAATACCCCACAAGTGCAGGCAACCAAAGCAAAAATGGACAGATAGGATCACATCAAATTAAAACGTTTCTGCACAGCAAAGGATACAATCAACAAAGTGAAGACATGACCCACAGAATGAGAGAAAAATATTTGCAAACTACCCATCTGACAAGGGATTAACAACCAGAATATATAAAGAGCTCAAACAACTCTATAGGAAAAAATCTAATAACCTGATTGAAAAATGGGCAAAAGATTTGAATAGACATTTCTCAAAAGAAGGACATAAAAATGGCCAACAGGCATATAAAAAAGGTGCTCAACATCACTGATCATCAGAGAAATGCAAATTAAAACTACAATGAGATATCTCACGCCTGTTAAAATGACTTATACCCAAAAGACAGGCAATAACAAATGCTAGCAAGGTTTTGGGGAAAAGGGAACCTTTGTACGCTGTTGGTGGAAATGTAAATTAGGACAACCACTATGGAGAACAGTTTGGAGATTCCTCAAAAAACTCAAAATAGAGATACTATGTGATCCAGCAATCCCACTTCTGGGAATATACTTCAAAGAAAGGAAATCAGTATATTGAAGAGATATTTGCATTTCTATGTTTGTTGCAGCACTGTTTACAGTAGCTAAAATTTGGAAGCAACCTAAGTGTCCAACAGCAGATGAATGGATAAAGAAAATGTGGTACATATACACAGTGGAGTACTATTCAGCCATAAAAAAGAATGAGATCCAGTCATTTACAACAACAGGGATGGAACTGGAGATTATGTTAAGTGAAATAAGCCAGGCATGGAAAGACAAACATCACATGTTCTCACTTATTTGTGGGATCTAAAAATCAAAACAATTAAACTCACGGACCTAGAAAGTAGAAGGATGGCTACCAGAGGCTGGGAAGGGTAGCAGGGGGTTGGTGGGCGGGGGGGGGGGAGGTGGGAATGGTTAATGGGTTAAAAATAAATAAATAAAAAGAATGAATAAGTCCTACTATTTATTTGATAGCACAGTAGAGTGACTATAGTCAATAATAACTTAATTGTACATTTTAAAATAACTTAAAGAGTGTAACTAGATTGTTTGTAACTCAAAGGATAAATGCTTGAGGGGATGGATACCCTGTTCTCTGTGATGTGTTTATTTCACATTGCATGCCTGCATCAAAACATCTCATGTACCCCTTAAATATATACACCTATGTACCCACAACAATTTTAAAAAATAAATAATAAAAGCTTTTTAAAAAAGGTTTGTTTTATTTAGGAGATTCTATTCCCAATATTTCACTCAGCATGTGGGAATATCAAGGTGTGTAAATTTCTTCCCACTTTTTAAATTGTTTGTTTCAACCAGGAGAAAAGAGGACAGACATAAGACCCTATACTTTGTTACATATGTTAACTCCTAGTTCACATCAATACCCTTTACCTCTATACTATTTAAATAATGTATACATTTTAAAATATTGCCTGAAACTGTACTACTGTTTCTCAGAAGGGACAATTGCTAGACATGAAAGAGAGGAGAGGACACAGTCAGGCAGAGGCAGGCCCTTGTTCCAATTAATGGACTTCTTGGAGGACAGCATAAGTAATTGGTTTTGAGGTTGTTTCCACTGCCTTTGAAAGACAATTGAAGTGCTCATCAAGATGTGCCAAATGTTTATAGAGTGCCTCTTTGGATGAGTATCTGTTTTAAATAAGTGAATTTAAAGGGGCCTGTAACTCACTTAAATTACACCAAGATGGGAGACTGGAGACAGGATATAGCTTCCAGTTGAAATTCCTTGATCTCTGGTTTAGTCTTAATTTTATAGATAACAAGAGCCATCATTTGAAGAACTTTAACCAGTTGTGCTCAAATGGTATTCAGATGGGACACTGGCTGCAGGCTGTACCCAAGCTTGTTGGTTCAGATTCATTTTCTTCTTAATGCAAAGGCTTGACATTTGTTGGTCCAAAGAGCGCATATGGCTTGTGGCTTGAAAACTGTCTTGTGCTTCTCTCTGACCAGAACACAAGTAGGGCTAAGAGAATGCAATGCCCTTATCACTGGCACCTGGGCACCACGGTGCTGTCTGTTGAGTCTAGAGAAATCAGCTGTTGAATTTTGGTGAGACAACCCCCCTTTCTTCCTTCTAGGGGAAGCCCAACTCATACTTTGCTGAGACCGGGCTCTCAATCCAGCTTAAGGCACTAGATTTGAAGGTCCAATGAAGTACCCACTTGGCTGAGGTGCTGAGAGGGGGCTGGGTGACTGTTAGAGATAAGAAGGGAACTTTGTTATGGAAGATAGCTGATGGAACAGTTAAGAGAAAGGAAGGCCTGGACATGCAATGAGAAAAAGAGGACCAGCCTGAAATTTCCTTGTCCTCTGCCACTAAATGAGAAAGGAAAGACTAGTGGATGAAGATTGAGGACTAATGTCTAGACTTGTGTCTGCTGCTAACTAAGCTTGTGGTCTTGGAAAAGTCATTTACTTTTATAGGCCCTTGATTTTCAAATGTCGTAAAGTGAATTCAGATGAGAAAATCACTAAGGTCATTTTCATTTTAAGTTGTAAAATTCTCTGATTTTATTTTGAAGAGTATATTCAAATTATATCTAATGTTTTGCCTTTAAGATTTCAGGCACTTTTCATATTTGTACTGTAGACCTATGTTTACTTCTGTGTCTTAAATCTTAGCTTACTTTTAAATGGCTGCTCACAGCTGGGCATGGTGGCTCACACCTGTAACCCTGACACTTCAGGAGGCTTGAGGCCAGAAGTTCCAGACTAGTTTAGGCAATACAATGAGGCCCCATCTCTATTAAAAAAAAAAAAAAAATTCGCCAGGTGTGGTGGTGTGCCTGAAGTCGCAGATACTTGGGAAGCTGAGGTGGGAGGATCACTTGAGCCCAGGAGTTCAAGCCTGCAGTGAGCCATGAAGGCAGCCCTGCACTCCAGCCTGGGTGACAGAGCTCTCAAACATACAAACAAACAATTTTTTTAAAAAGTAAATGACTGTTCACTTCTGCCCTCTCCCACCCTTGACTCCAAACACCTATGGACATCATCCCCTTCACCATAGTGCCCAAAACCCACAGTAGGAAGATGGCCACTGACCCATGCAGGCCCTTCATGCCACCCAGGGGTTCTATCACATTGTCTTATTTCAGGCTTTTCCCACTTTCGTAGGCAACTCTTTTCATCTCTCTTCAAGCCTTGCAACCTTTTCCCTCATCCTCACTTTCAGCTGATGAATCTGCTTCCTATTTTACTTTGAAAATAGAAGGAGTCAGATGAAGATTTATACACGATCCTGTTGACTCATCTATTCACCTATATGCATCTTTACCTTTATACTCTGCCTTCCCTCCTGTTACAGTGGATAAATTATCTATATGTCTACCTAAGGCTAACTCCTATACTTGTGCACTAGACTCTACTCCTCTTGCCTATTAAAGAATATTGTTCCAGTACTTGTCTCCTCTCCCCATTGCACTATCAAAATTTACCCTCTCTAATGGATCATCCTCATAGCATACAAACATGCTGAAATTCTGCACATCTTAAATGAAAATTCTCTCTTTTCCCCACATTTCTCTCCAGCTATAGCTCTATTTCTCTATTGCTGTAACAGCAAACTCCTCAAAAGAGTTGTCTGTGCTACCTATTTCCAATTTACTTCCTCTTGTTCCTTTTGAGTCCACTCCAATGACTTCCTTGTAGCCAAATCCACTAGTAATTGTTAGTCCTGATCTTATTTGACCTGTCTCAACATTTGATCCCATTAACTACTTTCTTTCCTGAAATGTTGCTGTGGTTCTTTTTTCCTTAACTTGCGTTCCAGGAACCTTTCGGTTCTCATCCTACTTTATGTGCTGTTCCTTCTCATTTTCTTTTGCTGAGCCTCCTTTCTCCTTCACCTCTAAACATCAGGCTGCTCAACAATATAGTCCTTAGACCTCTTCTCTTCTCCTTTGTATGGACCCACTTCTTAGGTGACCTCATCCAGTCCATGATTTTAATTTCATCTATATTCTGATGACTCCCAAATATATGTCTCCAGTCCAGAAATTTTCCCTTAACTTCAGGCTCATTTAGCTAATTATCTATTCTACATGCATATCTGATAGGTATCTCGAACTTAATATGTTATAACTACACTGTTGATTCCTCCCCCATTTCTAAATCTATGCATCACAGTAACTGGCAAGTCCATTTCTTCCGTTGCTTAGGCCAAAACTCTTGGAGACATTTATGAACACTTTTGCTTACATCCCATTCTGTTGGTGTCTCTACCTTCAGAATATATCCAACATTTAACTACTTCTTACACCCTGCACTACTATTTTCATGATCTCCTTGGTGTCCTTGTTTCTGTCCTTAATACCGGTTATATTCTCAACACAGTGGACAGAACAATCTTTAAAGCTTTAAGTCAGGTTATGTGACTCCTTTGCTTACAGCATTCCATGGTTTTTCTGTTTGTTTTTTAAATAACAGAATAAAGCCCAGAGTTCTTATCATGGCATACAAATGCTCCAAATATTCTCTGTCAACCTTTCCCCCTCTAACACCTCTTAACTCATCTAGCACACTGGCCCTCATTACCTCCTCTTCAGCTATACTGGCCTCCTCAGTGTTCTTATTTCAGTGCCTTTGCACATATTGTTCCCTTGGCTTGGCATAGTCTTCCCACAGTAACCTACAAGGTTCACAGTTTCACCATATGTGAAATAGCCACTCACTGCATTCCTCTCGTTTTGACCCCATTTAATTTTTCTCCATAACATTTGTCACCATCTGACATATATCTACATAAAATTTGTTTGTTGGCTATCTTCTCCCAGTACAGTATAAACTTTACAAGGGCAAAATCTTACTCTATTCTGTTCATTGCTGATTTCACAGTGCCTACACCTGGGCTCAGCATATAGCGAGTACACAATACTTATTTATTGTATAAATGTGTGAATGAACGAGAAAGTTCAGGCTAGTCCCAGGGGTTTTGGAAAAACTGGGTTGGGAGAAGTAGGATGAGAGGTGTAGGAGATTGGTCTAGCTGGGAGCCATGTTACCCATATGTTGTCTGTGAACATGCTGAGTTGAGATGTAACAGCACAGCTTCACTAAAAAAACAGACAATGCTGGAGCTCAGGAAGGTAAATTCCCATGTTGTTGGTGTGATGTGGTAAGGCAAGGATGTACAGAGCTTGAATTGGGTAGAATAAATGACTTTTCTCCTCCAGTTAGTTGATTTACTTTCCTATTGGCCATGCCCTTAGGTGTAATCATAATTCAACAATATACATGTGCCAAAAGATTGCCTTGCAAAGGTTCTTCTCCATTAGCTTATGTGTGTATTTTTGTGTGCACATGTTTCCAACAGTGTGCCAGATGACAGAAATTCAGAAACCACCATCCTAGTTGAAATCTGTGGTTCATTCAACACAATAGTCCCTTGCCAATAGCAGTCCAAATAAATTGGGTCAAAATAGATATGGGCACTTGATAGCATATTGTCATTTGTAAGGCTAGAGCTCAAACTCACACCAGCTTAAGCAAACAAACACAATTTATTGGCTCAAAAATCTTAGAAGTCTAATAGGTATTTTTAGGTATGGCTAGATTGAGGGACTCAATAAAATAATAACTTTGTATATATCTATTTGATTCTTCTTTCCTGAGTTGGTTTCATTCTCAAACAGGCTTTCTACAAATGATGGCAAAGATAGTTTCAGGCAGTTCCAAGCTTATGTGGTCCCTAGCCCTACTACAATTCCATGATGTTGGCAAGGGGCAGGGCATAAAAAGAAGCATAGCAGGGCAAATCAAAAAGTAACATTACCACTGTTCTCCTAATGGCTGTTTGTGAAGATGACTTATTCAGTAAGTTTAAATGTGTTTTTATTTCCCTGAAGTCAATGACATAGTTTTTTCTCTTTTAAAATTCAGCTGTCTTTTATTACCATGTTTCTTAGAACCCCATAATGTTTTGTTTCCTCTGCACCTCTTTCTGGCATAATGTTATTGTTCCTAAGAGCATTGATGAGGCTTTGGAAATTTTAGACCAAACACAATTGAAATGATGGCTAGCCCCTTTGGTGCTGCTGTCATGACTTGATGAAAATTATACAGACTGGGGCAATGTCTCTGAGATCTAATGCAAGCAGTGTGGTCCTTTCCACTGAAACAGCCCTCACACCATCCATAAGTCCCAAAGGCAAAAATTAGTTGAATTCTGCTCCAGAATGAGATATAGCTTGAGAACAAACTCATAATTTAGGAAATCAAAAGTTTCTGCTGGCATTTCAGTAATGAGGTTTGGGACTGGTGAATGTGAGTCCTTCAACATGGGCCTGGGATGTCACTTCCTCAGTCTGCTTGATTCAGAGAGTGGGATGGGAATCTCTACCTTGGGCTTAAAGCAAATGGATCTTTGCCATCAGAAAGTCACTGTTCTGCTCATCCCTAGTGAATCTTGATGATGACTCTCAGATGGGAGGTCAAGGAAATTGAATTAGACATAAGACAGGTCAGGGTTTATAGTTGCAATAGTTGCAAGCAGCAAAACTAATTCCACAGATTTTAAGTAGAAAAAGAGTGTACAGTTGGCCCTTCAACAATGCAGGGTTGGGGTGCCAACCCCCATGCAGTTGAAAATCCACACATAACTTTGGAATCCTCAAAAATGTAAGTACTAAAAGCCTACTGTTGACCAAAAACTTTACCAATTACATAAACTGTCAATTAACACATATTTTGTATATTATATCCTGTATTCTTACAAAAAAGGAAGGTAGAGAAAAGAAAATGTTATTAAGAAAATTATAAGGAGAAAATATATTTACTATTCATTAAGTTGAAGTAGGTGATCATAAGGGTCTTTATCCTCATGATCTTCATGTTGCATAGGCTGAGGAGAAGGAGGAAGAAGAGTTGGTCTTGCTGTCTCAGAGGTGGCAGAGGCAGAAGAGGTAGAGGAGGTGAAAGGGGAGACAGGAGAGGCAGGCATACTGGGGGTAAATTTTATTGAAAAAAATTCACATATAACTGGACCTGTGCAGTTCAAACCTGTGTTGCTTAAGGGTCACCTTATAAGAAAATTACTGGATGACCCACAAGGTCACTGGGATGGATGGAGATCCGGATCCAGAAACTTGGCAGGGATATCGGTGTTATGGGTTGAATTGTGTTCCACCCTAAGCCCCAAATATGGCGGACTCCTTATCCCTGATATCTCAAGGTAACTTTACTTGGACATAGAGTCTTTGCAGATATAATCAAGTTAAAATGTGGTCATACTACATTAGTATGATTCCTAATCCAGTGACTGTTATCTTTGTAAGAGAAAGGAATGGAGATTTACACACAGAGACAAAGAAGGGAAGAAGGCCTGTCAAGATGAAGGCAGAAATTGGAATTTTGTTGTCACAAACCAGGGAATGCCAAAGATTGCCAGCAAGCCCTAGAAGCTAGAAGAGACAAAAATGGATCTTTCCTAGAGTCTTTGGAGCAAGCAGGGTCCTGCCAATACCTTGATTTCAGATTTCTAGTCTCTAGAACTGTGAGAAAACAAGTTTCTGTAGTTTTAAAGCTACCCAGTTAGTGGTATAGGCATACCTCATTTTATTGGACTTTGCAGATATTGCATTTTTCACAAATTGAAGGTTTGTGACAACCCTGCGCTGAGCAAGTCTGTCGGCACCATTTTTCCAACAGCATGTGCTCACTTCATGTCTCTGTGTCACATTTTGTTAATTCTTGCAATATTTCAAACTGTTGTTAATTCTTGTAATATTTCAAACTTTTTCTTGTTGTTATATCTGTTATAGTGATCTGTAATCAGTGATCTTTGATGTTACTGTTGTAATTGTTCTGGGGTGCCATGAGCCACACCCATGTAATAAGGCAAACATAATTGATAAATGTTGTGTGTTTTCTGACTGTTCCACTGACCAGCCATTTCCTTATAATATTGAAAGTAGGCAAATTAATAACCCCATAGTAGCCTCCAAGTGTTCCAAGAGCCACACATTTCTCACTTGAAATCAAAAGCTATAAATGATTCAACTTAGTGAGGAAGGCATGTTGAAAGCTGAGACAGGCTGAAAGCTTCTTGCACCAAACATCCAAGTTGTGAATGCAAAGGAAAGGTGCTTGAAGAAGGTTAAAAATGCTACTCTGGTGCACACATGAATAAAAAAGCTAAACAGCCTTATTGGTGATGAGGAGAAAAATTTAGTGGTCTAGATAATAGATCAAATCAGCCACAACATTCCCTTAAGTCAGAGCCTAATCCAGAGCAAAGCCTTAATGCTTTTCAATTCTTTGAAGGCTATGCGAGGTAAGGAAGCTGCAGAAGAAGAGTTGGAAACTAGCAGAGGTTGGTTCGTGAGGTTTAATGAAAGATGCCATCTCCGTAACATAAAAGTGCAAGGTGAAACAGCAAGCACTGGTGGAAATGTTACAAGTTATCCAGAAGATCTAGCTAAGATTATTGATGCTGGTGGCTACACTAAACAGATTTTCAATGTACAAAAAACAGCCTTCTATTGGAAGATGCCATCTAGGACTTTCACAGAAAGGAGGAGTCAATATCTGGCTTCAAAGCTTCAAAGGCTAGGCTGACTCCCTTGTTAGGGGCTAATGCAGCTGGTACTTGAAGTTGAAGCCAATGCTCATTGATGAATCTGAAAATCCTAAGGCCCTTAAGAATTACGCTAAATCTACTCTGCCTGTTTTCTATAAATGAAACAATGAACCTTGGATGGCAAAACACCTATGGTTTCCTCAGCATGGTTTCCTGGGTATTTTAAGCCCACCGTTGAGATCTACTGCTCAGAGAGAAAAGATTCCTTTCAAAATAAGACTGCTCAGTGACAACACACCTAGTCACCTAAGAGCTCTGATGGAGATGTGCAAGAAGATGAATGTTGTTTTCATGCCTGCTAATACAACATCCTTTCTGTGGCCCATGGATCAAGGAGTAATTTTGACTTTAAAGTCTTATTATTTAAGAAATGCATTTGTAAGGCTATAGCCTCTGATGGATCTGGGCAAAGTAAATGTGAAACCTGGAAAGGATTTACCATCCTAGATGCTATTTAAGAACATTTGTGATTCATAGGAGGAGGCCAAAATATCAACATTAATAGGTGTTTTGAAGAAATTGATTTCAACCCTCATGTACAACTTTGAGGGTTCAAGATTTCCTCCACTGAAGCCAGATGTGATATAAATAGCAAGATAACTATAATTAGAAGTTGAGGCTAAAGATGTGACTGAATTTCTACAGTCTCATTATAAAATTTGAATGGATGAGGAGTTGCTTCTTATGCATGGGCAAAGAAAGTGGTTTCTTGAAATGGAATCTACTCCTGAAGATTCTGTGAACATTGTTGAAATGACAACAAAAGACTTAGAATACTACATCAACTTATTTGAAAAGCAGCAGCAGGGTTTGAGAGGTTTGACTCCAGTTTTAAAAGAGTTCTTGTGTGGACAAAATGCAATCAAACAGCATCTCATGCTACAGAGAAATCTTTCATGAAAGGAAGAGTTAATTGATATGCATACTCAATTTTTGCCCTATTTTCAGAAAGTTCCACAGCCACCCCAGCTTCACCAACTACCACCCTGAGCAGTCAGCGGCCATTAACATTGAGGCAGGACCCTCCACCAGCAAAAAGTTTATGACTCTAAAGGCTCAGATGATTTTTAGCATTGTTTAGCAATAAAGTATTTTTAATTATAGACTACACTACAGTGTAAATGTAACTTTTCTATATACTGGGAAAACAAAAAAAAATGTGCAATTTGCTATATCATGATTTTTGCTTTACTGCAGTGGTCTAAAACTGAACCCACAGTATCTCCAAGGTATGCCCATACTTTGTTATTGCAGTCCTAGGAAACTAATACAAAGAGAAGCTAGGCAGCAGGCCTCAGCTAACATCATGCCTAGCAACAGTTGGCAGATGTAATGCGGCAGCTGCTCCTGGTTCCTGATGCTGGTGTGACTGGCCTTGCGGCCCTCTGCTGTGTCCTCAGAATGAATCTTCCACTCACCTTACTTCTTGGTATTCAAGTTCTGGGCAGGAAAATCTGACTGGTTAAAGTCTAGGTCACATGTCTGGCCTAGAGGGTTTGACAGGAGGAGAGAGAAAGCAAAAATCTGGTCTTTAGGAAGTTACACAGTGGGTTCTTCCCCAAAATAGGAGTGAGCTTCAGATGCTAGGCAACCACAAAAAGTCCCTATGACATATATATGCAAGAAAGCAGCAAATTTTAATTGTTACTGGTTCCAAATAATAGTAATAATACTGAGGTTTATGAATGATTTGCTTTTTGACATAAACTGTAGGCATTGCAAGTTTATCTTTTAATATCCTTTTAGCTCCCTGCTAGAAGGCCAGGTATTATATATATTTCCATTGTATATACATGAGAATGTTACCATTTGTGAGACATCTCTGCAAAAAACAAGGTGGGTATATGTTGATGTAGCAGCTGTGCCACCATCAATCTGAGCAGACTGTAGAGAGGGCCAGAGACACTGCACAGTGAAGTGCAGATAGAGTACAGGTTCTGGAGCAGGCCACTGGAGCTGGGAACTGGCACTGTCACTTACTAGCTGTATGACTTGGCCATCTTTTAGCCCCAGTTTCCCCGTTTGCCAAATGGGGATAATAATACCTACATCATAGGGTTGTTATGAGGATTAAATGAGTTAAGCCACATAAAGCACTTAGAACATTACCTGGTATATCATAAGCATTCAATATTAGCTATTATCCCCGTACCAAATTCTGAGAATTGGAGAGGTTATCTTTGTTCCTTTTGGAGTAGCAGTTCTGAGCACAAAATTCATTACAAACCAAAAACAGTATTCGATGAGAAAAGATCTTGGTATTTTTCTTTTACCATCTGTACAAAAAGGAATGGAACTCTGGGTGTTTTACTCTTCCTATCTAGAACGAAGAAACACAGATGGGCCCAGATCTCAAGAATGGGGCTACAATGAATGCCTTGCACACAGTAGATGTTCAGTAAATATTTGCTGAGTGTACTAGGCAAGTTGAGCAAGGTACCTCCACTGTCCTCTCCCAAGGAGCCTTAGATTGCCTGCCATATGCCCATTTCTTTCTGAGGGTTTCTTATGAATAAATTATACTGTAGCCTAGTATAAGTCAAATCGCAACCAAAGGAAGCCAATCCATACATTCACCCTGCTCTACCACAGAGATTGCTTTGTGCAAACACAGAGTCCTACTGGGATAGCCTATAGTGGATGGACTGATTGAACCAATCAAATCCACTCCTGAGGAATGCAAACCTGGACTTATAAGGAGTCAGCAGTTGGTAGTGGGGACAGAGGTAAAAAGTGCATAGAGCGAAGCCACCAGTTAGCTGAATCCAATAAACAGACATTTGAGGTAGAGAGTGAATTAGTAAGTTGGTTCTTTGTTGACAGCCAGGGCAGAAATAAAGACAGACATGTTTAATGGCAAGCCTTATATCAGTGCTGTACACAAGTATCTCACTTAATCCTCACGAAAGCCCAGTGAAATAGCTGACATTGTTATCCCCATTTTACACGTCAGGACACTGAGGGTTAGAGAATCGAATAACTTGTTAAAGATCCTGAATTTAGAAGTGGCTGATTTGGGGCTCCCACCTAGACCAACCTAGAAGCAGAGGAAGAGCAGTGGAATCAGCACACACACACACACACACACGCACGCACGCACACAGAGCTGCAACTGAGGTGCAGCTACAGTCTCCAGGGCACCACAGCTGTGGCTCAAGCCATCTTTCAGACCCTTTTTGCTGGGAGGCTCAGTTGTGACTTCACCATCACTGGCTGTGTATTACTGTAATAAATGCTCCATTAAGAAAGGAAACTTGAATGGTTCTTGTTCCCTAAAGCCTCACTATTCATAGTGGAGTCCAGGAACAGTCAATTCAGCATTACCTTGATACTCATTTGAAATGCAGCATCTTGGGGCTCCTTCCCAGACCTCTTGAATCATAATCAGATCTTTTAACAGGATCTCCATGTAATTAATGTGCACATTAAAATTTGGGATGCACTTCCTTAAAACACTGATTATCAAACTTAGCTGCACATTGGAAGTTTAAAAAATACAGTTACCTGGATCCCACTGATTGAGTTGGTATGGGTTGTGGCCTTAACTTTTAAAAGCTCCCCCAGGTAATTCTAATGAACAGCAAAAGTTGAGAACTACTGCTAAAACCTCTAATCAGTTTGTGAACCCGTGATAAACAAGGGGCTAAGGCATGATCTGAATGAAGACTGAAATCATAAATGTCAATAGATAAGGTGAAATGCAGATTCATTCACCAAGTCTCAGATGATTAGAAGCACTTGAAGCTAGATAAAGATTAAGAATAGGCTAAAATGAGTGCGATGAAATTAAATTACTATTGGTGACTACTTCTAGACTTTTTCCTTCTCCTGCCTGCTACGGAGGAACTTGCTTGCTCATAGTTTTTCTTTTCCCTTCCCCTGGATAGAGGTTCTATCTCTTGTGTGCTTAAATGGTGCGGGCTCATGAGGAAAGGGAAGAAAAGGGGAAGATACAAAGTGGTGATCAGAGTGGAGTATTAAGAAGTTTGGGGGTGGGTTTGGAAGAGAATGATGTTGGTGAGTGTGGGGCTTTGAGAAAATTGGTCTATTCCGGGATTCAACTTCTTCCTGGTTTAGTCTTGGGAGGGTGTATGTGTCCAGGAATTTATCCATTTTTTCTAGATTTTCTAGTTTATTTGCGGAGAGGTGTTTATAGTATTCTCTGATGGTAGTTTGTATTTTGGTGGGATCAGTGGTGATAACCCCTTTATCATTTTTTATTGCATCTATTTGATTCTTCTCTCTTTTCTTATTAGTCTTGCTAGCAGTCTATCAATTTTGTTGTTCTTTTCAAAAAACCAGCTCCTGGATTCATTGATTTTTTTGAAGGGTTTTTTGTGTCTCTATCTCCTTCAGTTCTGCTCTGATCTTAGTTATTTATTGCCTTCTGCTAGCTTTTGAATGTGTTTGCTCTTGCTTCTCTAGTTCTTCTAATTGTGAAGAGAGTTTTTAAAATACATGACAAGGATGGGAATATTATAGATTAGAGTCTCATTAGCATCTCTCAAGAGATGCAAGAAAACATTGAATTTCTTTTTAAAAATTATAAAATATACACAATATAAAATTTCTCATTTTAGCCTTTTTTTTTTTTTTTTTTTGAGACAGAGTCTCGCTCTGTCGCCCAGGCCGGACTGCGGACTGCAGTGGCGCAATCTCGGCTCACTGCAAGCTCCACTTCCCGGGTTCACGCCATTCTCCTACCTCAGCCTCCCGAGTAGCTGGGACTACAGGCGCCCGCCACCGCGCCCGGCTAATTTTTTGTATTTTTAGTAGAGACGGGGTTTCACCTTGTTAGCCAGGATGGTCTCGATCTCCTGACCTCATGATCCACCCGCCTCGGCCTCCCAAAGTGCTGGGATTACAGGCGTGAGCCACCGCGCCCGGCCCAGCCTTTTTAAAGTATACATTTCAATGGCATTAAGTACATTCACATTGTTGTGCAACCATCACAACTATTCGTCTCTAGAACATTTTCATCTTCCCAAACTGCAACTCTACCTATTAAACATTAACTTCCTATTCCCCCTCCTCCTAGCCCCCGTAACCATTATTTTACTTTCTGCCTGTATGAATTTGATTATTCTAGGTACCTCATATGAGTGGACACAGACAATATTTTTGTCCTTTTGTGTTTGGCCTATTTCACTTCACACATGAATTTCTTTGAGACTTATTTTCCCCTCAGACTGTCCTTTTTAAAATATGACCTATATGGGGACTGAACAATATGTATCTTGGCTTTATTAGGGTTGCATTCGTGTAGTGCTGCTTTTCTTGATGGGAATGGAACTTAGGAGATGATTATCCTAGGAGATAGGCCAGCCTGAACATAAAAGTAGGCTTAGAAAAGGTTGAGATAAGGCCATTATCCTTAGCAAACTAATGCAGGAACAGAAAATCAAATACTGCATGTTTTCACTTATAAGTGGGAGCTAAGTGGTGAGAACTCATGGACACAAAGAGGAGAACAACAGACACAGGGGCCTATCGAAGCATGAAGGGTGGGAGGAGGGAGAGGATCAGGAAAAATAACTAATGGGAACTAGGCTCAATACCTGGGTGATGAAATAATCTTTACAACAAACCCTCATGACACAAATTTACCTATATAACAAATGTGCACATGTACCCCTGAACTTAAAATCAAAGTTAAAAAAGAAAGAAAAGTTAAGATAACTCACTGATGTCGAAGCACACAGACTATTCAGAGGAAGGTGGATATCTGAGGCTACAGCCTATGAGGCTGGTTATAATTACTCTATGTCATTTCCTAATAAAGGCAATATGTAGTTTTGTTTGAGAGTGGGCTATGTGCTCTTTTCCTTACTCTGAATTTCAATTTATTCTAAAACTAAAATATTATTTTAACAACATCGCTCCATCTTTTTGACTATGGAGAGGTTGGTTCGTTTTTGGTAATTAACAGAGGACTTAATGTGGCTGAGACAAGATTTTTTTTAAAAAAGGAAATCTGCTTTAAATCTCATGGGTAAGCCTTAAATCAGTCATTTCTGAATTGACTACTTATGCTTTATTCCACAAGTACTGAAAAACAGGAAGTTAGACATTGTCATTTTCTTTCATAGTGTTTTGGGACATTTATGATCAACCTGTGAAATCTTTCAGGAAACACTCCAAATCCATTGTCGTGTACTCCTTGTCTGACTTTGGATAGGTTATTTAATATGTTGACTTTTAATATTTTTTTCATTTTGGAGGAATGAATGGTAATGCCTACTGAAGAAGATTGTGAATAAAATTCAAGGGAGGTAGCATCTACATAGAAGGCCCTCAATACAGTTGTCATTGTCTGTGTTGATTGTGTACAATGATGGTATATCCTTTGCAGTTATCAACATCTTTGGTAAAATTTTAAATTCAAAGGAAACAAAGTTCATAGGTATTGTTATATAAGATTTCTATTCAGATTAGTAGCACATTACTGTCTTAGGTTGGGTTCACTAGATGCAGAGCCTGAGGACTTGGCTGCTCTTCAAGAAAAACCTATAAGGTAGTAAGAGAAATAGGATCGGGAAGAGGAAGGAGCCAAGAAAGAATGTTGTTTCAGATAAAGTCTAGACTTATAGCTTGATGCTGAGGGCAAGGGTGGGGTCCCTAGGCAGGGGGAGTTGTGGAATATAAATCCTACCATAGGGTCGTCTGAGGCAGCAGTTCAGGCTTTCCTTCTATATGAAACCATTTTAGGACACTAAAAAATCTGTGGAAAGTTTGTGGAAGCATCAAAAATAGCAATTTGCTGTGATAAGTGTGCCCTATAACTTTCAGATGGCTATGCAATAGGTTCCCTTTAGCCACCTCTTAGTGATGATTCAACCAAAATAGCCCCACAATAAATAACAAAACATTTCCTTGTTCATGAATTTAATTACTATTTCTTAACATCTGTTAGGTGCTCAGAACTGTCCTAGGCACTAAAATCATGGCAAAACAATAAAAAGTACCAGTGGATATTTTTTAAGTACTGAAAAAATAACCAGTTGAAAACAAAATCGAAACCACATTTTCTAGAGGCTTCTCTCTCAAAAGAAACTAAGCTGCTAAATAAAATCTGGTGTTTAAACTATATTTTTTAAAAGAGATGGGGTGAGGGCTTGTTTAGATTTGTTCTTTACATAACTAGTTGAAACTTGAGAAGTAAAATCTGCTTCGAGCTATTGTTGATTGGACATAAAAGCAGGGAAAATTTGCAGTAGCTGAGATGGGGCTTTGGAAATGGGTAAATTGTAAATATATCCTTTGAAATTAATCTAAAAATAAGTGGCATCTGAACATAAATATGTGTAACTCTAACATCTATTGAACAACAGATACTTTTAGACACAATAATAAGGGATTCTTGCAGGGGAATGCAAATAACTAACATTTCTTATTTCAGCTCCTCAAGTTCTTGTCCTTGAGTGTATTTAAAGAGATCACCCAGAGACACATGGAAGCAAAAAAAAAGAAGAAAAAACCCATAAACTTCCACTAACCATCTTATTATTATACTAAGCCCATATTTGGAGATAATAATTGGCATATTCCATAGGGGCAGCCTGGGAAATGTGTGTCTGTCATGGTTCTTTGTTCATAAGCAGCAGAAATGAACTTTGGATAACTTAAGCAGAGGAAGAGTTTATTGGAAGGATATATGATAGTTCTTAGAATAAAAGAGAAAGCTTAGTCATCTGACTTAGAAAGGACAGAAACTATGACAGAGAAGTCCTAGATCTAGGAAACAAAAATGAGTGGTGATCTGTCATTAGAACATCTCTAGTAGAATGAATCTGCTGTTGGCATTTTTTTAGTCTCCACATTATACTTAAGATCCAAATGTTTGGCAGAAAGTTGTGTCATTGGCCTGACAAGAAGAAAGCTCGGCACATTCATTCATTCATTCATTCAACTAACATATCTATTGATCTCTACTACACATGCCAGGTACCTGATATACACAAATTGAGTGACAGCCCCAGCATAATGCATTCAGTAGAGAAAGGATTATTTCTCCACCATAAAATCAAAGTGCTGATAGAAAAATGGGAATGGTTGCTGGGTGTTCAGGATGGCCAGATACCCTTGCAAGACCGTTTCCCTTAGATCCACAGACATTTGTATGCTTGTTCTTTTTTTAAGAAACATTAACTTCTCTGCTTGTACTTTTTCTTGCCTTTGGGGACAAATTTCCAAATATCCCAAATCACTGGGCTGGAGAGCCTAGCTGTGAATGTTCACCTGGCGCCACCAGTCCCTCATCCACATTGGCTTCCTCCTGCATCCCAGACAGAAGGGTAATCCCAAGGGCCTGATGAGTGTTAACTCACTTTCCTTTGTCTCTGCCAAGCTGAATTATGGATTCTGCTTTTCCCAAACCTTTATTTTCTTCATAATCATTCCCAGTTTCTGTCCCGTATTCCTCACATGCATATTTATCTCAAGGTTCCATGTGAGTGTACAATTCTAATAGTGTCCTAATATTATAGGTTTAAATTCCTATTTTCATCTATCTGATGAAAAGGCCAGCTGACAAGAATGTTGTGTTGCCATGTGTCCCTTAAAGGATTGTAGTCTTAGACTTAATACTAGTTCAAACAGAAAGGTATCTTAATTTGGAAGTAAATATAGGAAAATGACTATATTACTTAAGTAAACACAACTCAGTAGGAGCTAAGGTAGAAAAAAAATTTCTTTTTGTTGTTGCCTCATAAATCATACTAATAGTCTTTGATATCAGAGCTCTACCTAAATATACCTTATTTGTTCATTCATTCATTTTTGTTTATTTACCAAGCAATTATTAGCCACCTGCATACATTTGCCATGTACTATTCTTTCCTTGAGTGGAGTTTGGCTTTAAAATGAACAGAAAAAAGAGGGTAAGATGAAGGTTTCAGTGAGATTAGCATAAGCTGGTCAGAGGGGACCAGAAAGGAATTTGTATTGCAGTTTCTATGAGAGCTTTACTCTTTGGCCTCTATCATTGACCTAGTCTAAACTTCCAGATCCTGAAACAAAACTTAAAACAGCACTTAATTCCAGTTGCAGAAGCACCTTGCGCCAGCTTTCCCACCTCCGGGTTCCCTGGGCAAAGAAGGAGCTTTGTGGGCAGAAGTTCAAGCACTCCTGAAGAGTGTGGCCACTCGGAGCTTGGCAGGAATGAGGGTGGGGTGGTTGTGTGCTAGAAGCAGCAGAATTAATCCTGCAATTGCTTTTTTAATCTAATCTACTGTTTGTATTTCAATTCTGTACATTGATCTAATAATATTCTTTAGAAGAATTTTTTCTCTTCCTCAACCAGACCAAGTCTAGGATCTACTATTGCATTTGGTTATCACGTCTCTTTAGCCCCTTTTAGTCTGGAACATTGTCCCAGCCTTTGTCTTTTATCACATTGACATTTTTAATGAATACAGTCCTATTAGATTGAAGTTATGCATTCTAGGCCAGAGAACTGCATAGGTGATGTGTCCTTCTCAGGGTATCATGTTTGTTCTTCAGTGGTAATGTTAATTTCAATGACTTAGTCAAGATATTGTCCAAATTTTCAATTTTATAAAACTGGGGCTTTTATCACCGCCCCCCCCACTCCGCCCCTGACTCCCCACTCATGGAACTAATAAGCAGTCTGTGAGGTGGCACTTTAAAATGATGCAAATATCCTGGTTCTCATCAAAATTTCCTGGTAGGTGTAGCATTCATTCATGAGTCTTGTCTGACCCAATCTTTACTATCATGGTTGTGAAGTAAAGGTCTTTCAGTGCCGGCACTCTTTCACATTCACCAGACAGCTGTTACATTTCACTGCAACCCATGGTTTCCCTCACTTATTTACTATTTACTATTATTGGTATGGACTTGTGAATTCCTATTTTTTCAATGCTTTATAATTCCTTGCTATACTTATTTCTTTTAGTGCTCAAATTTATGTATTCTCATTTATGTAAAATACCAGGCAAATGCAGCTTTATGCAGCATACTCACATCCAATCAGATTGCAGCCCCTAAGTCTCTTCTAGTAGAAATTCTGGAGCCATCACTGTGTGTATGTGGCACGTATAAGACATACTTAGATATGCATAGATGCTCAGAAAACTGATAACAGGGGCTATCTTGAGAGAAGGAGATTAGAAGACAGAGATTTGAGGTTGGAGAAAAATTTAATATTCACTTTTGTAATATTTGAATTTTTTAAAGTATATGTAATAAATCATTAAAAATAAAAGGCTTTTTTTTTTTTCCCAAGCCAGTATCAGCGAAGCCAGACTAACTTGGAACACATTTTATTTTCTCAATCATTAAACTTCTAGGTTCCATTTTAAAACTTGGTAGGCAGACAATCTCCACTATCTAAATAGTGTTATTTGGTGGTCAACTTTAATTTGGGCCTGTGTTTCAAGGCAGGCCTCTTACACTAGGGCTGCAAATTCTGACTACTGACTCTGAGTTTTCAAATTCAGAAAGTGATTTCCAATGCCAGTGTTAACATGGTGTAATTGCTGTGCAATGCAGTACTGCTTCAGCCCTAAGCTCCATTCTATTAAGTTTTGCAAGCTGGGAGATGGGAGACTGTATGTGAGGTTATTAGATTGAGTGCTCATTTCAGCTGTTTTCTCATTTAGCTCCACTTGTCTAGGTTCGCAACGATGGCTGATTGGGCCCATGATGGTGCTTTGGAATGTAAATTGATTGCTGAGATGCCTGCCATTAAGTAGCTGTCCTACCTATATTTTGGATTATTTTGAAAATTCTGTATAAATCCACACACAATAGATCTTAGAATTTCTCTGCATTTAAAACATATGCTGTCACTGTGGTAAGAAATTTCTGTGAACCTTGCAAAGCTGTAGATGCCCTGGCTTAGCACAGAGCAGTTTATAACATACAACCCAGATGCAAGCTCCATTGGCCTACTCACAAGCAGCCTCGTGTAATTATTCCTCCATTAAGCCTATATGCAGACCACACTGAACTCAACCATAGTCTTTCTTTGAAAAAAAAAAAAAAAAAAAGGTGGCTTTATTATAAACACGAGGAAGCTGGATATTTTTGAGAGGTGTTTGCATTTTGAAGCCTTGTGGTTTTCTTCATCTCTTCAATAATCATTAACATGCTCAATAGTTAACCTTCCGGAAATGTGAAACTTTATATCTGAACTTTGCAGCATCTGTCTTGCAATGCAGACTGAGTTTGCTGAGGCTGTTTTTATAATCACTGGTGGTAAAATCAGGAAGACGCAAAATGAGCGTGTACTCAAGTGCAGTTCATCCAACATTCTAGACCTTAAATTAGAGTGATGAGCATAAACACTGCAAACAGAGTTTTTTTTTTTTTTTTTTAACTAAATTGCAATTATATTTTAAATTACCTACAATTACCAGAAACCATCTCAAAGCTAGAAATTAACTTCTTAGGCACTGGTCCCAGCAGATCAGCTGTTAAATGGACCATCCTGGGTAGCTGACTTCCCACTCTCGTTTCCTTCTGCACACAGCCTTGCACAAGCCAGGCAAGGTGGAACAGCAGGGCGGAGCCCGCGGTTCAGGGTCACGTGATAGGCGTTGGCCCTCAGAATGGTGCAACCATATTTTTACAACTTCCCAAATTACAGTTTCATTCAGGTTCATGACATTTTCATGAAATACTGTGCTAGCTTTCTTTTCGAGAGTAAGTGACGATTTTATTTTAGATTTTAATTGAACTATTTTTATGCAGCGGGTTTTGTCATCTGGTATTTAGGGCATGGAATTGGGTCCAGGAACCACTAGGACTATTCCTAGCTAGTCACTCACTGTGTGACCTTGGTAAGGGCTCTTCTGGGCTTTGGAGTCCCTGTCAGAATGATAAAGGCTGAGCCGTTGGGAAAGAACTGGACGACCTCCCTTGGAGTACCAGCTAGGGGTTGGAGGTTGGCTTAGGCTCAGGGCTAGGTTCAGCCTCATCCCACAGTCAGACCCCTCTCTGGTCTTTGTTGTCACATTCCCTTTCTGTGAAAGGATGGGGAACTTTGGACAGCCTTTCTTTACACTGCCTGGCTGGTACATAACTCAGCACATGGTTGACTTGAAGTCAACACTGTAGAGTACTTTGAAATGTAGAAATTTATACTTAGTGCGTTTGGGAGTGGATTAACTAGTTTAAATCTCACGGCCTCTTGTTCCTCGAGGAACTCATAACAAGCCTCTCTTCCTTGATCCAGTCTCTTATCTTGAATCCACAGCCCTAACTGTCTCCAAAGTGGTTTTGCTGAAATGCAAAGCAATGCCAATTTTCTTCTTAAAATCCTTCAACATTTCCCCATTGCTAAGGGCCATGCTGACTTGATTCCTGCTAATGCCTCTGCTTCACACTCCACACTTCTGCACACCAAATTATTCCTGTTTCTTTCCAATACACTACTCTTGTTCCTGTAAGACATCTTGTTTCATGCTGCCTTTCTTTCTGGCCTGTTCCCCTTGTTACTTCTGCACTTGGCTAAATCACAAACAATATTGATGCCTCTGTTTAAACCACCCTCTCGAAAAAGCCTCTATAGAAGCCCCTATATTGTGGAAGATACTCCATTTTAACTTACCATTTAATAAAGTTTTTTGAGTGCCTTTACTATGCACTCAATGTTATTAATCAATAGGTGTCATTTTGCTCGCATTAATCTTTCCGCTCATCTCTAGCTATGGAGAAAAGGAGGAGGGGGTCCAAAGAAGAAGAATTTGATTTCCGGGTGCCTATGAGAGGGGTCGCCACATGGGTGATGCTCTTTAGGGCTTGTTTGGAAGACCCATAAATTTTTAAGATCTGGAGAAAGGTGGAGCAGAATGAACATGCCTCTCAGCCATGAACTCATAAAGTTGAAAGATACAATTCAAGCCCAAAGTAAAAGACAGGTTTGTGTATTCTTTTGGACTCCATGTATGTATTGGACTAACAGAAAGTTTGGCTAATAATAGACTATATCACCCCTCCTTGTACTATTAAGGATGTGATACTAAAGTTATATTAAAACAGCTATTATAACTAGGAGATAAACTATGAAGAAGATTCATTTGATTATGCTGTGCTCTATAAATCATTTCAGTGATTTGATTAAATAATGTTTATTTAACCAAACTGCTGGGAGATTTCTGAGGGACAGATAGATAGGTGTAGAATTAAAAGGTGACAAAAGGTGGGCTAAAGTGTCTGCAATCACATTGTATCAACAGGAATTCCTTTGGCATCAATAGAAAGCCTAACTAAGAGACTTAAACTATTTTACTTACAAGCATTCCTCTGGAGGTAAGCAACTGTTTGTAGTTAAGAGCTCAAAAATACCAAGGTCAGTGTTTCTCCAATTCTTGTTGGCCTTTCTCTTGAGGTCATGAGGTGGCTGTCACAGCTCTAGACACTAGTCTATTCCCAAGGCAGAAAAAAGGGGACACAGCAGGGGTGATGCTTGTGG
Organism: Homo sapiens; assembly: GCF_000001405.40. Taxonomy (NCBI): domain Eukaryota; kingdom Metazoa; phylum Chordata; class Mammalia; order Primates; family Hominidae; genus Homo; species Homo sapiens. Next base: position 54,046,615 of record NC_000014.9, on the reverse strand, counting down.
CATATGTCCTTTATGTCAGGAAAGAAACACTTTGCCAGAAGCCTCTGGAGACGTCCGCTTTTACCTCAATAGGAATCAGACTTTCTCACATGGACAACCCTCACTGCAAGAGAGCAGAAAAGCAAATATTTGGCTTTTCTAGCCTCTCTAATGGAGGATGCCAGAGGAGGTGGATTTGCAAATGGGAGTTGGACTAGCCAACCAATGGCATCTGCTACCATGTTGTCCAGTGCTCTCAGAAGTCATCACCCTTCACTGTTATTTATCATTGTCTTGCTCTTTGGGACTCTTTTAAAGTAAAACCTGGCAAAAATATGAAGTTGTGCATCGTTTATAAATTTCATCAGTTACCACAACAATGTGACTGCTGTCTTCAACAGGCTGTTCTGTACTTGGAGAAGAAGCATTTGCCTATGGTGTCAGGGAAAATTTTCTAATCTTGTTGTTTGGATAGATTTGAAAAAAAAGTGCAAATAAAAACGTCTGTCCTTGGTTTAACTTTTCACTCTTGTTTATTCATGGGTGCTTCTAAGAGCTTTTGCAAGTAAACCTTCTAAATCTTAAACTAAGTGTGGTAGGCAAACCGTCTCAAAGTTTACGGTTTACACTACTGATCGGGAAGAATAACAATCCATTAATTCTGATGAGGTAACTTATTAAAGGGCTCATGTGGAGTAAACAAGGGGGATTCTAGCAAGTTTGAAATCTTGAAGCCACACCGTCTTCTCTTTGTGGTGGTATATCCACAGACACCTCTCTGCTTCAGAAACACGTGTGGGTAATATGCTATTGTATCGATGGCGAAGGCAGTACAAAGTAGTGCTTAAGACATGAGTTATGGAGCCAGACTGTCTAGTCTCCAGTCCTACTTATGAACTGTGTGACCTAGGACAAGTTACTTAAACTCTCTGTGCCTTCAAATGTTACTATAATAATACTCAGTTATATTGAGAAAGTTTCCCAATAGAATATATGTAAAAATTGATAAATATTACCTCTTGTGATTATATAATGGTGTTGTATAATGGTAATACCCACCAGGGCAAGTGGGCACTTTGTTTCTCTCTCTTTTCCTTCCTGCTGGTATGTACCCCTTCTGGATGCTTCATTGTTAAAGAAGAAGCACTCATATTTGTTAACATTTAAATGCTCAACAGCACAGTACTTAATTACTGTGTGTATACTCTCATGCAGTGTGTATTATTGCCATGATTTCACAGAAAGAAAAGGAAATTGAGAAGACAGGTGAAGGAACTTGTTCAAGCCACACAACTTGCTGGAGTTAGAATGAGAGCTCAGGTGTCTTGTATTTTAAGCCTGAACTTATTCCCATTATGACATTATTGAGTTGCATTGTAAAGTTTAAATTAGCTTTTTATATGCATATGTATCTTTCTGCATATAATTTTCTCATGCTCTGGGAAAATCTGCACAACTCACAATCATCCTCTTTTTTTTTTTTTTTTTTTTGATAACTGTTTCAGGGTCCTAATAAGGAAGATTCCCAAAGGCTCTGCAAAGGTAAAGGTAATGCTTATAAAGTGCAGTTAGCACCCAGGAAATTTTACCTGCTGTATCGTTATTAAATGAACCTATCTTCTCTGACAAAGTTTGAATGGAACTAGAGAACACACTTGACCCAGGCTGAGCCAGTTGAATTCTTTCTTCAAGAATTTGGAATTTAAATCCAAATTTACCTCCTTTTAGTGGCTTCATAATATTCTAAAACTTTTTGTATTTACTAAGACACTTCTTGGAGTAAGAAGCCATACTTAAGCTCTAGGGATCATATTCATTTGAATCTCTTTATATGGCATCCCATGGCTGGTATTGAAAGCTAGGGGCCTGTGAAACTTTTGATGAAGACCTTGCTTGGTTTACCTACATCAGAATGTGTTACAGATAATTCATTAGAGACAGCATGCCATTGGAACCAAGTTGGTGGAAATTCAGAATCAGTGAAGTACCCATCATACCACAAGGGTTGATGGAATGCTGACCTGCAGAGAGGGAAATGGAGGAGATTAAAAAGAAAAAGTAAAGCAGAGGCAAGAGGATGAGAAGTGGAGTGAGTCCTGCTAGGAAACTTGTGGCCTTTCAGTTCTTGGTTCTGGTTACTTTTGAAATTCCTGTCCTCAGGTGTCTGTGGGAAACTCTGTATTGTTATAATTATTTACCCATATTGTATTTTGTTTTTTTAGCAAACGAAACTTAAGTTGGAGTTGGTTTTTGTCACCAACAAGTAAAATGGTCTCAGGGACAGATGTTGTGGTTACTGACTTAAAGAAGTGTTTTAGATTATCTGGGGATTTTATTTATCATATTCTCTCCTTCCATAGATTAGAAATTGGCCACACCCAGTGCCATAAATTTAATTTTGGTACCCTAACACAAGCTTGAGAAAGTTTCTGCATTCCCTTGTTAATTTCTAAATCTTCATCATGGTTAAGAATGCCCAACATTGTGTCTCATCGGGAAGTGTCTAGATCCTGGGTGTGTGTATGTGCATGTATGTGTGTTGTGTGTATGTGTGTAAAATACCTGGGGTTGTACTTTATGCTTAGGGAATTCTTTTTTGCAGAAAGCTCTAAACACTTTGTCCCTCCGAATGTGCTCAGCCTTGCCTGTGCCTTCACTGAGCAGTCAGAATCACACTGCAGCTTCCAGGACAAAGAGAAGTCCAGATAGAGAGAGGATCCATCCTGTTGTCTCTGAATCGCATCTCTGTTTGGCTTCCATGGGCAGATATTCTGAAGTAGGTAAGCCAAGCAAGGTCTTAGAATCTTCAACAAGTTTCACAAGCCCTTAGGTTTTAATACCAGCCATGGGATGCCATATAAAGAGATCCAGATGGATATGATCCCTAGAGCTTAAGTGTGACTTTTACTCCAAGTAGTGTCTTGGTAAATACAAAAAGTTTTAGAATATTATGAAGCAACTAAAAGGAGGTAAATCTTATGCAAATATGGGTAGATCCTATACAAATATGGGAAAGAGACCAAGACAATTAGTGAATAAAGCAAACTGCAGATTATATATAATAAAAGACATATATACTTATGGGTTTGTACATTTTAAAAATGTAGATATATGCTTTTATTTATAGAAAGCTTTTGAAATATTATATGAACTTTCATTAAGGTTACCTCAGGGGAGTGAGTCTTTGAAAGAAATTTTAAAAATCTTTTATGCTGTTTTTGTTACCTGCAACTAAAATCGTTTCAGTGAAGAAAATTTGGTTGAGATGGATATTGTAGTTAATGGCTGAAATAAGTGTTTTAGATTATCGTTGTAAAATTAAAAAAAAATTCGGCTCCTCATTAAAAATGTTTAAACAATATAGAAATTTATATAGAACAAAGGAATATTTCCCCTCTCCTTATCCCTCACCCAATTCTCTACTAGAAAAGGGACTTTAACTTTTCATGCTGTACTCCTCTGCCTGTTTTGTTTATTTGTTTTTACTATGACCATGCATAACTTTCATATACTATGATCATAATTCACTTTTCTAGGCCCTTATTAAGACCTATGGAATCAGAAAGTTTGGGGATAGAGGCTAGCCATATGTATTTTAAAATAACTGTCTGGGTGATTCTGATGTATATTCCTGTTTGAGAATATCTGATAGCTAGGGTCATTTTCTATATCTTAAATGCCAACATGACCTCAGATAAAATTTTAAATGTTTGGTCATAGAGGGGGCCACTGTCTCTAAGAATCTGGGGAGCTTTACAAGCATCAATAAATTAAAATTTACAAAAGAAGGGCCTATCCCATAATATTCTGAAGACTAAGTGGTTGAACTGACTGTACTAAGTAGGAACTGAATCATGATTTCACCCTAGACGAGGACAGCAACTATATGGTTTGTATATCTCCATTTTTCACTCCAATATCCACTGCAAATATTGCTAATCAACTTTCACACTCTTTCTTACTAAGCTTTTACATAGCTCAGAATAATTTTTATCATTACTCATCATCCCAGGTAACGGCCACCTGTCCTTGAACTGGCATTCAGAAGAAATCTATTGTAGTGGCCTTCTATTTGTGATCCTTCTAGCACCCTTTCCCCACTTTTTCAGTGTACAAAACCCTTCTTTCCTATGATTAACCCATTCTATATGGGTTTGATATGACTGACTATTCTCCTACCTCCAGCTACAGGAGTGGAAATATCATCTAAGTGGGCCTAATAAATCAGAGAACCCATCCCACAGGCCACACGGGTTGATGCAGGGGTGGATACCAGACCAATAAATTATTCCTCCCTGGAACTTTCTGTGGGAGTTCTTTGGGGGAAATAACCAAAACAAAACATGTTTCTCTCTCCTAGTGTTATTAAACTTATATAGAATTTGCCTCTTCAGCTTCCACCAGTCACTGTGGTGATATGGAGGGAACCTGTCAAAGAAGTAGGAAATGAGACAGAGCCCTGATACTGCCATTTTGATCCACGATTCAGATGTACTTGAAGCCAGATTAATCCTCTGAATCCTCTGCTCTTGAGAGCTAATAAATTCTCTTAATTTGCCTACATTTGTTTGAGTTAGGTTAATGCAACATGCAATCAAGAATCTTCACTAATTTCTGTTCTTTCTCCTTGGGTGGGAAAATCTGTTCCTGAAATTTTTTTTCTAATTCTTTGTTCTATTTGTGAGCCTTCATGTTTCTGGGTTTGGTTGCTATAATTGCAAATGGGACACTCAAAAGCCAGAAGAGATAGGGATGATTGCTGTGTTGTTGTTATTGTCATTGGTAATGTAAAAGCAAGAAATGCTGATTGTAAATACATTGTATTAGAATTAGAATCTTAACAGGCAGTGAGAAGAACTATTGACCAGATTATTCATAGAAACATAGAACCTTAAAGGAAGAAGAAACCTAAGCAATTTAATATTTTTATTTTAATAAGAGGAATCTGAGACCTAGAAGGTTAATCCGTTTGTCCAAGGTCACAGAAACAAGCCTGTAATCCAGGTCTCCCTGGCTTTATTTGGTGCTCTTTCACTGCATCGTGCCCCCTTTATTCATACTGGGTCTAAAGCAGTCAGACTGGGTCATAACACAACTAGATACGATGTTCAGAATTTGCTAATGTCACAGAGAGGTGGAAAATCAATAAGTGAACAATTAAAAATCAGCATTTAAAACAACTGCACTGTAATAAAGTAGCACAAGAAATTAAGTAGATCATGTTAGACATAACCTCATACTTAAATAAGTAAAAGTTTTTCTATCTGTGGTTCTAAGTCCAGATTTCTCCAGCCTTCCAAATTTGTTGCCCTTACGCTTCAATATTGAGAAAAAAATATGAATGTTTTCTTCCAACTCCTGCTGTACTAAATACATACTGATAGAATAGTGATTTCTTAAGTTGAAGCACTTGTAAAATTATTATACAAATAAGCTGTTTGTGGGACATTTGCAAGTAAATATAGATTATTGGTGGTTCACAAAAAGTCCATATTTATATCTTGAGATTTTTTTTTCTTAACTCCTTGCATTCCTGAAGAGATATATGACCTGTAAAGCAATGAATCATTCCATTCCAAATACATAGAATCATGGAATTTGGGGTGAGAGGGTTATTTAGAAACTGCTTAAGTCCAACATTTATTGATGAGGAATCCAAGACCCAGGAAGATTAATTGACTGTATGTAACCTTGGACAAGGAACTCTTATGAATCCTTCCATAATGTCACCTGAAATTAATTTTTTTTCTTGTAAGTATCTAAGTAAAATTAAACTGTTTGAGTACTTAAGCTAAAATATATTTTCTTGTCTTTCTACTTCCCTTCTAACTACCTTCTGAAGAGCAACAATAATTATTCCAAAAAATTTTTTTTCTTATTTACAGTCTGATGTTAGAGGAATATCATAATGCATAGTCTCATAAAATAACTTTGTTTCATATACACCTAACTTTAAAAGGTTGTGTATGTGTAGCAAAGAATTTGGTCTAATAGTCTCCCCATATTGACATATACAGAATTCCAGAACAGTCTGAACACATCCTCATCATTGTGTTTCAGGTTGGTGGTGATCTGATTGATTAAATTAAGCATGCCAAACACATGAAAGGCTTGGGTGAGGGTCACCTCACGATGCAGCAAGCATCCTGAAGCACCAAACTTCAGAAGCAAAGACTAAAAGAAGACCTCCCCTTATTCCACCTTGCAGGGGAAGTCAGCTCTTTAATGGAAGGAAAACAATTAGAAAATACAGCATCTTAATCCAAGAAGAGTCAAATGGAGGAAACAGATGTCCATTATTTAATTCTGTATTTTCCACTCTTTCAGGTAGAAAAGAAAGATTTGTGGGGAATCGTAAGCCTTATGGGTCCTAAGTTATTTATCTCCCAAGCCCCTGCTTGAGAGCAGATCTTCATCTACAGAGAGGAGAGTCCCTGACCCAAGTCTCAAGAGAGTTTCACCCAGTAGCTTCTAAGTGCTGCAAACCTGAGTCTAGAGTTTTGGGGTTTTTAAAGAAAAGTTAAGCTGCTTTTTTATTCTTAAGGAAACTTACATAACCACTCAGCTTGTAAAACCAAAAAGGCTTTTTCTTTGGACAGTGTCAATTCATTGTTATGTTTACTCTATGTTGTAGATTTTGCTAGATATGAGGCCTACATAAATTAAATTTCACATCTTGGAATTTATTTTAATAGATAGCATAAAAGTGCAGTAATGAGTATAGAAAGGTATTCACTGTAGCATTTATTACAATAGCAAAATGTTGGCATCACCACCTGAAGAACTATCAATATGGGATTTGCTGAATAAATTTTTATATCCACACAGGAAAGAATTATGCATCCTTTTTTTAAAGTATCCTATGGATATTTGTTGTTTTTGTAATTTTCAACTTGATAAGATGGCATAGGTAAAAACCTTCAAAATATGTGCTTTCAGAAAGCAGTTTTGCTGGGGAAGTAGTTAATCATAAAATGCTTTTTTTCTTTCTTGTTTAAACTCCTTTTGGATAAAGAGGTTCTATGCTGCAACAAGGCCAGCTGGGATTCCCAAATAAGAGACTGTTTCTTTAATGTTTGTAAGACTGACCAACGTAAGTCACTAAATCAGGGAGGGCTCCAGCTGGACATAATTATTCTGTGTGAATGGGGACCTGGTAGACGGAATCAAGTTTAGCATCTGCCAGGGCATCTTGCTGCAGACTGTATATTGTGGGATATTTGATTCAGGACATTGAAAATAAGAGGCATTCATTTGGAAACAAAAATGAACCTATATGTAGGTTTACTAAGAGCTGTCTTTGCCCATATGTTGATTATTACAACATGCATAATGCAGATGAAGTCTTCTTAAGTTAGTAGTGGTTTATAATTAATAAGCTAGTCAAATCTTGGATATCGGGAGAAGTGTCACTTCAGATTCTGGGCTCTGTTTATTTTCTCTCTATACCTAACATTTGCTGTCTGTCCTTAGACTTTATCCTTCCTGAATTCCCATCTTTTTGCTGTAGAATCTCTCACATCCTTTCTGTACTTTCTTAAAGACCCAATTATTACAGAACATGGTTTTTGTACTCTCAACTATAGGAAAGTTATATGCAGCTGCTGCCACCAGGATTTCACTATTCTTTTTTGACCGCTATAACTTGTGCATTACTTTACCTTGTGTGGGCATGGCAACTCTTCACTCATTTGTTTATTCATCAAATATTTATGGAGCACATACTTTGTGCCAGGTCCTATTGTACAAAGAATAAGATTTGGTTTGTGCCCTTGGGACTTTATATTCCAGCAAGAGAAGCAGAACTTTATACTACTAATTCTAATGGAATGTAGTAAGTACAAGGATAAAGATATGCATTAAAAAATATGTGCATGGGGTGTACCTGGAACACAGAGGAGGGACCCTTAACCAGATTAGGGAAAGAGAGGCCTGAATAGCATCCTAAAGGATGAAGATAGGTAAGCTGGGAGAGAGGAGGTTCAAACAAGCATTGAACCCCAGTAAATGATATGTATTCTGACATACTTGATGGGAAGAAGTATACTGATATCTGCAACTGTGAAATGCGTTAAGAAATAAGATGCATTAAAACTAAAAGTAGGTGATACCATTCAGGACATAGGCACAGGCAAAGATTTCATGATGAAGATGCCAAAAGCAATTGCAACAAAAGCAAAAATTGACAAATGAGATCTAATTAAACTAAAGAGCTTCTGCACAGCAAAAGAAACTATCAACAAAGTAAACAGACAACCTAAAGAATGGGAGAAAAATTTTGCAAACTGTGCATCTGACAAAGGTCTGTTATCCAGCATCTATAAGGAACTTAAACTATTTACAAGAAAAAAACAACCCCATTAAAAAGTGGGCAAAGAACATGAACAGACACTTCTCAAAAGAAGACATACATGCAGCCCACAATCATGCAAAAAAAAGCTCAACATCAGTGATCATTAGAGAAATGCAAATCAAAACCACAATGAGATACCATCTCACACCAGTCAGAATGGCTATTAGCCAGGCATGGTGGTGGGCGCTTGTAATCTCAGCTACTTGAAAGGCTGAGACAAGAGAATCACTTGAATCTGGGAGGCGGAGGTTGCAGTGAGCCAAGACTGGGCCATTGCACTCCAGCCTGGGCAACAAGAGTGAAACTCTGTCTCAAAAAAAAAAAAAAAAAAAAAAGGTCAAAAAATAATAGATGCTGATGAGGTTATGGAGAAAAAGCAATGCTTTTACACTGTTGGTGGGAGTGTGAATTAGTTCAACCATTGTGGAAGACAGTGTGGCAAATCCTCAAAGATCTAAAAACAGAACTACCATTTGACCCAGCAATCCCTTTACTGGGTATATACCCAAAGGAATATAAATCGTCTATGATAAAGACACATGCATAGATGTGTTCATTGCAGCACTACTCACAATAGCAAAGACATGCAATCGACCCAAATGCCCATCAACGATAGACTGGATAAAGAAAATTTAGTACATATACACTGTGAAATCCTATGCAGCCATAGAAAAGAACGAGATCATGTCCTTTGCAGGGACATCATGGACGGAGCTGGAGGCCATTATTCTTAGCAAACTAATGCTGGAACAGAAAACCAAATACTGCTTGTCCTTACTTGTTAGTGGGAGCTAAGTGATGAGAACACATGGATACATAGAGGGGAACAACACACACTGGAGCCTATTGGAGGGTGGTGGGTGGAGAGAGGGAGAGAAGCAGGAAAAATAACTAATGGATACTAGGCTTAATACCTAGGTGATGAAATAATCTGTACAACCAACCCCCATGAAACATGTTTACCTGTGTAACAAACCTGCACATCCTGCACCTGTACCTCTGCATTTAAAATATAAGTTAAAAAAAAGAAATAAGATAGGTTGATGGATAGAAAACAATTTTTAATGAAAACATGTGATAAAGTATTTACAATAAATCCTAATTGTAGAATATAGATGGTGAGTATATTATTTGTAAAAATTTTAAAATTATTTAAAAATTTCGTGATAAAATGTCTGAAACATTTCTTTGGATAAGATGAACACCATATTAGACACTGCAGTAGAAAGGGCATGTACTTGCACAGAGGGAATAGGAACTGAAACAATGGGAAGAAAAAAGGGCTGAAAAACAAAAATCAGAGTATCAGAAATGTGGAAAATATCACAAAGTCTAATACAGATATACTTGGTGTTTTAGAAAAATAGAAGAAAATGGTCAGAAGAATAAAGAAATAATTACTGAAATTTTTTCAAGATTAATAAACCCAAAGATGAGAAATACAAAGTAAACTATACCTATTCACATCATAGTCAAATTGTTGAAAACCAAAATAAAAAGAAAATCTTAAGAACAGTTGGGGGGGTAGATATATTGTAGAAGATATAAATGGGAATATTTTTAAAAATACTTTGTTAATACAAAAGAAGGCATGTAAAGAGAAGCAAGGTTGCAAAAAATAAGTGTTACCAAAAAAACAGATAACAAGCTGGTAAATTGAACCCAAACATATTAATGATCATATTAAATCTAAATGCACAAAAAGATGTAATTAAAAGGAACAAATTATAAGATTGATTTAAAAAAACCCTCAACCCCATGCTGTTTAAAGATACATTTAAATATAAAGACATAGATATATTAAAATTAAAAGGTTGGTTTTCCACTTGAGGATGTAGGGGGCTTGAAAGAATGTCACACCCAAACTTAATGATTTTAAAAAGCCAGATGGGCAGCAAGTTCACTACTTTTTTGAACACATTAAAGTCCAGAAGTTCAGCTGGACCAAAATTTGAGGAGAGACAAGGGTGGATGTGACATGAGCACTAGCTTACTGGGATAAGGTATTTCTGAGAAATGGTAAGATTAAGTTCAGCCAGGGCAATCACTATGTTGATGGAGGCTGAGTGCAACCAGTAAGAGAAGGCTGAAGGCTCTGGAGGGCTATAAATATAAGGAAGCCTACATATTATTGCCAGACTTTTTTCAGCGAACCCACTGTTTGCTCACAGAAAACATTAGGAAAGTTTCCTTGTGATGCTGAAGCGAGGAAGAAGAACAGCAACCACTATGAGGAGGCTACTAAACACTACCAGGACCCTCCTTCTTTATCTTCTTTTATGGGACAAGTCTCATTCTGGGACAGGAAGGACAACAAACACTATTTCCTGATTTGTTGAAAACCCATTGCAGCTTTGAGAAGAAACTAAAAAAATTCTCTACCTCTGCAGGAGAGGCAGAAATACAAACTGGGCTGCAAATTAGTGAGAAGGACACTTCTGAAACCAAGGAATATGGTTCTTGCCTAAGACTGAGGTTTAATACAATAACTGAGAATGCCCCATTCCCCTCTGCTAGACTAACAGGCATTAAGTAACAAGCAACTTGCGAGAGAGGACTCTCTTTAAGGCAGAGTTTAAAGGGAAGACAGAAAACTGAAGGGGAGCAGACATTGAAAACACCCATCTGGTAAACAAGTTCCCAACCCAAGGAAAAGGTATCATTAGAGGATTTTGGATCCTGTGGGGGCACTGAGGGTTATATAGCAACAATAAATCTCAAACCCAGCCCAATTTCTAAATAGATGAACACCTCATGGCTCCCCACCTCTAATTTTGGAGGAAAGAAAGGTGTGCCCATTTCCAGGGATAAAAACTATTGAACTCAGTTCTGCTGTCCTATACAAGATGTTGGCTTTCAACAAAATATTATGAAACATACAAAAAGACAAGAAAAAAAGCTTCCAAGAGGCAAAACAATCATCAGAACCAGACACAGATATGACAAGATATGTTGGAATTATGTGCTAAATAATTTAAAAATAACTATGATAATATGGCAAAGGCTCTGATGGAAAAAATGAATAACATGCAAGACCAGATGGATAATTCAGCAGAGAAATGGAAACTCTAGGTAAGAATCAAATGGAAATGCTAGAATTGGAAAATATGGTAACAGACACAAAGAAAGCACATAATACATAAATTCAAGAGTGTCATGAAGAGGATGAGTAAACTTGAAGGTAGATCTATAGAAATTACTTATCTAAAATAGGAAAATAAGTGGGGAAAAAAGTGGAGCAGAGCATCTAAGAGGTGTGGACCATTACATAATAAAACATATGTGAATTAGACTTCCAGTAGCAGAAGAGAGAGAGAGTATAGGGCAGAAGAAATGTCTGAAGAAATAATGGCCAAGAGCCAGGCTCAGTGGCTCCCACCTGTAATCTTGGTGACTTGGGAGGCTGAGATGGGAGTATTGCTTGAAGCCAAGAGTTTGAGACCAGCTGGGCAATGTAAAGAGACCCCATATTTAAAAAAAAAAAAATTAGCCAAATGTGGTGGCATGCACCTGTAGTTTTAGCTACTTAGGAGGATCACATGAGCCAAGGATTTCAAGGCTGCAGTGAGCTATGATTGCACCACTGCACTCCAACCTGGGCAACAGAGCAAGACTTTGTTTCTTAAAACAAGAGAGAAAAAAATAATGGCCAAGAATTTTCAAAAAGTAATAATAAATACCAAATTACAAATAAATGTTTCGAAAACATCCGAGATCATCAAGTAGAAGAAATACCAAATCAAAAAATACACAACAAACACCTATACATATTATATTTAAACTGCTGAAAACAAAAATTGGAAAGTTGGGAAAAGATACGTCCTGCAAGCACAATTCATATGAAAACTAGTAAGGCTAAATTATGATTGGATAAGAAAACTACAAGATGAGAAGTGTTAACAGAGATAATGAGTGGCATTTCATAAAGATAAAGGACCAATTAATCAAGAAGACAGCAATATTATATGTGTATATCTCTAATATCAAAGTTTCAGAGTACATGAAGAAAACTTTGACAGAATTAAAGGGAAAATAGACAAATCCACAGTTACATCAGAGATTTCAACAGCCCTCTTTCCATAGTTGATAAAATAAGCAGAAAGAAAATCAGTACGAATACAGAAAAATGTAAATAACAATTTCAACCAATTGGATTCAGTTGACATTTATAGAACATTTCAACAACAATAGCAGATTACATGTTCTTCTTAAAAGCACATGAAACATTCACCAGGGGATACCACAAGCTGGGCCATCAGACAAATCTCATAAATTTCAGAGGCTTGAAATTATTCAGAATATGTTCTCTGAAATGAATATAATTAAATTCATAATAAATAGCAAAAAACTGTCTAGAAAATTCCCACATATCTGCAAATTAAATGGTATACTTCTAAATAACTTACTGACCAAAGAAGATATTACAAAGGAAATTAGAAGATATCTTGAGGGAGGTTCCAAGATGGCCGAATAGGAACAGCTCCAGTCTACAGCTCCCAGCATGAGCGACGCAGAAGACAGGTGATTTCTGCATTTCCAACTGAGGTACTGGGTTCATCTCACTGGGGCTTGTCGGACAGTGGGTGCAGCCCATGGAGCATCAGCCAAAGCAGGGCAGGGCATCACCTCACCCGGGAAGTGCAAGGGGTTGGGGAATTCCCTTTCCTAGCCAAGGGAAGCCATGACAGACAGTACCTGGAAAATCGGGACACTCCCACCGTAACACTGTGCTTTTCTAATGCTCTTAGCAAACAACACACCAGGAGATTATATCCTATGCCTGGCTCAGAGGGTCCCACGCCCACGGAGCCTCGTTCACTGCTAGCACTGCAGGCTGAGATCAAAATGCAAGGTGGCAGAAGGGCTGGGGGAGGGGTGTCCCCCATTGCTGAGGCTTGAGTAGGTAAACAAAGCAGCTGGGAAGCTCGAACTGGGTGGAGCCCACTGCAGCTCAAGGAGGCCTGCCTGCCTCTGTAGATTCCACCTCTGGGGGCAGGGCATAGCTGAAAAAAAGGCAGCAGAAACTTCTGCAGACTTAAATGTCCCTGTCTGACAGCTTCGAAGAGAGTAGTGCTTCTCCCAGCATGGAGTTTGAGATCTGAGAATGGACAGACTGCCTCCTCAAGTGGGTCCATGACCCCCGAGTAGCCTAACTGGGAGGCACCTCCCAATAGGGGCCGACTGACACCTCATACGGCTGGTTGCTCCTCTAAGACAAAGCTTCCAGAGGAAGGATCAGGCAGCAACATTTGCCGTTCTGAAATATTTGCTGTTCTGCAGCCTCCGCTGGTGATACCCAGGCAAACAGGGTCTGGAGTGGACCTCCAGCAAACTCCAACAGACCTGCAGGTGAGGGTCCTGACTGTTAGAAGGAAAACTAACAAACAGAAAGAACATCCACACCAAAACCCCATCTGTATGTCACCATCATCAAAGACCAAAGGTAGATAAAACCACAAAGATGGGGAGAAACCAGAGCAGAAAAGCTGAAAATTCCGAAAATCAGAGTGCCTCTTCTCCTCCAAAGGAACACAGCTCCTCACCAGCAATGGAACAAAGCTGGATGGAGAATGACTTTGACGAGTTGAGAGAAGAAGGCTTCAGATGATCGGTAATAACAAACCTCTCTGAGCTAAAAGAAGATGTTCGAACCCATCACAAAGAACCCATTGCAAATAAGCTAAAAACCTTGATAAAGGATTACATGAATGGCCAACTAGAATAAACAGTGTAGAGAAGATCTTAAATGACCTGATGGGGCTGAAAACCCTGGCACGAGAACTACGTGACACATACACAAGCTTCAGTAGCCAATTCGATAAAGTGGAAGAAAGGGTATCAGTGATTGAAGATCAAATGAATGAAATGAAGTGACAAGAGAAGTTTAAAGAAAAAAGAGTAAAAAGAAATGAACAAAGCCTCCAAGAAATATGGAACTATGTGAAAAGGCCAAATCTACATCTGATTGGTGTACCTGAAAGTGATGGGGAGAATGGAACCAAGTTGGAAAACACTCTACAGGAGAACTATCCAGGAGAACTTCCCCAACCTAGCAACGCAGGCCAACATTCAAATTCAGGAAATACAGAGAACGTCACAAAGATACTCCTCAAGAAGAGCAACTCCAAGACACATAATTGTCAGGTTCACCAAAGTTGAAATGAGGGAAAAAATGTTAAGGGCAGCCAGAGAGAAAGGTCGGGTTACTCACAAAGGGAAGCGCATCAGACTAACAGCAGATCTCTCGGTAGAAACTCTACAAGCCAGAAGAGAGTGGGGGCCAGTATTCAACGTTCTTAAAGAAAAGAATTTTCAACCCAGAATTTCATATCCAGCCAAACTAAGCTTCATAAGTGAAGGAGAAATAAAATCCTTTACAAACAAGCAAATGCTGAGAGATTTTGTCACCACCAGGCCTGCCTTACAAGAGCTCCTGAAGGAAGCACTAAACATGGAAAGGAACAACTGGTACCAGCCACTGCAAAAACATGCCAAATTGTAAAGATCATTGAGGCTAGGAAGAAACTGCATCAACTAACGAGCAAAATAACCAGCTAACATCATAATGACAGGATCAGATTCACACATAACAATATTAACCTTAAATGTAAATGGGTAAATGCTCCAATTAAAAGACACAGACTGGCAAATTGGATAAAGAGTCAAGACCCATCAGTGTGCTGTATTCAGGAGACCCATCTCACATGCAGAGACACACATAGGCTCAAAATAAAGGGATGGAGGAAGATCCACCAAGCAAATGGAAAACAAAAAAAAGCAGGGGTTGCAGTCCTATTCTCTGATAAAACAGACTTTAAACCAACAAAGATCAAAAGAGACAAAGAAGGCCATTACATAATGGTAAAGGGATCAATTCAACAAGAAGAGCTAACTATCCTAAATATATATGCACCCAATACAGGAGCACCCAGATTCATAAAGCAAGTCCTTAGAGACCTACAAAGAGACTTAGACTCCCACACAATAATAATGGGAGACTTTAACACCCCACTGTCAACATTAGACAGATCAAAGAGACAGAAAGTTAACAAGGATATCCAGGAATTGAACTTGGCTCTGCACCAAGCAGACCTAACAGACATCTACAGAACTCTCCACCCCAAATCAACAGAATATACATTCTTCTCAGCACCACATCACACTTATTCCAAAATTGACGGAAGGAAAACACTCCTCAGCAAATGTAAAAGAACAGAAATT
The DNA here is from genome assembly GCF_000001405.40 of Homo sapiens. NCBI lineage: Eukaryota > Metazoa > Chordata > Mammalia > Primates > Hominidae > Homo > Homo sapiens. Next base: position 54,031,062 of record NC_000014.9, on the reverse strand, counting down.
ATAACAAACTGTCTCTCAGACCACAGTGCAATCAAACTAGAACTCAGGATTAATAAATTCACTCAAAACTGCTCAACTACATGAAAACTGAGCCACCTGCTCCTGAATGACTACTGGGTACATAACGAAATGAAGGTAGACATAAAGATGTTCTTTGAAACTAATGAGAACAAAGACACAACATACCAGACTCTCTGGGGCACATTTAAAGCAGTGTGTAGAGGAAAATTTATAGCACTAAATGCCCACAAGAGAAAGCAGGAAAGATCTAATATTGACACCCTAACATCACAATTAAAAGAACTAGAAAAGCAAGAGCAAACACATTCAAAAGGTAGCAGAAGGCAGGAAATAACTATGATCAGAGCAGAACTGAAGGAGATACAGACACAAAAAACCCTTCAAAAAATCAATGAATCCAGGAGCTGGTTTTTTGAAAAGATCAACAAAATTGACAGACCACTAGCAAGACTAATAAAGAACAAAAGAGAGAAGAATCAAATAGATGCAATAAAAAATGATAAAGGGGATATCACCACCAATCCCACAGAAATACACACTACCGTCAGAGAATACTATAAACATCTCTATGCAAATAGATTAGAAAATCTAGAAGAAATGGATAAATTCCTGGATACATATACCCTCCCAAGACTAAACCAGGAAGAAGTTGAATCCCTGAACAGACCAATAACAGGCTCTGAAATTGAGGCAATAATGAATAGCCTACCAACCAAAAAATGTCCAGGACCAGATGGATTCACAGCCGAATTCTACCAGAGGTACAAAGAGGAGCTGATACCATTCCTTCTGAAACTATTCCAATCAATAGAAAAAGAGGGAATCCTCCCTAACTCATTTTATGAGGCCAGCGTCATCCTGATACCAAAGCCTGGCAGAGACACAACAAAAAAAGAGAATTTTAGACCAATATCCCTGATGAACATCGATGCAAAAATCCTCAATAAAATACTGGCAAACCAAATCCAGCAGCACATCAAAAGCTTATCGACCATGATCAGGTTGGCTTCATCCTTGGGATGCAACGGTGGTTTAACATATGCAAATCAATAAAGGCAATCCATCATATAAACAGAACCAAAGACAACCACATGATTATCTCAATAGATGTAGAAAAGGCCTTTGACAAAATTCAGCAGCCCTTCATGCTAAAAACTGAATAAACTACGTATTGATGGAACATATCTCAAAATGATAAGACCTATTTAGGACAAACCCACAGCCATTATCATACTGAATGGGCAAAAACTGGAAGCATTCCCTTTGAAAACTGGCACAAGACAGGGATGCCCTCTCTCACCACTCCTATTCAACATAGTGTTGGAATTTCTGGCCAGGGCAATCAGGCAGGGGAAAGAAATAAAGGGTATTCAAATAGGAAAAGAGGAAGTCAAATTGGCCCTGTTTGCAGACGACATGATTGTATGTTTAGAAAACCTCATTGTCTCAGCCCAAAAACTCCTTAAGCTGATAAGCAACTTCAGCAAAGTCTCAGGATACAAAATCAATGTGCAAAAACCACAAGCATTCCTATACACCAATAACAGACAAACAGAGAGCCAAATCATGAGTGAACTCCCATTCACAATTGCTTCAAAGAGAATAAAATACCTAGGAATCCAATTTACAAGGGATGTGAAGGACCTCTTCAAGGAGAACTACAAACCACTGCTCAACAAAATAAAAGAGGACACAAACAAATGGAAAAACATTCCATGCTAATGGAGAGGAAGAATCAATATCGTGAAAATGGCCATACTGCCCAAGGTAATTTATAGATTCAATGCCATCCCCATCAAGCTACCAAAGACTTTCTTCACAGAATTGGAAAAAACTACTTTAAAATTCATATGGAACCAAAAGGAGCCCGCATTGCCAAGACAATCCTAAGCCAAAAGAACAAAGCTGGAGGCATCACGCTGCCTGACTTCAAACTACACTACAAGGCTACTGTAATCAAAACAGCATGGTACTGGTACCAAAACAGATATAGACCAATGGAACAGAACAGAGCCCTCAGAAATAATACCACACATCTACAACCATCTGATCTTTGACAAATCTGACAAAAACAAGAACAAGAAATGGGGAAAGGATTCTCTATTTAATAAATGGTGCTGGGAAAACTGGCTAGCCATATGTAGAAAGCTGAAACTGGATCCCTTCCTTACACCTTATACAAAAATTAATTCAAGATGGATTAAAGACTTAAATGTTAGACCTAAAACCATAAAAACCCTAGAAGAAAACCTAGGCCATACCATTCAGGACATAGGCATGGGCAAGGACTTCATGTCTAAAACACCAAAAGCAATGGCAACAAAAGCCAAAATTGACAAATGGGATCTAATTAAACTAAAGAGCTTCTGCACAGCAAAAGAAACTATCATCAGAGTGAAGAGGCAACCTACAGAATGGGAGAAAACTTTTACAATCTACCCATCTGACAAAGGGCTAATATCCAGAATCTACAAAGAACTTAAATAAATTGACAAGAAAAAATCAAACATCCCCATCAAAAAGTGGGTGAAGGATATGAGCAGACACTTCTCAAAAGAAGACATTTATGCAGCCAACAGACACATGAAAAAATGCTCATCATCACTGGCCATCAGAGAAATGCAAATCAAAACCACAATGAGGTAACTTCTCACATCAGTTAGAATGGCAATCATTAAAAAGTCAGGAGACAACAGGTGCTGGAGAGGATGTGGAGAAATAGGAACACTTTTACACTGTTGGTGGGACTGTAAACTAGTTCAACCATTGTGGAAGACAGTGTGGTGATTCCTCAAGGATCTAGAACTAGAAATACCATTTGACCCAACCATCCCATTACTGGGTATATACCCAAAGGATTATAAATCATGCTGCTATAAAGACAGATGCACACATATGTTTATTGTGGCACTATTCACAATAGCAAAGACTTGGAACCAACCCAAATGTCCAACAATGATAGACTGGATTAAGAAAATGTGGCACATATACACCATGGAATACTATGCAGCCATAAAAAAGGATGAGTTCATGTCCTTTACAGGGACATGGATGAAGCTGGAAACCATCATTCTGAGCAAACTATCGCAAGGACAGAAAACCAAACACTGCTTGTTCTCACTCATAGGTGGGAATTGAACAATGAGAACACTTGGACACAGGATGGGGAACATCACACACTGGGGGCCTGTCGTGGGGTGGGGGAAGGGGCGAAGGATAGCATTAGGAGATATACCTAACGTAAATGACGAGTTAATGGGTGCAGCACACCAACATGGCACATGTATACATATGTAACAAACCTGCACGTTGTGCACATGTACCCTAGAACTTAAAGTATAATTTAAAAAATAAGTAAATAAATAAATAAAAGAATTCTCAACTTGAGAAAAAGGTATTTTGAACTACATGATAATGAAGGTATTTCATATTTGTAGGAAACAGCTAAAGCAGTGCATAGAAGGACATTTATACTTTTAAGTGTTTATTTTAGAAAAAATGCTTAAAATAAATGATCTACACTTCTACTTGAAGATGACAGAAAAAGGAGGAAATTGAACCAAAATTAAGAAGAAATATGAAAATGATACATACAAGAATGAAAAGCAATTTACATAGAAAAGGGACAGAAAATAGAGAAAAGTAACAAAGTCAAAAGTTTGTTCTTTGAAAATGTTAATAAAATTGATTAAAATATAGTAAGACAGAGAAAAAAGAGAATGTACAAGTCACAGTTGTCAGGAATGAAAGAGAGGTCATCACTACTGATCCTAGAGGCATTAAAAGGATAGTAAAGGGGTAGTATGAACAATTTTATGCAAATAACTTCAAGAACACAGATGAACAATACATCAGAAGCAATACTTTATACCTGGAGGTATTGCAGAAATTATTAACATCATCACAAAGTTGAAAGACAAAGGAGTGGTGAATCCTCCTATCTTCATGACAAGTTACCTAGTAATAACAAGTAATTTTGGAGAATATCAGTCGATTATTGTAAAATTAGTTAGGTAGTAATAGTAACTCCAATCAGCTCCTATCCTAGATGTGGGTTCTATCTAGTTTGCTGCAAGACTGCCTATCATGAATGGGTATTATCTTACTTATCAAGTCATAAAATTGGGTTGCCTAGCAGCACTTACTCAACAAGGCTAAGCAAGTGACATAAGACTGAGTTTAAGCAGGCCTTAAATGTACCAGTGAGTTGTGTGAGCAAGCGGCTCACATTCTCAGTGTTCCTACTGTTGATGCATAGCCACATCACCTTCTACCTGCTTACATAGCTTCATGGGTGGGAGGAGTACCCTATGACCAGTTGATTAAAGAAGCAAAACATTAAACTTGATTTTTAGGTGATACTGTGCTATATGCAGACTGTTCTCATTAACCTCAATTGTGTGTGATGACAAGGACAATGATGAAGAGAAATCCTCTCTGTAATAGGCAGAATTATATGTGGAATATCTTTTCTTCACATATCCTGGAAAGAAAGTTGTCCTGCATTACGAGTCTAAAATGACTTATAATCAGTGGCTAATACTTGTCTGGGTCATCAGGGACTAGAGAAGAACAATACTGAGGATTGATAATGAGAGGATCTAGGGGCAGGGTAAGTGGATGGAAACCTCTATTATACCAAGGGTGGGTGGTAGGAGTGGCTTGCCCCAGGTACAAGCAACTTTTTAGAACTTAGACCAGCAGAAAGTTTTTTGAGAGGGAGTATTGTGAACTGGCATTGTTTGGAATTGCTAGCAGATGGTGCTAAGAAGAAGAAGATTAAATCGTAGTTGCCATTATTATTATTATTATTTAAATTATCTGCCAACAATGCACTTCTTATCACCTGCACCTGTTGAACCACTCCCATTTCCCCACCTTAGGTCCAGAGTGTGTCAGTATTGGTGCCTTATGAATGCTCACCAATGGCCCTCAAAACTAAGGACTTTCTCAATCAGATGGCAAAGGATGGACCAGATGGCCAGTTCAGGGATGTAAGTCAGCAGCCACTTTCCTTGGCCACTCCAGTGATTGCTCAGTGAGCTTATTGAAAGTGTGGTGGGAAGGATGAAAATTATATATGTGGGATATGGCTTCTTTCACTGCTGTGTGTCTACTTTGCCAACATCAGAGATTAACACTGAGCCCTGCTATGTCACCATAAATCAGTATCACTGGCCAGCCACCTGGTGGCAGAATAATGATATTGGACTTTTATTGTTGGCAGGGGGTAGGAATTAACCTTACTGGAATAAACAGTCTTATATGAAATTGTCTTCCTTAAAGCACTCAACTCATAAAACTAGAAAAGATAAATAAACGAAATTGAAGAGAGGCATAATAGAGACAAAAACAGAAATACTTTTAAACTACAACAACCACAAAAAAGATTTTAACAATAAAACCTATAGGTCATAAATTGAAAAGACTTATGAAATAGACAAAAACTATTGCTATTCCACTAATAGATTAATACAGAGAGAATGGCAAATAAATATTTGGAATGAGAAAGGCAACAAAATGGTAGATAGGAAAAATTATTTAAGAATCTGTCTTTAGGCTGGGTGTGGTGGTTCACGCCTGTAATCTCAGCATTTTGGGATGCCGAGGTGGGCAGATCACGGAGTCAAGAGATCGAGACCATCCTGGCCAACATGGTGAAACCCTGCCTCTATTAAAAATACAAAAAAATTAGCTGGGCACGGTGGTGTGTGCCTGTAGTTCCAGCTACTTGGGAGGCTGAGGCAGGAGAATCACTTGAACATGGGAGGTGGAGGTTGCAGTGAGCTGAGATCACGCCACTGCACTCCAGCCTCGTGACAGAGTGAGACTCTGTCTCAAAAAAAAGAGAAGAATCTGTCTGTAAGTGTATATCAATAGACTTGAAAATCTTGATTAAATCGATAATTTTCTAGGTAACTGCAAATTATCAAAATTAACTAAAGGAGGTAAAAAAAAATCTGAAATAGGCTAATAAAAGGAATAAAATAAAAAAAGATAGTAAAAGGCCTACCACTCTGAAAAAAGGCACCAGGTTCAGATAGTCTTACGTGCAAATTGTACCACATTCTTAAATATTAGATAATTCCTAGGCCATATAAACTAAATGACATTTACACCTAGTTGATTTTTGACAAAGGTGCCAAGAACACACAGTGGTGAAAACTGGATATCCAAATACAGAAGAATGAAATTAGACCCTTACCTCACACCATATACAAAGATCAACTCAAAATGGATTAATGTAAAACCCAAAACCATAGAACTACTAAAAAAAAAAAAATAGGGGAAAATCCCCACAATATTGGCCTGGGAAATGCTCTTTTTGGATATGACCTCAACAACACAGGAGACAAAAGCAAAAATAGACAAATGAGATTACATCAAATTAAAAAGACAGCAAAGGAAACAGAGTAAAGAGACAGTCTACAGAATAGTGGAAAATATTTGCAAATTATACTTCTAATACAAGGGTTAATATCCAAAATATATAGGGAATTCAAACAACTCAATAGCAAAAAAACAACCCAATTTAAAAATAGGCAAAAGACATGCAAATGACCAATAGGCATATGAAAAAATGCATCATTAATCATCATGGAAATGCAAATAAAAAAAAACCACAGTGATATATCACTTCACTCCTGTTAGAATGGCTATTATCAAAACGACAAAAGATAAGTGTTGATGAGAACACTAATGTAGAGAAAAGGGAATCCTTGCACACTAAGGGAATGCAAATTAGTACAGCCATTATGGAAGACAGTATATAGTTTCCTCAGAAAATTAAAAATAAGACTACCATATGATTTAATAATCCCACTGTTGGGTATATATCCAAAGGAAATAAAGTTAGTATGTTGGGGAGACATCTAAGCACTCCCATGTTTATTTTACCCCTGTTCACAATAGTCAAGATATGGAATCAACCCATGTCCATTAACAGATGAATGGATAAAGAAAATGTGATATATATGTCATATGTATATATGAATATCTTATATATATCAGATATCAGATATATCATATATATATATAAATATTATTCGGCTGTAAAAAGAAGGAAATCCTGTCATTTCCAACCACATGGATAAACCTGGAGGACATTATGTTAAGTGAAATAAGCCAGGCACAGAAACACAAACACCACATGGTCTCACTCATATATGGAATCTAAAAAAGTTGGTCTTGCAGAAACAGCGAGTAGAATGGTGGTTGCCAGACGTTGAGGTGGCTGGTGGGGAAGTTGCGGAGATGTTTGTCAAAGGATACAAAAGTACAGTTAGATAGGCAGAATAAGTTCAAAAGATCTATTGTACAGCATGATGACTATAGTTAATGACGATATATTGTATTCTTGAAAAATGCTAAGAGAGTGGATGGTAAGTGTTCTTACTGCAAAAATGTTAAGTATGAGGTAATGCATATGTTAATTAGCTAGATTTTATCATCTCACAATGTGTGTATACTTCAGAACATTATATTGTAAATAATAAATACATAGAATTTTATCTGCCTATTTAAATAAATTTGAATATTCTTTTAAAAAATTAAATGAAAAAATACTATGTGGCTGGCAAAACTCTGATATAAAACTAGTCAAGGGACTTTCTGTTTCTGGTCCAGCATGTAAGGAGCTTAGAAGTTCACCACTCTGTCCTAATAATAAGTAAAAGTCTGAATAAACTGAAAAATCAGCAGCAATCTGAGACCCATCAGAGAAGTGAGGTCACAGGACTAACTGCAGCCTCCCCAAATTAGAGTGACTGACAGGTGGATACAGAAAATCACAGCTTGTGTGAACAGAAACCTGTGAGCATACACCTCTGTGGCAACGAGTACCAGTGTAGGAAAACATACACTGAAAGTGAAGCATTACCAGAGGCCCAATGTGGACAACTGTGAAAATTACAAACTCTAGGGGACTTCCAATCTTCCGGGGGAGAGGGTGCAGTGGGGTTGTGAGGAAAGGTTCTCACAATTTTGTTCTGCCTCCAGGAACTCTACCAGGTCCTAACAGTGAATATCAGAGAAAAAGCCTCTCGTGTTTCCGCTGGGGAAGGAGACAAGAAACCATTTTAAAATATGCCAGTGCATTCTGCTCTTTTTAGCAAGGCCTTCCCTGAAGAGAAGCTATTTTATCAGAGCCAGTCTGCTGGCATATTATCAGAGTAACCAACCTGGGGGAATACAAATATCCATAGAGTTGTAGCCAACTCTAGCTTTCCATGTAGGGGAAGGAAAATACCCAATGCCAATTCCCTTTAGCCATCCTGTCCCACCTAAGGTGGAAAAAACAAAATTGAGAAACACTGCTGAAATTCACAGTCCAGGGGCAGAGGCTCACCCAAAGACTGAGACCTGATTATAAGACTGTAGAATGCTTCCCCTTGCCACTACATTACTAACAGCCTATTTACTGCAGTTCCTTTTACTCAATACAGCAGGTCTACCTTTCAATAAAAAAGTACAAGGCATACTAAAAGGTAAAGCAAGGGGCAATGGTGCGTGCCTGTATTCCCAGCTACTTAAGAGGCTGAGGTGGGAGGATCACTTGAGTCCAGGAGTTCAAGGCCAGACTAGGCAACATAGTGAGACCCTGTCTCTAAAGATAATAATAATAATCATAAAAGATTTTTTAAAAAACCAGATTGAAGAGACCAAACAAGCATCAGAATGAGAAGTACGTTATGGTAAAAATGTTGGAGTTATCTGATCAGGAATTTTTTTAAAACTCTGATTAGTATGCCAAGGGCTTTAGTGGAAAACTGTCACTAATTCAAACTGTTTTAAAATGCAAAAACAGATAGATAATTTAAGCATATATATTAGAAGGAATAAAAAAGAAATGCTAGAGATCAAAACATTGTATCAGAAATGAAGAATGCCTTTGATAGGCTCATTACCAGCTTGATGAAAGAATCCCTGAACTTGAGGAAGTAACAATAGAAACTTCCAAAACTGAGAAGTAAAGAAAAGAAAGATTGGGAAAAGAAACAAAACAGAATATCCAAGAACTGTGGCCCAACTACAAAAGATGTTAACTCTGTATAATGTGAGTACAAGAAGGAGAAGCAGAGAAAGGGACAGATGTAATAGGTGAAGCAATAATCAGTGAGAGTTTCCCCCAAATTAATGTCAGACGCCAAATCACAGGCCAAGGAAGCTTAGAGAGCACTGAACGGGATAAATGGCCAAAGAAACCTGACATCTAGGCATATTATATTCAAACTTCAGAAATCAAAGTTAAAGAAAAGATCTTGAAAGAAGCCAGAGGTAATAAACACTTAACCCCCCTTGAAGAGCAAAGGCAAGAATTATGTGCAACTTCTAAGAAGATAAGAGAGAGACCACAAATTATGGAAATGAAAGAAGGGAAAAGGACAGATCCCATGGACATTAAAATGACAATAAAGGAATACTATGGACTACTACATGCCCATGAATTTAATATCCTACATGAAATCGACAAATCTTTGGAAGACACCATCTGTTAAAACCTACCCAAGAAGAAATAGACAATCTGAGCAGGCTTATATCAAAGAAATTTAATGAATAATTAATAAGCTTTCAAAACAGAAAGCACCAGCCCAAATGAATTCACTGTTGAATTCCACTGTGTAAGGAAGAAATCTTACAATTTCTCTGCAATCTCTCTTAGAAGTTAGAAGTAGAAAAAACAATTTCTTTTTTTCTTCAAACTTTTATTTTAGGTTCGGGGTACATGTGCAGATTTTTTGTATAGATAATTTGCGTGTCATGGAGGTTTGATGTACAGATTATTTCATCCCCCAGGTAATATGCGTAGTACCCAATAGGTAGTTTTTTGATCCTCTGGCTCCTCTCTCCCTCCACCCTAAAGTAGGCCCCAGTGTCTGTTGTTCCCTTCTTTGTGTCCTTATATGCTCAATGTTTAGCTCCCACTTGTAAGTCAGAACATGCAGTATTTGGTTTTCTGTTCCTTTGTTAGTTCGCTTAGGATAATGGCCTCCATGTTGCTGCAAAGGACATGATGTCATTCTTTTTTGTGGCTGCATAGTGTTCCATGGTGTATATATATATACCACATTTTCTTTATCCAGTCAACTGCTGATAGGCATTTAGGTTGATTCCATGTCTTTGCTATTGTGAATATTGCTGTGATGAACATGTGTGTGTGTGTGTCTTTAGGGTAGAACAATTGATATTCTCCTGGGTATATATACCCAATCATGGGATTGCTGGGTTGAATGGTAATTCTGCTTTGAGTTCTTTGACAGATTGCCAAACTGCTTTCCACAATGGCTGAACTAATTTACATTCCCACCAGCAGTATACAAGCATTCCCTTTCCTCCACAACCTTGTCAGCGTCTTTTATTTTTTTGACTTTTTCATAATAGCCATTCTGACTGATATGAAATGGTATCTCACTGTGGTTTTGATTTGCATTTCCCTAATAATTAGTGATTTTGAATATTTTTTTTTCAATTTCAATAGTTTTTGGGATACAGGTGGTTTTTGGTTACATGAGAAGTTCTTTAGTGGTGATTTCTGAGATTTTGATGCACCCATCACCTGAGCAGTGTACACAGTACCCAATATGTAGTCTTTGATCCCTCATCCCCCTCTCAGGCTTCCCCCTCGAGTCCTCAAGGTCCATTATATCATTCTTATGCCTCTGCATCATTGTAGCTTAGCTCCCACTTGTAAGTGAAAACAAATGATATTTGAGTTTCCCTTCCTGAGTTACTTCACTTGGAATAATGCCCTCCACCAGGCGTGGTGGCTCACACCTGTAATCCCAGCACTTTGGGATGCCAAAGCAGGCAGATCACCTGAGGTCAGAAGTTTGAGACAAGCCTGGCCAACATGATGAAACCACATCTGTACTAAAAATACAGAAATTAGCCAGGCGTGGTAGCACGTGCCTGTAATCCCAGCTACTCAGGAGGCTGAGGCAGAAGAATCGCTTGAATCTGGGAGGCGGAGGTTACAGTGAGCCAAGATTGTGCCACTGCACTCCAGCCTGGGCAACAAAGTGAGATTCCATCTCCAAAAAAAAAAAAAAAAAAAAAAAAAAAAAGAATGGCCTCCAAATCCGTCCAAGTTGCTGCAAAAGAGGTTATTTTATTCCTTTTTCTGGCTGAGTAGTAGTCCATGCTGTATATATACCACATTTGCTTTATCCACTCATTGGTTGATGGGCACTTAGGTTGGTTCCATGTTTTTGCAATAGCAAATTGTGCTGCTATAAACATGTGTGTGCGTGTGTCTTTTTTATATAATGACTTCTTTTCATTTGGGTAGATACCCAGTAGTGGGATTGCTGGATCGAATGGTAGTTCTCTTTTTAGTTCTTTAAGGAATCTCCGTACTGTTTTCCATAGTGGTTGTACTAGTTTACATTCCCACCAGCAGTGTAAAAGTCTTCCCTTTATACCACATCCACGCCAACATCTATTATTTTTTGACTTTTTAATTATGGCCAGTCCTGCAGGAGTACGGTGGTATCTCACTGTGATTTTAATTTTTATTTCCCTGATAATTACTGATATTGAGCATTTTTTCATATGTTCGTTGGCTGTTCATATATCTTCTTTTGATATTGTCTATTTATGTCCTTTGCCACTTTTTGATGGGATTATTTGTGGTTTTTTTTTCTTGCTGATTCATTTGAGTTCTTTGTAGATCCTGGATATTAGTCCTTTGTCAGATGCATAATTTGTGAATATTTTCTCACACTCTGTGAGCTGTCTGTTTACTCTGCTGATTATTATTATTATTATTTGCTGTGCAGAAGCCTTTTAGTTTAATTAGAACTCATTTTATTTATTTTTGGTTTTGTTGAATTTGCTTTTGACATCTTAATCATGAATTATTTGCCTAAGCCAATGTCTAGAAGAGTTTTTCTGATATTATCTTCTAGAATTTTTATGGTTTCAGGTCTTAGATTTAAGTCTATGATGCATCTTGAGTTGATTTTTGTATAAGGTGAAAGATGAGGATTCAGTTTCATTCTTCTAAATGTGGCTTGCCAGTCTTCCCAGCACCATTATTGAATAGGATGTCCTTTCCCCAATTTATGTGCTTGCATGCTTTGTCGAAGATCAGTTGGCTTTAAGTATTTGGCATTTTTTCATATGGTTGTTGGCTGCATGTATGTCTTCTTTCGTCTTCTGTTCATGTCCTTTACCCACTTTTTAATGGGGTTGTTTTTGCTTGTTAACTTGTTTAAATTCCTTATAGATTCTGGAGATTAGACCTTTGTTGGATGCATAATTTGAAATATTTTCTCCCATTCTGTATGTTGTCTGTTTGCTCTGTTGATAGTTTCTTTAGCTGTTTGGAAGCTCTTGTTTAACTGTATCTCATTTGTCAGTTTTTGTTTTTGTTGCAATTGGTTTTGGCATCTTACTCATGAAATCTTTGCCAAATGTTCTGTCCAGAATGGTATTTCCTAGGTTATCTTTCAGGGTTTTTACAGTTTTGGTTTTATGTTTAAGTCTTTAATCCATCTTGAGTTAATTTTTGTATATGATGTGAGGAAGGGGTCCAGTTTCAATTTTCTGCAAATGGCTAGCCAGTTAGCCCAGCGCCATTTATTAAATAGGGAGTCCTTTCCCCATTGCTTGTTTTTGTTGATTTTGTCAAGGTCAGATGGTTGTAGGTGTGTGTCATTATTTCTGGTCTCTCTATTCTGTCCCATTGGTCTATATGTCTGTTTTGTATCAGTACCATGCTATTTTGGTTACTGTAAGCTTGTAGTATAGTTTGAAGTTGGGTAATGTGATGCCTCCAGCTTTGTTCCTTTTGCTTAAGATTACCTTTGCTCTTCAGGCTCTTTTTTTGTTCCATATGAAATTTTAAATAGTTTTTCCTAATTCTATGAAGAATGTCATTGGTAGTTTTATAGAAATAGCATTGAATGTGTAAATTGCTTTGGGTAGTATGGCCATTTTAATGATATTGATTCTTCCAGTCCCCAAGCATGGAATATTTTTCCATTTGTTTGTGTCATCTCTAATTTCTTTGAGCAGAGTTTTATAATTTTTATTGTAGAGATCTTTCATCTTCCTGATTACCTGTATTCCCAGGTATTTTATTCTTTTTGTGGCTATTGTGAATGGGATTGTGTTCATGATTTAGCTCTCAGCTTGAATATTGTTGTTGTATAGGAATGCTATTCATTTTTGTACATTGATTTTATGTCCTGAAACTTTGCTGAAGTTGTTCATCAGATCAAGGAGCCTTTGGGCAGAGACTATGGGGTTTTCTGATATAGAATCATATTGTCTGCAAATAGCAACAGTTTGACTTCCTCTCTTTACATTTGAATGCCTTTTATTTCTTTCTCTTGCCTGATTGCTCTGGCCAGGACTTCCAGTACTACATGAGTAGGAGTGATGAGAGAGGGCATCTTTGTCTTGTGCCAGTTTTTAAGGGGAATGTTTCCAGCTTTTGCCTATCCAGTATCATGTTAGCTGTAGGTTTATTATAGATAGCTCTTATTATTTTGAAGTATGTTTATTCAGTGCCCACTTTGTTGAGGGTTTTTAACATTAAGCAATGTTAAATTTTATCAAAAGTCTTTTCTGTATCTATTGAAATAGGCATTTTTTTGTTTTTAGTTCTGTTTATGTGATGAATTACATTTATTGATTTGCATATGTTGAACCAACCTTGCATCCTAGAGATAAAGCCTACTTGATTGTGGTGAATTGTCTTTTGTATGTGCTCCTGGATTCAGTTTGCTAGTATTTTGTTGAGAATTTTTTATCTATGTTCATAGAGGATATTGGCCTGAACTTTTCTTTTTTTGTTGTATCTCTGCCAGGTTTTGGTATCAGCATGATGCTGTCCACATAGAATGAATTGGGGAGGAGTCCCTCCTCTTCAATTTTTTGGAGTAGTCTCATTAGGAATGGCACCAGCTCTTCTTTTTTTGGAGACAGAGTCTCACTTTGTCACCTCCCAGGTTCAAGCAATTCTTGTGCCTCAGCCTCCCAAGTAGCTAGGACTACTGGTGCACTCCACCACACCTGGCTAATTTTTTGTATTTTAGTAGAGACGGGGTTTAACCATGTTGCCCAGGCTGGTCTCAAACTCCTGAGCTCAGGAAATCTGCCCACCTTCAGCCTCCCAAAGTGCTAGGATTGGAGGCCTGAACCACTGGTTGGTAGGCTTTTTATTACTGGTTCAGTTTTAGAACTCATTATTGGTCTGTTTGAGGATTCAATTTCTTTGTGGTTCAGTCTTGGAAGACTGTATGTTTGCAGGAATTTATCCATTTCTTTTAGGTTTTCTAGCTTGTGTGCATACAGCTGTTCACAGTAGTCTCTGAGGGGTTTTTGTATTTCTTTCGGGTCCGTGGTAGTGTCCCCTTTGTCATTTCTGATTGTGTTTATTTGGATCTTCTGCTTTTTTATTAGTCTGGCTAGCAGTCTATATTAACTTTTTTCAAAGAATAAATTCCTGGATTCTTTGTTCTTCCACATGGTTTTTGATGTCTCAGTTTCCTTCAGCTCAGCTTTGATTTTAGTTATTTCTTGTCTTCTGCTAGTTTTGGGATTGGTTTGCTCTTGTTTCTCTAGTTCCTCTAGTTGCGATATTATATTGTTAATTTGAGATCTTTCTAATTTTGTGATGTTGGTGTTTAGTGCTATAAACTTCCTTCCTCCTTAACACTGCTTTGGCTGTGTCCCGGAGATTCTGGTATGTTGTATCTTTGTTCTCATTAGTTTCAAAGAATTTCTTCATTTCTGCCTTAATTTCATTATTTACCCCACAGTCATTTAGAAGCAGGTTGTTTAATTTCCATGTACTTGTGTGATTTTGAGTGATTTTCTTAGTATCGGTTTCTATTTTTATTGCTCTGTGGTCCAAGAGTGTGGTACGATTTTGCTTTTTAAAATTTTGGGGCTGGGTGCAGTGGCTCATGCCTGTAATCCCAGCACTGTAGGAGGCTGAGCTGGGTGGATCACCTGAGGTAAGGAGTTCAAGACCAGCCCGGCCAACATGGTGAAACCCTGTCTCTACTAAAAATACAAAAATTAGCTGGGCGTGGTGGTGCACACATGTAATCCCAGCTACTTGGGAGGCTGAAGTAGGAGAATTGCTTGAACCAGGGAGGCAGAGGTTACAGTGAGCCAAGATCATGCCACTGCACTCCAGCCCAGGCAACACAGTGAGACACCATCTCAAATAAATAAATAAATAAAATAAAATAAAATAAAAATTTGTTTTTAAAATTTTTGCTGAGGATTGTTTTATGTCTCACTGTGTGGTCAGTTTTAGAGCATGTGCCATGTGCAGATGAGAGGAATGTATATTCTGTTTGTTTTTGATTCTTTCTATTCATGAGCATGGAATGTTTTTCCATTTGTTTGTGTCATTGCTGATTTCTTTGAGCAGTGTTTTATTCTATGATCCCAGCATTAATGTAATACCAAGGCCAGATAAAGACACTACAAAAAAGTTACAGACCAATATTTCTCATGAACATAGACGCAAAAATTATTAACAAAATATTAGCAAATCTAATTCAATGGTGTATAAAAAGAATTAAACACCACAACTAATTGAGGTTTAACCCAGGTATGCAAGGTTCGTTCAACATTCAAAAATCAGTTAACGTAATTTATCACAATGATAAGCTAAAGAAGAAATATGGCATGAACATACCAATAGATACAGAAAAAGCATTTAACAAAATCTAACACTCATTCATGATAGAGTAATACTCTCAGCAAACTAGTAATTGAAGGGAACTACCTCAACCTGATTTTAGAAAACATTTTTTAAAAACCCTGCGGTTAACATCATACATCATGTTGACAAACTCAAGGCTTTTCCAGTAAGATCAGGAGAAAGGCAAGGATGTCCTTCCTCTCTCACCACTGCTTTTCAACATCATACTGAAAGTTCTAGCTAAGCCAATAAAACAAGAAAAGGAAATGAAACAGATTGGGAATGAAGTAATACTCTCTTTGTTCACAGGTAACATGATTGTCCATATAGAAAATCCAAAAGAATCAATAACACCGTCACCATCACCACCACCACCACCACCACCACCACCGCTGCCACCACCACCGCTGCCACAACCACCACCACCTTCTGGAACTAATAAGTGATTATTACAAGGTTGCAGGGTACAAGGCTAATATATAAAAGTCAATTGCTTTTCTATATACAGCAATAAACAAGTGGAGTTTGGAATTAACAACACATTATCATCTCTAGTAGCACCCTCAAAAAAGGGAATACTAAGGTGTAAATCTAACAAAGTATGTACAAGATCTGTATGAAGAAAACTAAAAAATTCTGATAAAAGATAGCAAAGAACTAAATGAATGGAGAAATATTCCATATTTTATGGATAGAAAGAGTCAATATTGTCAAAATGTCTGTTCTTCCCAACTTGATCTCTGGATTCAACACAATCCTGGTCAAAATCCCAGCAAGTTATTTTCTGGGTATTGAAAAACTGATTATAATATTTATATCAAGAGGCAAAAGACCCAGAATAGCCAACATAATATTGAAATAGAATTATAAAGTTGGAGGACTGACATTACTTGAATTCAAAACTTCTTATAAAGCTACATTAATCAAGAGGGTGTGGTATTAGTGAAAAAAATAGCCAAATAGATCAATGGAACAAAATAGAGAGGCCAGAAATAGACCCTCACCCACATAAATATTGTAAACTGATTTTTGACAAAAGAATGAAGCCAATACAATGAAGCAGTGAAAGTCTTTTCTACATACAA
Source organism: Homo sapiens (assembly GCF_000001405.40). NCBI lineage: Eukaryota > Metazoa > Chordata > Mammalia > Primates > Hominidae > Homo > Homo sapiens. Next base: position 54,014,289 of record NC_000014.9, on the reverse strand, counting down.
TGCTGGAAGAACTGGACATCCCCCCCTCAAAAAAAAGAATCTAGAATACACCTTATACCCCTTATAAGAATTAACTCAAAACGGATCATAGACCTGAATATAAAATGCAAAACTATAAAGCTCCTAGAAGATAATACAGGAGAAAATTTGGATGACCTTGGATATAGCAATGATCTTTTTCATACGCCTAAAGCATGATCCATGAAAGAAATAATTAATAAGCTAAGCTTCATTAAAATTAAATCCTTTTTCTCTGGGGAAGACAGTGTCAAGAGAATGAAATGACAAGCCATAGACAGGGAGAATACATTTGCAAAAGACACATCTGTTAATGGTTTGTTATCTGAAATATACAAAGCACTCTTAAAACTCAACAATAAGCTGGGTGTGGTGGCTCATGCCTGTAATCCCTTGGGAGGCTGAGGCGGGTGGATCACCTTACGTCAGGAGTTCAAGACCAGCCTGGCCAACATGATGAAACCTCATCTCTACTAAAAATACAAAAATTAGCTGGGCATGGTGGCACATGCCTGTAATCCCAGCTACTCAAGAGGCAAGGCTAGATAATCACTTGAACCCAGGAGGTGGAGGTTGCAGTGAGCTGAGATTGCACCATTACACCCCAGCCTGGGTGACAAGAGCAAAACTCCGTCTCAAAAAAAACAAAATAAAACAAAAACTCAACAATAAGAACACAAACAACCCAATTAAAAAATGGGCAAAAGACCCGAATAGATATCCCACCAAAGAAGATAGACAGATGGCAAGCAAGCGTATGAAAAGATGCTCAACAGCATGTGTCACTAGAGAATTGCTAGTTAAAACAATAATGAGATACCACTACATACCCATTAGAATGGTCTGAATCCAAAACACTGACAACACCAAATGCTGCCAAGAATATGGAGCAACAGGAACTCTCATTCATTGCAGTTGGGAATGAAAAATGCTATAGCCACTCTGAAAGATAGTTTGGCAGTTTCTCAGAAAACTAAACGTACTCTTATCATATGATCCAGTAATTTTACTCCTTGGTATTTACCCAAATGAATTGAAAACATGTTTAGAAAAACCTAAACATAGATGTTTATAACAGCCTTATACATAATTGCCAAAACTTGGAAACAACCAAGATGTCCTTCAGTAGGTGAATGGATTAAAAAAACTGTGGAACATTCGGACAATTGAATATTATTCAGCACTAAAAAGAAATGAGCTATCAAGCCATGAAAAGATATGGAGGAAACTTAAGTGTATATTACTAAGTGAAAGAAGTCAATATGGAAGGGCTACATACTGTATCATTCTACTATATGACATTCTGGAAAACACAAAAGTACAGAGACAGTAAAAAGATTAATGATTGCCAGGCGTTAGAGGGGAGGGAGGGATTAGTAGGCAGAGCACGGAATTTTAGAACAGTGAAACTATTCTGTATGATACTACAATGGTGGATACATGTCATTATACAGTTGTCAAAATCCATAGAATGTACAACACCAAGAGTAAACCCTAATGTAAACTATGGACTTTGCGTGACAGTTACATGTCAACCTAGGTTCACTGATTGTAACAAATGTACCACTGTGGTGCAAGGTGTCAGTCGTAGGGGAGGTTGTGCATATGTGCAGACAGAGAGTACATGGAAACTCTCTGTACTTTCTGCTCAATTTTGCTGTGAACCTTAGCCCACTCTGAAAAATAAAGTTCATTAAAAATGAAAAAGAAAAATCCAGAGATAACATATGATACAATTATAGACTGATTTCATTTATGAACATAAATGTAAAAAAAATTTTAATTTCCAAGTAAAATTCAATGGTATGTTAATATATTATGACCTGTTAGGATTTACTTTACTAAAGTTTCAGTATGAGAAAATGTATTAATGTAATTCTCTGTTAGCAGATTAAAGTGAAAAAGATTTTGGTCTTTTCAACAGAGGCTGAAAAAAGTGTATTTCAAAATCAATATTTGTTTATGATTTTAAAAGTTGTTTAAACTAGAAATAGAAAAATATCTTTGATGAGGCAAAACTTATATTCAAGAACTGATAGCATACCTCATACTTAATGGTGAAATATTACCATAATCAGGAATAAAACATGGACAGCCACCATTACCACTCAGGTTTTGGCCAGTGTACAAACAAGAAGCAGGTGTAAAAAGTATAAATGACAAAACTGACAAAAGGCATAAATGACATATCAATGACAAAACTGACATTATTTCATATGAAATGATCATCTACCTAGACAATCTAAGGAAATAATCTCTGTACAGCGAAAATAATTTGTGTACAGAGAAACAATGTATTTAAAAATGAATATCAATTTATTATGGCGAAAAATTTTAAAATTTAATTCTCTCCAAGCCGTTAAGTGCAACTTACAAATCTTTGTTTTCTTTTTATATGTGTAGAAAATAAGAACAATCATTTTACTTTGTAAAAAATTATTTGAGTAACTTAAGTTTTATAGACTAAACTCTTTAAAAACTAGCCCTATTTACAACTTATATTCTCTTAAAGGAAATAAAATCCACTTATAAATTTTAAAAATTTAATTTTCTTCAAAGCCTTAAAAAATGCCTATCTTAATAAGAAAACCCTTTCTGTTACTTTCACAATTCTTACAAATCTAGTAAGTTAAACCTATAAATATAGTGTAGCTCACCTTATTTAAACATTCTAATACTATTTTCAGATTTGGTCAAATTATCTTACACATCTCAAAATAAAGCTCTCATTCTAAAAGTCAATTATTCATACACATTCCAAATTGAAATCACAAGGCTAATCTGCCAAATAGCCTAATATGTCAATGTAGAATCCAGATTGACCTAAATTATCCTAAATGTAACACACAAGTATCAATAATATGAGTTTTATTTTCTTTAGAATATATTACATTCTAAAATTCTATGAGATTGGAAACATACTACTTGCAAAGAGGACAGTTTTACCACTGCTAGCAAGCTGGGTTTTATCATCTTGAGAGACCAGAGGTTAAGAAATCTGAACCTGGGAGCTGTATATCCAGCATGATTCTCCCCTTGTCAGCAATAGAAACTATGAGCTCCTTTCATAGTTGCCGTGACAACAGGGACTCCAAGTATAAACCCTTCAAATGGGGTTCATTTCTCCTGGGTTCAAATTACAAGTTACCCAATTCTTCCATCTGATTTAAGTCTACAGCCTTCCACTGAGGTTGCTGATAACTCTGTTCAACTAATCTCTTTACTGCCTGATTGAATTCTGAATTATTTACGTAGTCTTTCTCTCTGGTTGTACACAGAATCTTATAGATACTTAAAGATCATCTGCATATCTCTCGCATCTTTCACTCTGAAGTCAAAATATCAGTCATACTAATGAATTCTGCCTAGAGAAGCAAAAGAATCAGTTAAAGGAGTGTGTAATAAAATGTCTGGATACAAGATATTTGTAGAATCTCTACACCAGCAGTTAAGAAATGTAATAGCAATGGCAGCATAAACTATAAAATACCAGCAGTAAACCTGTTAAGAAATGTGCAAAACCTATATAAAGAATACTTGAGAACTCTACCCAAAGACATAAAAGATCTCAATAAGTAAAGATGGAAATTGTGGAAGTCTTCTGGGTGGGAAGGCTTAACACTGTAAAGCTCTCATATCATTCCCAAATTAAGAAAGTTGATGAAATTCTCATTTTTATGAAATTTGAAAACCTGATTCTCAACATACCAGATTTTTTTAAATGAGTGAAGATAAATGAAATGGAACTTGACCTATCCAACATCAAAGTATTCTAAAAAGCTGTAGTAATTAATGCGCTGTTAGCTCCTATATAAAGTTATCAATTGAACAGAACAGAAATTCTTCAAACAGACTAATACATGAATTGCAATTTGGTTTATAATAAAAATGGCATTTCTAACCAGACAGAAAAGTGTGAACTATCAATAAATGGTGTTGGAAGTTTTTGGAAAAATACAGATACCTACTTTATACTACGATAAATTTCAAATGAATTAAAAACTTCAACTTGAAAAACAAAATTGCAAGAGTATTAGATGGAAAGATGAGGAAATATTTCATTGGGGTAAGGTCTTCTTAAGCAGCATACAAAATCTATAATACATAAAGGAAAAAATATCACTTTTTTCCACATACATTTCTCCTCAATAAAAGATGCTGTCTTAAAAGTTAAAAAGAAAGCGTAAATGATAAGCTGGGAAAAAACATTTGTCAAGCATGTAACTCACAACTAGTATCCAACATAAAAACATCCTACCCATGATGTTTAAAAGATGAACAATCCAATGGAAAAATGGGTAAAGAATATGAACAGCTGAAAAGTACAAATGGTCCACAAACATGAAAAGATGGTCAGCCTTGCTCCTAGTGAGGGGAATACAAATAAAAACAACACTGAGTTATCAGTTTCTACTCAGGAGATTGGAAAAAATTTATAGCTTGTTAATATCCAGCATTAGCAAGTGTGTGGGGGAGTGAAACCCTCAGTCAGTCTTGATAGGTATCCATCTAAATTTAAAATAAGGCCAGGTGCAGTGGCTCATGCCTGTAATTCCAGCACTTTGGGAGGCCAAGGTGGGAGGATTGCTTGAGTTCAGGAGTTCAAGACCATCCCTCCTGGGCAATATAGTGAGACCCCCATCTCTATAAAATAAAAGTTAAAATACATACATTTAAATCTCTGATCTAAAACTTTCATTTTTAGAAATCTGTGTTGAAGAAATGTTTGCACATGTAAACAGATATGTTAAAAATCCCATGGCATCACATTGGTAAAAATTAAACACAACTTAAATGTCTATCAGTAGAATTGTGGTTGGCTAAATTATGAGCCATCACTGTTGTGGAATAATGTACATTCAGTGAAAAGCAAAACACATGTTCAGTGAAAACAAATATTGAATAACATGTATTATGAACCCATTAAAAATGCAAACACACTCCATAATATATGTGGCTTCATGTCTATATATGTGTATAAAAGTATAGTGAAGCACTAGAAGCTTATAGGCCAAACTACTGACTCCAGGTCATCTCTTGGAAGGGTAGTTGGACTGGAATATTGAAGAAGAGGGTTGTTGTTATAGTTACCTGGCTTCTTTACTTCAAAAGTTGTTCTACCATCATAGCTTTTGGCTAAATAATTAATAAAATAAATCCATGCTCTTCTTAGGTGTTCCCCTGGCTTTACCTCTGAGCTCCTTTAGCAGGTAGAACAGACAAGAGGGAAGATCCAGCATCTGGAATTGTCTCCACCATCTTAGACATCTTCACCTGTGGGATTTTTGTGCTTTGGTTTATTCATTCATATATTTGTTATTTTTTCATTCTTTAGTATTTTACTCAAGCAGGACACATAAAGTTTTAACATTCATTCATCAGAGCTAGCCCCACTCCCACATTCTGGATAAAAATTCAAGTAGGTCCCATTACTTCACCATTAGCTTAGGAAACAAAAATCCTACAGTCACTTTATGTCATAATCACACCCTCTATTAATTAGTTAAGTAATTAATTGTCCAGTCCTATGTAAGAATCAAACTTTGAACATGTGTCCTGTTAAGTCGTCTCTCCTCTCGCAGTTGAGTTCTGCTTTAGGCTGGCCCTTCCTGGTGGAAAAGCGATCATTGTCCTTTTCCTCTTACCTGTGTAGTATTTCTCCTTCTCTTTCAGATTGCTATGTAGGGCCCAAACAGGGGGAAGAAGGAGAGGAAGCGAGGAAAGTTCTTGACTGTTTTTGTCATAAGCTAGCTTTGTCATTTCTGAATCTTTTAAGTTCTTCTGTGGATTGCATTAGCCACCTGAGTAAAAAGGCTACACTGTGTTATACACAATGCTGTCCTTGCCCTCATCCTCACAGCTGACTATGCTGCTTGCAGACTGTTTCCTTAGAAAAAGAAAGGAGGCTTCCTAGCTAGACTGGTGGCCCTGATTTCCTTAGGGATGGACACATTCTTTATCTACTTGAAGTTATGCCCTTAAGCAAAACAAAACAGGTATTTAACAGAATAACAAAAAGACATATCTCATGCCCATGAGGAGCTCACATGAGGAAATTGCCCTATTGCCAATTTCTCATTTTTCTCACCTATCCTAGTGCCCTGTTATCGGTCCTGCCCCAAAATTCCCATGATATTTAGATTTTGGACCAATTAGTCTTACCTCTGATTGTGTCTGTCTTCACTTGCTCTCCAGTGTTTGCACGCATGTATGTCTCACCTTGTGTTCCCATCTAGAAGGGATGCTCCTTGCGGACAGTGGTTGCCTCCTATTAGCTCAGGGCTGTGCACACAGGAACACAAAACTTAAGTGAGGCTTTGACTTCTTGTGATTTAGGATCCAGCACCTAGGAGCTCCAAAAGGCCTGACAGGGTGTCTCCCCCACCTCCTTTTCACATGCTAATAAGAGTGATTACATCAACAACTACCTACCCTGTGCCCGCCACTGTGCCAGACACTGACAGTGATGGAGATATATGAGTCTCCTTCTCTCATGAGTTCACATTCAGTGTGGTAGGAAGAGAAGAACAGAGACAAACAAAATAAAACCAACATCAAGTGAGTAGGTGACTGAATAGAACATTTATAAGTTGTGGGCTGGGTGCAGTGGCTCACGCTTGTAATCCCAGCACTTTGGGAGGCCGAGGTGGGTGGATCATTTGAGGTGAGGAGTTCGAGACCAGCCTGACCAGCATGGTGAAACCCTCCCTCTACTAAAAATACAAAAATTAGCCGAGCATGGTGGCACATGCCTGTAATCCCAGCTACTTGGGAGGCTGAGGCAGGAGAGTCACTTGAGCCTGGGAGACAGAAGTTGCAGTGAGCAGACATCGCGCCATTGCACTCCAGTCTGGATGACAGAGTGAGACTCTGCCTCAAAAAAAAAAAAAAAGAAAATATTACAAATTGTGGACATGCTAGGAAGGAAATAAAAAGGTGATGATTGAGAATAGTGGGTTGTGGAGGAAAATATAGGTGGTAAAAAGCACATAAAAGGAAGTGACATTTAAGCTGAGACTGCGGGGCTGAGCGGCTGAGCCAGCCATTCACAGGATGAGAAGGAAAGTTCCAAAGAAAAGGGCATAGTCTCTGAGGCAGAAAGCAGCTGGCTTCTCCAGGGAACTAAGAGAGAAAACCAGTGCATCTGGGATGCAGTAGGAGAGGGAGAGGCTGCCACTAGGTGAAGTAATGGAGGAATGGACCTGACTCAAATCGGGTAGGGCCTTGGAGACCATGGTATGGAGTTTGGATCCTATTCTAGGTCTAAGGGAAAACCACTTAGAGTGTTTTAGGATGGAGGAGCCAAATTACATTTTTAAAAGACCTTGCTTGCTTGCAGTATGGAGATTGGGGTTGGAGGGGGACAAGTTGGGAATAAGTAGAAAATGTTGCATTGGTCTTGCATGAAAAAGTAAGATGGTGCTTCTAATTATAGTGGTGGTGATAGAATTGTGGAGAAACTGGTACTTTTTTATATAAATTGGAGATAGAATTAGCAATATTTACTAATGGATTAGATGTGGGCTGAGGAAGTTGAGAGAGAAAAAAGACATGAAACTGGATGTGTGAAGATTTATATTTCCGTGAGACATACAAGGAGAGATGGAAATGAGGCCATTAAATATGTTAGTCTAGAGCAGTTGTTCTTCAACTTCAATGTGCATCACAATCAGCTGGAGAGCTCGTTAACATACAGACTGCTGGGCCCTACCTTCAGAGTTTCTGATTAAGAAGGGCTGGGTGGAGTCAGAGAATTTGCAGTTCTAACAAGTTTCCAGGTGATGCTGATGCTACTGGTCCAGGGTTCCCACTTTAAGAACCACTGGTCAAGACAGAGGATAATTCTTGGAGTCTAGTAGTCATCAGCATAAAGAGACCATTTTAATCCATGGAACTAGATGAGATTGCTTAATGAAGCTGTGCCAGGAAACAAGAGAAAGGGAAAGAGGCTCCAGATTAAGCCAAGAAAGGGTAGAGAAGAAAGACCCAGTAGAGGCAGGATCAGAGGAATAGAAAGAAAACCAAGAGTGTGGAGTTTCAGAAGCCAGGCGAGTTGAGGGCTTCAGGTCCAGATTGATTGATGATCATGATAAATACTGTTGAGAAATAGAATAAGAAGAGAGCAGTGAAGTATCCATCAGTTTGTCATATTAGAAACATGATTAGGAGCAAAATCAATGTACAAAAATCACAGGCATTCTTATACACCAATAACAGACAAACAGAGAGCCAAATCATGAGTGAACTCCCATTCACAATTGCTTCAAAGAGAATAAAATACTTAGGAATCCAACTTACAAGGGACGTGAAGGACCTCTTCAAGAACTAGAAACCACTGCTCAATGAAATAAAAGAGGATACAAACAAATGGAAGAACATTCCATGCTCATGGGTAGGAAGAATCGATATCATGAAAATGGCCATACTGCCCAAGGTAATTTATATATTCAATGCCTTCCCCATCAAGCTACCAAAGACTTTCTTCACAGAATTGGAAAAAACTACCTTAAAGTTCATATGGAACCAAAAAAGAGCCTGCATCGCCAAGTCAGTCCTAAACCAAAAGAACAAAGCTGGAGGCATCATGCTACCTGACTTCAAACTATACTACAAGGCTACAGTAACCAAAACAGCATGGTACTGGTACCAAAACAGAGATATAGATCAATGGAACAGAACAGAGCCCTCAGAAATAACGCCACATATCTACAACTATCTGATCTTTGACAAACCTGAGAAAAACAAGCAATGGGGAAAGGATTCCCTATTTAATAAATGGTGCTGGGAAAACTGGCTAGCCATATGTAGAAAGCTGAAACTGGATCACTTCCTTACACCTTATACAAAAATTAATTCAAGATGGATTAAAGACTTAAACGTTAGACCTAAAACCATAAAAACCCTAGAAAAAAACCTAGGCATTACCATTCAAGACATAGGCATGGGCAAGGACTTCATGTCTAAAACACCAAAAGCAATGGCAACAAAAGCCAGAATTGACAAATGGATCTAATTAAACTAAAGAGCTTCTGCACAGCAAAAGAAACTACCATCAGAGTGAACAGGCAACCTACAAAATGGGAGAACATTTTCACAGCCTACTCATCTGACAAAGGGCTAATATCCAGAATCTACAATGAACTCAAACAAATTTACAAGAAAAAAACAACCCCATCAAAAAGTGGGTGAAGGACATGAACAGACACTTCTCAAAAGAAGACATTTATGCAGCCAAAAAACACATGAAAAAATGCTCACCATCACTGGCCATCAGAGAAATGCAAATCAAAACCACAATGAGATACCATCTCACACCAGTTAGAATGGCAATCATTAAAAAGTCAGGAAACAATAGGTGCTGGAGAGGATGTGGAGAAATAGGAACACTTTTACACTGTTGGTGGGACTGTAAACTAGTTCAACCATTGTGGAAGTCAGTGTGGCAATTCCTCAGGGATCTAGAACTAGAAATACCATTTGACCATCCCATTACTAGGTATATACCCAAAGGACTATAAATCATGCTGCTATAAAGACACATGCACACGTATGTTTATTGCAGCACTATTCACAGTAGCAAAGACTTGGAACCAACCCAAATGTCCAACAATGATAGACTGGATTAAGAAAATGTGGCACATATACACCATGGAATACTATGCAGCCATAAAAAATGATGAGTTCGTGTCCTTTGTAGGGACATGGATGAAATTGGAAATCATCATTCTCAGTAAACTATCGCAAGGACAAAAAACCAAACACTGCATGTTCTCACTCATAGGTGGGAATTGAACAATGAGAACACATGGACACAGGAAGGGGAACATCACACTCTGGGGACTGTTGTGGGGTAGGGGGAGGGGGGAGGGACAGCATTAGGAGATACACCTAATGCTAAATGACGAGTTAATGGGTGCAGCACACCAGCATGACACATGTATACATATGTAACTAACCTGCACATTGTGCACATGTACCCTAAAACTTAAAGTATAATAATAATAAAATTAAATTTAAAAAAAGAAACATGATTAGGAGCAAGTACTTTACAGACATTATTTCCCCAAATCCTTCAAAAATCCTATTACATTAGTTCAGCTGGCCCTCTGTATCCGTGAGTTCCTCATCCACAGATTCAACCAAGCACAGATTGAAAATATTGAATACAACTACAGCAATAAAAATAATACAAAAAAACAAGGCATAACAACTCTTTACATAGCATTTACAGTGTATTAGGTATTATAGTAACCTAGAGATGATTTAAGGTATACAGGAAGATGTGCATAGGTTTTATGGAAACACTACACCATCATATATCGGGGACTTGAGCATCTGCCGATTTTGGCATCAGTATGAGTCCTGGAAACAATTCCCAGCAGATACCAAGAGATAACTGTACTGTTGTTTTCATTTTATAATGAAGGAAATTGGGGCTCAGAGAGAGATTATACAGGTCGCTAGGGCCACAAAGGGCCTGAAACCCAGAATTTTTTTTTCTCCTAACATCCTAGGGAATGTGAAGATTGCTGCATCCTCTACTTGCTGCTAAAACGCACAAGGCTAGCCCACCTTTGGCAAAACCTTGAAGCAGGCATCCTGGTCCTTGCTCCCCAAGGCACCCAGTACCTGTGGCTGCTCCCAGATTCTTGGCAATAATGGCCTCTTCCCTCCATGTTCACCTTCCTTCCCAGGGAGCTCTTTGTGCCTCCCAATATTTTCATTTGCTTCCCAACCTCAAAACCAACCTGGACTTCATTCCTTCTTAATAGCATACACTCATCTGTGATCAAGTGATAATGGATGAAAGTGATTGCTAATCAGTAGTGTGCAGTAAAGGTGCACACTTTTTCACCCATAGAGGTGGGGAGAGATGAACATGGTTGTCTCTCGTGAACTGCTGTGAGCTAGTTCCAGCACACCACTGGAATGATTTAAAATGTTGATTTTCAGGTATCGTATTACCATTCTAAATATGGCCTTGCAGAGACAGTGTCTCAACCACAACTTATAGGGACTTCAGGCCATCTGCTCAGCTAGTGGAAGGAGATATTAGCAACAGGGAGGCCTGTGTACACTCTAGCCATACCTCAAAAGCAGTCACCTGCTTCCTCAGTGTCCAATCTAGCTCAGGAGCAGAAAGTATGACAGTTTAAAAGCTAGCATTCATTACTTCCCCTGGTTTCTAGGGTTCAAGAGTGTTCTTTTACGAGGATTACAGGCTTGTTCTTCATTGGTGTCAGCAGGTGTTTGTGATGGCTGGAGCAGGAATGAGAATTGGGGTCTGGAATAAGCCTTGCTGTCTCTTGCCAGGATGCAAAATTTGCAGCAGAGATCAGACATATGTCTTGCTCATGCCCATATGCTACTCTTCTGGAATCTGAGGAGGAGGCCACATCATCACACAGGCAGGAATGTCTGCTGAGGGCTCAGTCTGAGGCATGAGGGATTTCTAATTATCTCATGTAACTTCCACTGGCTCTTACTCTTGTATTCCTGAAAGCACAGGCCACAGAATTGGTCTCCTGGGAGTTATGTGATGTCCTATTTTAGTGAATAGTGTTGTAGTAATCATACCTCATACCACTTAGTGGGGAGGGGAGTGAGTTGGTGGGAGTGGGGACAAATGGGAGGAAGCAGAGAAGAGGAGGAGAGCAGCAAGAGGCAAAACTTGGCCCTGCTGAGGGGGAGAACATGGCTGTGAGAGCAATTGCAACTTTGGAGAAGGTGTTTCTTTGCAATCTGATTTTATGGTGTGTGCTTTGCAAGTAGATGTAGTTCATTTGGGAACAAACTCTTTGAGGCTCAAGGTCATTTTTTTCAGTTGAAAAATAAAGAAGTCTGAGAAAGAGTTATACTTCAGAATGGATGTGATGGCTCATGCCTGTAATCCAGAACTTTGGGAGTCTGAGGTAGGAAGTTTGCTTGAGGCCAGGAGTTCGAGATCAGCCTGGACAAAATAGCGAGACCTTGTTTACAAAAACATGAAAACAAAAGATTAAAGAATTGCACTTCACTGCTTTTAGGGAGCTGATCACATAGTCAGGTTTTCATCCTTATGGGCAGCTGGAAGGATCATGGCACTGCCAAAGAAGGAAAGGACCTAACCATGGGCTATGGTTGATTTTATACCAGTTACCCAATGCAGTGTTTCTTTTTCTGGGCAAATTCTCGTTTATGGGACTGTTGTACTGTGTATAAATTGCACAGACATAGATGTCCATGGGCTGCCAGAGGTACTCATAGGATGATACTTGAAAGTGACACCCTTTGATCCGAGGCTCTCAGGTGCAAATTTGCCCACACATGCATGCAGGCATGCAAATGTGTCAAAATAACACTAATATTTATAATAATACTTTGCAATTCTATACTGCCTTTCATCTGTACATCTCGGGGTACTTTGCAAGCATTCATTAATTCTCCCAACATTCCTCTGAGGAAGGTAAATATTATTTTCCTCCTCTTTACAGATGAAGCAATTGAGTCAGATAAGTGATTTGCCTGAGGCTAGTTAGGGAGTGTGGGTGGAAGGCTGAGATTAAGAGCTCAGAGTTCCTAGAGATGTCCATTAGGGAAGAAACCCAGCAGTGAAAACACTGAGGGCGCTGTGGCATGCAACACACTGGGGTGTTGCCAGGGGTCGCTTTTTCCTGTTAAATCTATCACCTTGGTAATAATAGCTACTACTTATTAGACATTTACTGTGTTTGGGGTGCTTTACATATATCATTTCCTATGCTCATATAAAAACTAGAATTATCCCGTGGGACAGATAAGGAACTGAAATTTGCAGAGATGAAGTATCTTGTCCTAGATCACTTAGTTAATAAGTGCCTGGGCTGGAATTCAAACCCAGATCTGTTTGCTTCCCAAGGCCGTGTTCTTGTCCCCAGCACATACCTCATGCTCCTTTGAAAATTGCAGGGAGGCACCTTTCTACCCTTCCAAGTCTCTTCCTTTAGTCTTTGAGTACTTATTTGTTCTAGCTGTCTACCATCAATTTCCTTGTCTTTGACAAAGTTTAAAGATTGATATTTACAGTATGTCTGATCTGAACAGATGAATTTTAAGCACAGGAAAGGGGAATCACTAAGGAAAGAGGCATAAATCATAAGTCAAGAGAGAAAACTTGAATTATTACTACTTTTTACTTTACTTTGTGTTATTTTTGGTGAAATAAAACCACTCAGTATCCTTTATACAGAAAAGGAAATACCACAAAAACAGAATATGGATTCTTCAAGTAAAAAGCCAAAGGACTTAGAGAAACATATAAGGTGAACTTAGTTTTCCTCTATTCTTCAGACTCCTCAGAGTTCTGCTGCTTTCAGGAGCTGAACTGAGCCCTAAGATTTTGATAACTCAGCTTTCCATCAAAATGGTGTATCTCATGGGCTGGGGGTAGCCATGCAATTTGTGGAGTTGACAAAGGATTTCCAGAAAGATCTGGGAGCCTGTAGAATAATTGCTGATGTAGGAATGAGCTTGGGAAATGGTGCACCTCAGAGACATACCCAGTTGTGACATCATAGTCAGTGTGCAGGAGGTGGCCTGGCTCACCCTCTGCAGCAGCTCCTGGAGGGAGGATTCATAAGAACCAGCCTCAGGCCACCATTGCTTGGTTGAGAGTGTAGGGAGAAAGGTACAGGAAGGGGCTCCTAAGATTCAGCCAACTAAACCAAAGTGATAGGATCTGCACCTTTTGGAATTAGACTCTGAGAACTTGGCTGTGTAGTTTGATTCATTTTGTAAGAAAGATAAGAAAAATCAAGTTTTAATCATGACTCATTTGAAACTGTATTTTTCTTGGAGAAGTGAGAGCTAGCTTATAAAAATCAGTGATTATACAGGAATTTGAACCCAGATGACCCGTCTGTTTTGTTCAAATTCTTTTATAATTAGTATAGTTGTAATTCCAGTGCCCCTTCCCAGCCATCTCCTCTCCTCACACAATCTATACACAGTTTCTACCATGTACATTTAAAAGCAAGACTTTAAAAAAAAAATGATTGATTACACATAGGTAGGACTTTCAGTGCTAAAATCCAGGAAGCCCTAGGCAAACTGGGATGAGTTGGTCACCCTAGTTCATGAGGATGTTAAACTGAAAAACCCAAGGTTTTAAGGCATCCAATTGTTTGAAACACTCCAAACTGTTAACAGACACATCCCAAAATATCAACATAAGCCCACCCTCCACCCTGCCCCATGGAAGAAATTAGCACTACGCAAATTACAGGTAGCCATAACCACTGGAAAACCTTTAGCAAAAGTCCAACATTAAATTTTTGTCTATCTTCAAAGTCACAGAATAAGGATTCTGCTGGTGTTTTGGTTTTTAGTATGAAAGAGAAAAACAGGGCTGGGCGCCGTGGCTTACGCCTGTAATCCCAGCACTTTGGGAGGCCAAGGCGGGCAGATCACTTGAGGTCAGGAGTTTGAGACCAGCCTGGCCAACATGGTGAAATCCCGTCTCTACTAAAGATATAAAAATTAGCTGGGCGTGGTGGCATGTAGTCCCAGCTACTCGGGAGGTTGAGGCAGGAGTATCGCTTGAACCCAGGAAGCGGAGGTTGCAGTGAGCCAAGATCACACCACTGCATTCCAGCCTGGGCAAAAGAGCGAGACTCTGTCTCAAAAAAAAAAAAAAAAAGAAAAGAAAAAGAAAAGAAAAAAGAGAAAAAAAGAAAGAGAAAAACAGAAAGACAAAAATCCCACAGTGTTCACATATAAACATTTTCAAAAGTGTTAAGTGGAGGCAGTCCTGGTAATAGGACTGTAATGGTAATTGGCGAGGCAGCAGGGCCTACACCTGCGTTGAATGAATGCAGGGATCTGCAGAAAGCCGAGAGTCCAGTGTGAAGTGGCCGGGCTGGGTGACGTGCTCCCATACTCCTGCTTAACCACATAATCATTAAAGAGCAGAAACCTCTCCTTGTAATCCTCTCCTATAGGACAGCAGGGAGTGTTAGCATATTTGGACTGCTTCACATTCCTTCTTGCCTACTTTTGAGAACATACTACATTTTAAAACTTGTTGGTTTCTTTCATGTTTTATTTGACCCTATGTAATTGCATTCCTGAAGGAATAACAGGCCCCCCTAGTGATTTACACCCTGTATTAAATGTCAGTTTTGAAGAGACACAGTTAACAGTTTGGTTTAACCTCCTGCCTTCCCTCTCTCTATTAGCTTAGACCTGAATTTGAGCTCCAGCTTTGAAAACTCTGAGGGAGGGATGAAAAGATAAAAAATGAGCTGAAGCAGCAGCAGTGTTGAAGGCAGCCTCTCAGCTCTTGCTCTTCTTACACCTTTTCCCTGAACATAAAGACACCCCCTTTTTTCTTTAGGCGATCTATACCTACTCTTTACTTCTATCCCAACACGGTGGTGAGGACAGTGAATCAGAACCACATTCTGGACTAATTGGGGTTCTATTTCATATTGCCACTCATTGCTCTGGCCCCAGGGACACCAGCAATGGCCATAAACCATGGTTCTACCTCAACCATGCAGTACCCAATAAGTAGTGGGTTTGATGAAACTGGGCAGAGGGAGGGGGGAAATATTTTAGTAATTTGCCTTATTTTATTTTATTTACATATTTAATTGCTATAATGTTGTTGTCTATTAAAATTTCATTTGCTCTGGTAGATTCACTGAAAATATATTTAACAATTGCTTAATTACCTGTTGTAATGGCATATTCCGTGTGTGTGTGTGTGTGTGTGTGTGTGTGTGTGTGTGTATGTGTTTAAAACCCTGTGTTATAACCTGACAGGCAACATAAGCAATCATTACTTTCAGGAGTTCATATAAAAACATGAAACAAAAGAGATTTTGTGTTAAAAACAGTTGTCTACACAGAACACACACTAAAGTCATCCTCTGCTCTGTTCACCCTTCCAGTTTTTCTCCGATGACCACAGTCTACAAGGCTTGATTAGAAATGGCTGCAACTTTATACTACGAAAGAATAAATTAGGAAGTAAGGGCAATTGTGCTCAATTTTCTGCCAATACAAAGAAGTGGTCTAGTGTCATCATGTCAGCACCTGAGACCTTAATCCTCAACTCCCACTCAGGAGCCACTTATAAGCCATTAGCCAAGCCATTTACACTGGACCTCTGTGTCTAAAGGGAGAAAAATTAACCCTGACTTATGAGATGAGAACGTTTGGCTCTTTATGCGTGCACTTATTTTGATCTTATTTCCTAAATTATTTTAGGTAGTTTGTAAAATGGATAAAATATAAAAATGAAGGAATCAGGGCAAAGAGAAAATGAGGATAGGAGAAACAAGGGAATCTCAGACAAATGAGTACACATGAAAGATGTTGGCCAACTGTTGAAATGAAACACAGTCGTCATCGCTACCACTAATGCAACTAATAGCCACTGCTAAAATGGTATAGTTAACACAAGTGCTAGTACCATTACTATTGGAAACCATCGAGAATGACAATTATGGCTTGCGTTCCATTCCAAGTGATTCATATTTTCCAGTTGTCAGGTCCTGCAGAGATAGACCCTATCTCCCAGAAACAATAAAATTAAAAACTTGAAGTTCATCTTCCATTCACAAGTATCTATTTCCAATAGGCAGCTTTTACACTTGGTTATCATTTATAATTTTCTTAGTGGATTACTGTTATTAATACTATTGTTATTTTCATTATTACTCTTATTGTCAAAACTCTGATGACTATGGTGTAACACATAATATTAAAGTCTGCAGGCCAAATATATTATAACCATATTTTATAATGTTACAGAAAGAGCCTAAGACAATGATTTTGGTCTTCTTTTATTTAAATCATATCAGCATAGAAAAAGACCATGATAATCTTCCTTGTTATCATGTACACTTGCAAAAATTCTCTCCAGAACAAGACACACTTTTTTATGAAATTTACATTTTCACCAGGGAAAAATCCACTCATAACCATATTCATTATGAATGTGTACTCTAAGAAAGTCATCACTTGGAAACGAGAGAATCTATATCCAGTGCCGGTAATTCCCAGACCTGTTTTTAAAACCTTCTGACCCCAAAAACTACATTCTAATTAGCATCAAGCACAACTAACTGCCAGATATCAATATGTGTGTAACTACCCACATGGCTGAGATTGTGCACTGTGGAGGCATTGAGATCTGGGCTCAAATCCTTTCTCTTCTACCCTGTTTGTGGGACACATTACTTAACCTCTTGTAGCCTCAGTTGTCTTGTAGTAAAAATGGGGCTAAAGTAATAACTACAACTCATAAAGTTGTTGTAGGGATTGAATGAGATAATGTATGCTAAGAGGTTAATATAGTACGTGTGTGAGTGTGTCTGTGGGTTTGTGTATGTGTGTGTGTAGAGAGAGCACTGAAAAAGTGTCAGTTACATCTATACACGCTATTTTCCTATCTAAAATTTAAAATTTAAGATAGGAAAAATTCAACTTCTAGGAATTTCTTATTTATTTATTTATCTATTTAATAAAAACATGTATTGCTTATATGGTAGGTACTGCTTTAAATATTTTTAAAGTTTACTTAATCTTTATAAAATTTAAAAATTTTTTGTATTTTTTAGAGAAGTCTTTGTACCTCATTTGATGACTTATTTTGTGATATTGTAGAGCTGCTCATCAATGCCAGTGTTTTAGTCTCTTGGCGTTTGGAAGTTGAGGCATATATAAAACCACATATTAAGTGCCCTGGGCCAGTTTGATATGTGATATGTAGAGTGAACCTATTGCTTTGTAAGGTGAATACTCATTATTTCCATTCTAAAATTCCAGATTGTCATATAATGGACTTTCTTAAAATTGTCTTTCTAGGGCAGGGTTAGCAGTTTGTGAAACTGATCGAAGCAATATTCTAAAATCTCTGCATCTGTTGTTTTAATTTGCATCTGATAGTGGTTGAGCATCATTTGGTGTGTTTATTTGGCAGAAAGTTTCCTCTTCCATCCTCTTCCAAAGGATGGGAATTATTTGCTCCCATCCTTTGCTCATTTTTTTATTGAATAGCTTGTCCTAACATTATTTAATTATTTAATTTAATTTAATTAATTAGTGTTATTATTTTAATATATTTTACAGATTTATTATATTTATATATTTAAACATTTTAATTAGTAATCATTTAATATTTTAATATTATTGCTTGCAACAGTTATTTAACTGTTGATACTAATCCTTAATTTATATCATATATAAGAATATATCTTATTGTATATAAAATATCTCTTATAAAAGTAATTATGTTCATTTTAGAAAATGCAGAAAAACAAAAGAAGAAAATATTTTTTCATATAATTTCCACAGCTAGGAATATCTTGATGACTATCCTTTTTAGTTCTTTTTCATGCAAATGTGTATGTGTTTTTTAATATGTTTTATAATCTGACTTTTCTTATTATCTATATATCTTGCACATGTTTCCATGTTACTACTTATCTACAATATAATTTTAGTTTCTGGATAGAATTCCATTATATTGCTGTACCATAATTTATTTAATAATCTATATTTAGACAATTTTGGCAATTTTTTAAAAAACTACTTTTGATGCAATTGTATTATTTAATTAAAAAAAATTTTTTTTACAGACAGGGTCTTTCTCTGTCATCCAGGCTGGATTGCAGTTGCATGATCATAGCTCACTGCAACTTCAAACTCCTGGGCTCAAGCAATCCTCCTGCCTCAGCCTCCTGAGTAGCTGGGACTACAGGTCTATACCACCAAGTCCAGCTAATTGTTTTTTTCATATTTTTTTAGAGATATGGCCTTACTATGTTGTCTAGGCTTAATTACTTATCTAATATTTATCTCTTCTGTTAGACTCATGACTTTTACCCTTTCTGACTGCAGCTCAGGATAAGAAGTACATAGTAATCTGTGACCCAGCACTCACCTGTGTATCTGACATATGCATGTGACACACATATAAGTGGAAAAAAGTCATGAAACAAAACTCACTTTCCGGTGATTTCTGTTCATTTCAATATCATTAAAATTTTTTTCTGGTCACAATCTACTAAATTATTTCATGATCCACAGATGAGCTTTTACCCTCAGTGTGAAAATCAGTGCCTAAGTCACTTGTTCCAGGGGAACAAAGGCTGCGCTTGGCACACAGGAGACATTAATGCATTTGTATTGAAGGAACAGCTGTCTCGAAATCTTTCTGTTCATCCGTGACGACTGGTTAAGCGGTATAATGTATGGTTACCTCTAAGGTAGAAGTAGACTTCAGAGTCTATCTGACTTCAGAAGTCAGACCGTAAGGGTTTAAATACTGGCTCTGCCATGTACTAGCTGGTGACCATATGTAACTTACTTGACCTCTCTGTGCCTTATTTTCCTCAACTATAAAATGAGGATAATAATAGTGCCTAACTCATGGGATTGTTACGAAGATTAAATAAGTAAATTTAAAAAATATTTAAAGCAGTACCTGCCATATAATAAGCAATATATATTTTTATTAAATAAGTAGATGAATAAATAAATAATAAGAAATTCCTAGAAGTTGAATGATTAGATCAAAAGATACGTAAAAACTTAAGGCTTTTGAAATGTGTAGGTAAATACCACCCATCCCTCCCTCCTCTGCTTCCTGCAATATTTGAACCAGCTTTTATTCCTACCAGCAGTACAGACTTGTAGAAGTGATATCCTGTGGTGATATTCCCTGTTTATCACTTACCTGAGGATGTTTGGGCTGGTTAAGAGTTAGAGTGGTAGTGACTCAAGTAGTGCAAGAAGAGAGGCCTCAGCCAGTTGCTCATGAAAAGAGGCATTGAGGGGATGCCTGTCGACACTGGACAGAACTCTCTGGCAGCATCAGGGTAGGTGAAACCTCAGGGGTACTTTGCAGAGGGAATGGGAGGATCTAGCAGATGCCAGGGCAGTAAGACTCACAGGCAAACACTCCTCTCCAGGGCACGTCTTTCTTACTGCCATAGTCGCTACTCTGCCACTTCTTGCTCTAAAATCCTGTCTCAAATCTGCAAGTAAATTTCTAAATCCTATTTAGTCTGTGTAGATAGGTTGCTTTGTGAAAAGCAGGCGTCCTCCTGAACTACTCACACTCACGGACACATACACACAGCCTGTTGCTTTCTGTTTTAGTATTTGGAGAAATACGTATTCAATTCAAGTTCCAACTTGTCTGCAAAGTCTCCCCTGACAACTTCAGCCCAGGTGGATCTCTCTTTCCTCTGAGCTTTCACAGCAATTTTAGGCAGTACCACAGTATTTAGTACTTAATTATACACTGTCTGGTTCTGGAATTGTCTCAGGGTGTTAGTTGTTTCCCCCAACTATAGGGTAAGTTCTTTGAAATCAACTGCCATGTCATATTTCTTTTGGATCCCTTGTTGGCTTGGCATGTAGTAGGTCTTTAGTAAATGGCCAAAGATCAGTTGATTGATCCAAGTGTACATCGTGTGAGATTTGCATTGAAATAAAATTACATCAAGAAAGATGTTTGCCATACTTTACAACTTTCATAAAATAAACCCAAAATAGAGCAAATATTAAAATATTTTAAAATCAAACAATAACACTACTAGAATAAAATATGTGTAAAATTATTTATAACAGTGGAATTAATGAAATGAGCCCAGCCTTTCTAAACAGAATGCAAGCCTGGAAGCCATTAGAAATGATGGATAAATTTGGTAACAAAAATTTTAAAACTTTTCTACGGCAGACTTCGTTGATTTATAAGGATCTTGTACAAATCAAGATGATGAACAACCCTTCGTCTCCCCAACCCAAATTGTAAGGGGGTGAAAAATGGCTAAATTTTCTTTCCAGCCTTGTCCTTCACTCGTCTACAAAGGATCTTTCACCTCAACTGAGGATCTTGATCCCGCACCTTCTTCAAATTCTGTCTCCTTAGCTATGTCTTTCTCCTTTCTTCCCTTATCAATTTTCCTTTATGCTCTGAATCTTGAATTTTCAAAAAGTAAGAGACTTTGTGGTAGTGTTTTAAGAAAAGAAGAGCTTTCTTTGAACTTACTGCAGTTGGCAGAAGTGTTAGCAAGTGACTTTCAGTGGGCATCCCAGCCACTTACGCCTTGGATATATCAGTGTCCAACACTGCATGGTTGTCAGTGGTTAATATCATTGGCTAAATGTTGTGTGGCTAACTTTTCCTGAGTAGTGTGCTTTACCCAAAAGTCAGTGTATTAGGTGCTCCACTGAAAAAGGCTATTATTATAACACCACAGCATGTAATTTTGGAAAACTTGGAATATCAGAAATCATATGCAACACTTCACTTTAGGGTGAGAACTACAGCATATGCAAGAAAGAGAAAATCGTGTCAATTTTTAAATGTTTGCTTTCTAGTTTTATTTTTATTCAGAATAACAGAATCAAAACAGGAATGTGTTTTTTTTTTTCTTATCGCCAAGAGAAAACTCAAGTCTTCCTAGTGTTACCAAGCAATTGAAAAAG
Organism: Homo sapiens; assembly: GCF_000001405.40. Lineage (NCBI taxonomy): Eukaryota > Metazoa > Chordata > Mammalia > Primates > Hominidae > Homo > Homo sapiens. The sequence goes on along the minus strand of NC_000014.9, from coordinate 53,992,806 downwards.
AGCTACTGTTCATAGAGAAGATGCTCAAGACAGAGGTGAATAGATGAGCTCTGTTGGATGATGTTTTTGAGGATATTGTTAAGAAGGTTGGTGTATAAATAAGGAAGTCACTGAAATTGATCTAGGTTAATTTTAGTTTCTTTCAGAACCCATTAAAAAGCATCATTGTTTATCAAGTGGAAAGAAAAGTTGATAGTGAGAGAAAAGCTTATCTTTTATAGAGTATAAACTATTACAAAGAATAAGGAGGAATGAAAACTATCAGGTTAGAATACCTGAGAGTGTTCCCTTAGAAATGCCAAAGTCCTGACATTCTGATTGTTTCAAAGAGCGATGAAAATATATAAATGTACAAAAGTGGATGCCTTTGTTTTCCTCTGGGGATCTTTCAGTATATCCTGGAAAATGTAGTTTTCTCAAACCATTTTTATTCAGGAAATTTGGAAAATTTTTTTTTTTTTTTTTTTTTGAGACAGAGTCTTGCTCTTTCACCCAGGCTGGAGTGCAATGGCGTGATCTCAGCTCACCGCAACCTCTGCCTCCTGGGTTCAAGTGATTCTCCTGCCTCAGCCTTGTGAGTAGCTGGGATTACAGGCATGCACCACCATGCCCGGTTAATTTTGTATTTTTTTTAGCAGAGATGTGGTTTCTCCATGTTGGTCAGGCTGGTCTTGAACTCCTAACCTCAGGTGATCCCCCCACTTCGGCCTCCCAAAGTTCTGGGATTACAGGCATGGGCTACCGCGCCTGGCTGGAAAATAATTTTTTAAAATCATAAATATCACCGACTTTCAGCAGGGCTGCGGCTACCATGTTCTCTCATGCGGGCATCACTGGGCTGTTGGCCTGGACCTTGCAGCCACAATGGATTCAAGTTCGAAATACAGCAACTTCGAAAGATGTTACCAAGCGACTAAAGTCCATCAAAAACATCCAGAAAATTACCAAGTCTATGCAAATGGTAGCAGCAGCAAAATACGCCCAAGCTGAGAGAGAGCTGAAACCAGCTTGAATATATGGATTGGGATCTTTGGCTCTGGAGAAAAAGCTGGTATCAAGGTGCCTGAAGACAACAAGAAACACCTCCTTATTGGTGTGTCCTCAGATCGAGGACTGTGTGGCGCTATTCATTCCTCCATTGCTAAACAGATGAAAAGCGAGGTTGCTACACTAACAGCAGCTGGGAAAGAAGTTATGCTTGTTGGAATTGGTGACAAAATCAGGGGCGTACTTTACAGGATGCATTCTGACCAGTTTCTGGTGGCATTAAAAGAAGTGAGAAGAAATCCCCCTGCTTTTGGAAATGTGTCAGTCATTGCCCTTGAATTACTAAATTCTGGATATGAATTTGATGAAGGCTCCATCATCTTTAATCAGTTCAAGTCTGTCATCTCGTATAAGACTGAAGAAAAGCCCATCTTTTTCCTTAATACCATTGCAAGTGCCGAGAGCATGAGTATCTACTATAATATTGATGCTGAGGTGCTGCAAAATTACCAGGAATACAGTCTGGCCAACAGCATCTACTACTCTCTGAAGGAGTCCACCACTAGTGAGCAGAGTGCCAGGATGACAGCCATGGACAACACCAGCAAGAATGCCTCTGAGATGATTGACAAATTGACATTGACATTCAACTGTACCCGCCAAGCTGTCATCACAAAAGAGTTGACTGAAATTATCTTTGGTGCTGTAGCTCTGGATTAATGAAAATCAAGTTCCATCCTCAGACAAGGGGTAAAGAAGGAAAATTCAGCCAGCTGATTTTGTTTTTAGCTTACTGTTGTCTTTGTCAGAAGAAAGTGTTCCTCCATTGTTTTAATTACTGAAGACAGCAAGATAAGTGTAAATTATTTTACAATAAACAACTTAAAATCATAAATATCACTTATCTTCATGCACTCGTATGCAAGTTGAAAGGCAGTATTTATATGGTACATTTTGTCTACAGATGTGGAGACTTTAAAAATAATAAAATCCCAATTTGCTGAAGAAACAGACACAAGCATGATGTGTCATGTGATGAGTCTCAGGTGAAACCTGGCAATGATCCTACTAAATCCCGGGCCATTTTTCAAATGCCAAAGTGAGTTTCTGGGCCACAGATTAGCCAGTCCCTTTAACGATTATTTTCATAGGGTTCCATTCATTTTGGTTAATGTAAACACTCCATTATTTTTACTATTTGGAAGGTAGATGTATTAATAAAAATTGAAATCTGATCTATCATCTCTATTTAAAAGTATTTAAAAATACTTCAATGTGGCATTCTGTCAATTGGGAGGTAAGTGGAATTCATGAAGCCCAAAGGGGAACAGGCTTCTGTTCCCGTGAAGGTCCACAAGCCTACAAGGCATGGAACAGAGGGACAGATGAGAGCCACCCATAGCACACAAGCCACAGAGCAAGGCTATGAGTTTTTTCAGGGGAAGTTCATTCTTACTTCAAATCAGAGCATGGTGGAACAGAAAAGACTCCTGCTGTTTAAGGATTTATACTCTGGCAAATGAGATACATATCTTGACAATAGTTAAATCTTTAAAAGGAACAGATACATTAAAAAATGGAATACAAACAATGGAAAGTGCTTGGTCGGGCGCGGTGGCTCACGCCTGTAATCCCCGCACTTTGGGAGGCCGAGGCAGGTGAATCACGAGGTCAGGAGATCGAGACCATGGTGAAACCCCGTCTCTACTAAAAATACAAAAAATTAGCCAGGCACAGTGGCGGGCACCTGTAGTCCCAGCTACTCGGGAGGCTGAGGCAGGAGAATGGCGTGAACCCACGAGGCGGAGCTTGCAGTGAGCCCAGATCGCGCCACTGCATTCCAGCCTGGGCGACAGAGCGAGACTCCGTCTCAAAAAAAAAAAAAAAAAAAAAAGGAAAGTGAATTAGTAAAAGAGTAAAGTCAATGGTGTTATTTATTTAAATAAATTTTACTGAGAGGAATCAAATAACTTTCTTTTGATTGATCCAGGAGGGTGTCATAGTTGGAGAGAGATTTTGGAACCTAGCAGAAGAGTAAGAAAGGAGTGGTTTGTTTAAGATTCATTGCTATTAAACACTTTGTGATCTGACTTTTTAAAGTGTAAATAGGAGACTATTCTTTTAAAAATACAAGTAAGTATTGCTTGAATCTATATCGTGTTAAAGGTAGTTTTCATGTTAGTTTAAAAATTTGCTCATGAACAAATTTGTCTTGGTTTGTAGTCACAATTTAAGCAGTTGTTTGTGTTGCGTGTGGAAGGACTCTACATTCTAGCACAAAAGAGGATAAACATGTTCTAGGGATTGCTGGCCATCTAGATCAGCAATCTGACTCTCACCATCCAACCTTTCTTTGGTCATTGAAGAGGCTACAGTGTTGTCACACTAAGGCTCAGGGACTGAGTAGGTGACAAAACTCAGAACTGGGCCTTGGGTGTGACCTGGCCCAAGGGCTGCTTAAACAATAAATGGAGTTCAAGGTTTTCCATTGCCCTACCCAAGAAGCTCAGGTCAGACCTGAAACTTCTGCTATATGATCTACATACCAAGATATGTGGTTACAACACAATACTCATTGACAGCTTTCTTACTTATTTTAGGGTGGGTTCCCTAACTAGGGATTTCAAGACTCTCGAGGAAGTCAGCAAATTCCTTGAAATTATAAGCAAAATTTGGTGAAGAGATGAGCATGTGTGTTTTCCTTGGGCACAATTCATCAGAGTCTCAAAGGAATTGTAATCTCAACAAAAATGAGAATTACATCTCTAGAATGGAAAAATTCTCTACTGTTTTCCTAATGAGCAAGAGTGTATAATTTCTGGCTACTTCTTTTTAGGAGAATTAAGCTGAGCAATTTAAAACATGCTGTGGTTTAAATGTGTCCCTCAAAAGTTTGTGTGTTAGAAACTTGGTCCCCAGTATAGCAGTGTTGAGGGGTGGGACCTTTGGGTGATGATTATGTCATGAGGACTCTGCCCTTGTGAATGGACTGTTAATTAGATTAATGGATTATTGAGGGAATGGGTTAGTTATCATGAGAGTTGGTCTGTTATAAAAGCCAGTTTGGCCATCTCTTATGAGTCCTCTCACCATATGATGCCCCGTGTTGCCTCAGGACTCTGCAGAGATTTCCCACCGGCAAGAAGGTGGTCACCAGAAGCAGCCCCTAGGCCTTGGACTTTCCAGTATCCAGAACTATAAGAAATAAATTTCTTTTCTTTATAAATTACCTAGTTGCAGATATTCAGTTATAGCAACAGAGAAAAGAGTAATATAAAATTTCATTGCATTTTCCTTTTTGTATAATTTTTATTGCATACAAATACAAAACAGTATTTTTTTACCTTGAGTTAATCTTCTCATGTCAAAAAAATATGTGTGTGAGTTAGTTCATTGATTGCAAATGAAATGCCATTTTAAAATTCTGTTAAAATGGAAATGCCATGCCATACTTCAACATTCTATTTAGATTCTATTTTAACCAAAAGATCTTAAAGTTTTTCTCAGAAGGTAATGAAACCACAGCCCCCTCCCAACCCATCTTTAGGAAATACAAAGTAATCAAACTTTTTATAACTGAAAAGTATATTACAACTCTAGTTAACCATTTTAAATGTTTTTCTTTAAAAGAGATAAATAACAAGTCAATGGAAAAGATAAAATGGAATTATGAAAATACTCAATTAAACTTGGAAAAAGCAGAAAGGAGAAAATAGAAACTAAAGCCAGGCATGGTGGGTCATACCTGTAATCCCAGTAAATGGGAGGCTGAGGCAGGAGGATTGCTTGAGGCCAGGAGTTCAAGGCTGCAGTGAGCCACTGCACTCCAGCCTGGTCATGACAGAGCAAGATCCTAGCTCAGGAAAAAAAAAAGGGGCAATGAATAGAAAATAACTAGCAAGATGGTAGAGTTTAATCCAATGATACCAATATACCAATAATCACTTTAAATGTAAATGATGTAAACACACCAGTTAAAAGACAGAGTTTGTTAGATTGGATAAAACAGCAAGATCCAATTACATGTTGTGTACAACAAACCCACTTTAAATATAAAGGTTTAGATCAAAAAGTAAAAAGATGGAAAAAGATATAAAATGAAAACACAAACTAAATGAAAGCTGGAGTAAGTACACTAATTTCAGATGAAGTAGACTTCAGAATAACAAAAATGATCAGGGATAAAGAGAAACTTTACATAATGAAAAAGGAGTCAATTTTCCCAAGAACATACAGCAATCCCAAATGTGTATGCATTTAAAAATAGAGCTTCAAAACAGATGAGTAAAGAACTGACAGAAGTAAATAAACAGACAAATACTATGATTATAATGGCAGTCTTCAACACTTCTCTCACAGTAATTGATAAAACAAGTTGACAGAAAATAACTAAAAATATAGATGGGCTGGGCATGGTGGTTCATGCCTATAGTTCCAGCTACTCAGGAGGCTGAGGTGGGAGGATGACTTGAGCCCAGAAGTTCACGGCTTCAGTGAGCTAAGATGGCACCAGTGCACTCCAGCCTGGGTGACAGAGTGAGACCCCCCTCTCTAAAAATTTTTTTTTGATTTTAAAATTAAAAAAAACGAGACCTAAACAGCATTTTCCAGTAACTTGACCTAATTGGCATTTATAGACCACTCCACCCAGTGGCAGTAGAACACATATTCTTCTCAAACACACATGAAACATTCACTAACATAAACCATATTCTGAGCTATAAAGTAAACCTTAACAAAATTAAAAGAAGGGAAATCACATTGTATTTATTAGTCTGTTTTCCCACTGCTGATAAAGACATATCCTTTATCTGAGGAAAAAAGGTTTAATGGACTTACAGTTCCACATGGCTGGGAGGCCTCACAATCATGGTAGAAGGCAAGGAGGAGCAAGTCACATCTTACATGGATGACAGCAGGCAAAGAGAGAGCTTGTGTAGGGAAATGTCCGTTTTTAAAACCATCAGATCTCGTGAGACTCATTGGCTGTCACAAGAACAGCACAGGAAAGACCCGCCTCCATAATTCAATCACTTCCCACTGGGTTCCTCCCATGACACATGGGAAATGTGGGAGTTACAATTTAAGATGAGATTTGGGTGGAGACACAGCCAAACCATATCATTCCCTCCCTGACCCCTCCCAAATCTCATGTCTTCACATTTCAAAACCACCCTTGTCCTCCTAACAGTCCCCCAAAGTCTTAACTCATTTTGACGTTAACTCAAAAGTCCACAGTCCAATATCTTATCTCAAGTCCCTTCTGCCTATAAGCCTGTAAAATCAAAAGCAAGTTAGTTACTTCCTAGACACAATGGGGGTACAGGCATTGGGTAAATACAGCTGTTCCAAATGAGAGAAATTGGCCAAAATAAAGGGGCTATAGGCCCCATGTAAGTCTGAAATCCAGCAGGGCAGTCAAATTGTAAAGCTCCAAGATGATCTCCTTTGACTCCATGACTCGCATCCATATCATGCTGACACAAGAGGTGGGTTGCCATGGTCTTGGGCAGCTCTGCCCCTGTGGCTTTGTAGGGAGCAGCCTCCCTCTCAGCTGCTTTCATGGGCTGGTGTTGAGTGTCTGCAGCTTTTCCAGGCACATGGTGCAAGCTGTCGGTGGATCTACCATTCTGTGGTCTGGAGAATGGTGGCCCTCTTCTCACAGCTCCACTAAGTGGTGCCCCAGTAGGGACTACATGTGGGGGCTCCAACCCCACATTTCCCTTCCACACTGCCCTAGCAGAGGTTCTGCATGAGGGAACCACCCCTGCAGCAAACTTCTGCCTGGGCATCCAGGCATTTCCATACATCCTCTGAAATCTAGGCGGAGGTTTCCAAACCCCAATTCTTGACTTTTGTGCACTTGCAGACTCAACACCACATGGAAACTGCCAAGGCTTGGAGCTTGCACCCTCTGAAGGCATAGCTTGAGATCTATGTTGGTCCCTTTCAGCCATGGCTGGAGCAGCTAAGACACAGGGCACCAAGTTTCTAGACTGTACACAGCAGAGGGACCCAGGGCCTGGCCCAGGAAATAATTTTTTCCTCCTAAACCTCCAGGCCTGTGATGGGAGGGGCTACCCCAAAGGTCTCTGACATGCCCTGGAGACATTTTCCCCATTGCCTTGGTGATAAACATTTAACTCCTTGTTACTTATGCAAATTTCTGCAGCCAGCTTGAATTTCTGCTCAGAAAATGGGATTTTCTTTTCTATAGCATTGTCAGGCTGCAAATTTTCTAAACTTTTATGCCTTGTTTTTCTTTTAAAACTGAATGCCTTTAACAGCACCCAAGTCACCTCTTGAATGCTTTTCTGCTTAGAAATTTCTTCTGCAAATTCCCTAAATCATCTCTCTCAAGTTCAAAGTTCCACAAGTCTCTAGGGCAGAGGCAAAATGCCACCAGTCTCTTTGCTAAAACATAATAAGAGTCACCTTTGCTTCAGTTCCCAAAAAGTTCCTCATCTCTATCTGAGACCACCTCAGCCTGGACCTTATTGTCCATATCACTATCATCATTTTTGTCAAAGCCATTCAACAAGTCTCTAGGAAGTTCCAAACTTTCCCACATTTTCCTGTTTTCTTCTGAGCCCTTCAAACTGTTCCAACTTTTTCCGTTACACAGTTTCAATTTTCTGGTATCCTTTCAGCAACACCCCACTCCTGGTACCAATTTACTGTATTAGTCCATTTTCATGCTGCTGATAAAGACATACCTGGGACTGGGGTAAAAAAGGAGGCTTAATGGACTTACAGTTCCACATGGCTGGGGAGGACTCACAATCATGGCAGAAGGCAATGAGGAGCAAGTCACATCTTACATGGATGGCGGCAGGCAAAGAGAGAGCTTGTACAGGGAAACTCCTATTTTTAGAACCATCAGATCTTGTGAGACTCATTCATTATTACGAGAACAGCATAGGAAAGACCCACCCCCAGTATTCAATCACCCCCTGCCAGCTTCCTCCCATGACACATGGGAACTGTGGGAGTTACAATTTAAGATGAGATTTGGGTGAAGACACAGCCAAAGCACATCACACATAGAATATGTTTTTAGACCATAATGGAATTAAATGGAAACATATAATAGAAAGATAACTGGAAAATCACCAAATATTTGGAAATTAAACAGCATGCTCCTCAATAATCCATGGGTCAGAGAGGAAGTCTCAAGGGAAATTTCAGCACATCAATATGAAGCTGGGCCTTGATGTAGCATGAAGAAGTTGGCATGTCCTAGCACTGAAGTGGAAGCAGGAGCTAGGCCCCTCATGAGATGTGGAATGAGGTTCAGAGAAGGGTGGAGTTGTGGGTGTGGTCTGGGGCACTGGGATCAGGGAGTAGTGCATGGAGGACATTTAGGGTCCTTGTGGTATTGTTTCCAGCACAACTGCCCTTCTTTTCTTCCTCTAAATGTTCTGCTTTAATGAACACAGTAAATCACTTCCTTGGGCCAGGTGGATTAACAAAGAATATGGCACAATTTGCAGTGGAGCACTCAATTCTGAGCTCTTTGCTTTTGATCCCTTCCTTCCAAACCTTAAAGTACCCCACACTGCTTTCCCCATTATATTGAAATTGTAAAAATTATAACTATGGTTTGCTGACTATGAGGCAGATGCTTTGCTAAGCATTTTACAAATATGACTTTATTCAGTCCTCACACACACAAAAAATGCTGTCAGGGAGATATTCTTATCCTCATTTCACCGAAGTGTAAACTGAGGTACAGAGAGATTAAGCAGGCACAAAGCAGGTTGGTAGCAATGTCAGTATTTAACTCCTATTTTGTTTGATTCTGAAGATTCTCAATACCCATGATATGCTGCTTCCCACTGTGGGTGTTGAGTATGTGGCTGTTAACTTTGTGCTTCTGGGTATCTAAAAACACAAAGGTCTAAAAGGATCTGAATGAGAAGCTTTTGCTTTCCTTGGGCAGAAATCTAGATTGTCAGGCATGCCCAAGAAGGGTTTAGTGAAAGTTGGTGCAGCAATCATATTTAAGTAGAACCATTGAAACACACATTTATAACATCTTCACTAGTGTAGGTCTAGGTTTAATCATCCATAGCCCTGCTATCTTCAGTGAGCCTGCTCATGTGACTCTTCCTCAGTGAGCCTCTGGGACAAAACACAAGCAGCATGGAGGAGAGACTCACTTTAGGCATGTAGTCTTCAAACTGGGCTTTCTGTAATCACCTGTAAAATACTGAGACTAAAAGCAAAATGAAGCATTAGAAAATGTGTAGTTATTCTTCTCACCAAGTAGTAGAAATATTGAAAGAGGAAAAAAGGATGCTAACCTGCTAACTTGGAGAGAAAAAATATTTGGGTAGGCAGAAAAAGAAAAACATAAGACAGGTTGTTGGTGGCATAAAATATAAAATGTATGTACATTGCAACATGGTGTTTAAGCCCTCCAGCTCTGGATTCAGACTCCCTGGGATCAAAAACTGGTTCTACTGCTTACTAGCTGTGTTACCTTGGGTTTGTTACTTTAATCTCTCTCTGCCTCAATTTCCTCATCTGAGAAATGGGGATAATAACAGTGTTTATTATGCAGGGCTATTGTGAGGAATACATATACATATATTACATATAATGCATAGATATGTAGGAATAAATGTTCAAAAAAATTCAGTTGTGATTGTTTGTGCAACACTATTATAGAATTAAAACATGTTTGGGGTAGGTAGTTCAAGGCCCAAAGAAATGAGGCACAAATATGTTTACCCTCCTTTAAGATCCTGATCAAGTGCACTTTCCCAAACTTTCAAGAGAAAATCCTTCCCTCTTTCTAAACTTTGGGTAATTTACTGGTTTAACATTCATTACATTTTGAGTAGAGCATAGTTATTTGTATAGAAACATGTTGGAAACTCTTTGAGGGCAAGATAGGATCTCCTTCATCTTTCTCCATTCACTGTCCCTTACCTCATCCTGGCCTGGAAAAACAAATAGCACTTAGAATAGTGTGTGGAACTTAGCTGGCACTGAATACGGTAAATGTTTGTTAAATTGAACTGAACTGAATTGAAATGCAAAGACTGGGCCCACCTAGGAGAAAAAAGACTGAAAGAGCAAGAAGAAAACTGAGATTTTGCTACCATTTGTCATGCAGAAACAGGACTATCTCGCTTATATGTATTTGAATGAAAGGCACTCAACACTGTTGAGTTGTTGTGGCTGAAAGGTAACAAAAGCTTATTTGAGCCTGTTGGGGTGAGGTGGGTGCAAATAATCTTTTAGGAAATATAAAGTGGCCAGCCTTGTAACTTGTAGGAATCCTGGCCCCCAATTTTAGTAGGAGAGTCAAGCTCAGAGATCTCTGAGAAACTTTTTATAAAATACAGCTTGTGCAGCTTTACTTGTGCTAATTAATTAGTATGAGCTAAAGGCAAGTGTTCAACAGACTTTACTGTGATTCCCCAGTTCATGAAATTCATAGGGATCAAATTTGACAAGATTGTGTCTGACTTTGTTCTGTGGAAGCCTGAGCAAAGTCATAGAAACCAGATGCAATTAGTGGTACAGCCATAATCCAGCGAGTCTGACCCACGAGTGGTATTTGTCCTGCAGTATAAATACATTCATATGCACACACACACTCACAGTCTCTCTCAAACACATACATCCTCAGACACACACAATATTTCAAACACACACACACACACACCACATTATTTTAGTATGTAATAACTTCATTGATAGAGCTTTTGAGCAGTAACCACAGTGTTGGTATCTAGAAATTGGCTTCTGTCTTCCATAAAACACTTACCAGTACTGAGTGTTTTCATGTTTGGTGCCTCAACTTGTGGTTCTCACCTTTTCATTGTCTGTGAAGATCTCCTGTGAAGTGTTTAAAATGAAAATTCCTGGCCCCGCACCTTTAGAGATTCTGACCCAGCACATGTGGGGCACAGTCTGAGAATCTGCATTTGGCAGATAAAAGGCAATCCAGAACACTTTAGATTGAAAGACTTGTGGGTACTTTTTGAGGCCTAATAGGTCTACTACCTACATTGTAGCAATATTGAATCAATGAGACTGGTGAGATTTCAGTGGCTTTGGTAACTCCAACATAAAAGTCTAGCTGAAAGGCCAGGCATGGTGGCTCATGCCAGCATTTTGGGAGGCTGAGATGGGAGGACTGCTTGAGCCCAGGAGTTCGAGACCAGTCTGGGTAACATGGTGAGACCTCATCTCTACTAAAAAATTTAAAAAATTATCTGGGCATGGTGGCATGTGCCTGTAGTCCCAGCTACTCAGGAGGCTGACGTGGAATGATTGCTTGAGTTCAGGGGTGCGAAGCTGCAGTGAGCTAAGATGGCACCACTTCACTGCAGCCTGGGCAACAGAGTGAGACCTTATCTCAAATAAAAAAAAAAGAGAGAAAGAGAGAGAAAAAAGTCTAGCTGCAGCCTGTTCATCCTCCCCTGGGAGGCTCCAGCATGCTTCCCATGTCTACATCCTAAGAAGGGCTGTATTTAAGGGTGGGTCAGCCGCATAATTGTACCTGAAATGAGCAAACAGCTGACTCCCTTGTTCTAGGTGTTCACACATAGTATTGCATTTGATCTTGGCAGAGCAGACACTCAAACCCAAATGTCTTGATAATGCCAAACCCAGCATGTGTTTCCCTGAACCACAGCTGTCTTCAGCAGGTGACCAGGAGTTTCATAAAATGAAGTCTTTGTACCAGGTGATATTAAAAATATTTAGCAACCAGTAGAGCAGGTACAAGCCCAGTCAGAACTGATGCAGACGTATGAGCCCGGGGGTTGTTGGCTGAGTGTAGAAGAAGGTGCCCCTGCCCCACTCCAGTGACCCACCCACTGATAATGGCAAAGCACCCTTCAAGATGTTATCACATGGGACTCAGGCCCCTAATTAGGGGTGGGAGAGAGAAGCAGGACATCACCTGCTTCCACCCAACTTCCAGGACAAATGATAGTAATCAGAAAATAATGACCAAAACATGCAAGTTCATTCTTTTCTTGAGACAAGGTAAGGGGCTGAATTAGAAGATTAGTTCCCATAGGAATGGTGACAACTCCTCAGCCTGATCCCCTCCCCCTGCAAACTTCATGAACTAGCAAGTGTTCCTGTATTTATGAAGATAAATGGTCTGAGAATTTTATTTTATTTTTGAAACAGAGTCTTGCTCTGTCACTTAAACTGAGGTGCAGCGGCACGACCATGGCTCACTGCAGCCTCGAACTCCTGGCCTCAAGTGATCCACCTTGGCCTCCCAAAGTGCTGGGATCACACATGTGAGCCACTGTGCCCGGCCTGAATATTTTAAATCATGACTATTCTACAAATCTGTGACAAATGCTTGCGAAATCTCAGGCATCATTTGGTGGTCACTACTGTGCTTTTTAATTTCCTAACTAGAAGGAATTTTCCTTCCTTCTGGGGCTCAGATGCAAATTCATGGCATGAGATTGCTGGGAGGTCTAAAAGGGTGACTCATGAAATCCCAGCTAACCTCACAGTTTTGCCTGGCTCCAGCCCAGGTCAGCTGTCCTTGACCTTCTGTCAGGGCCTGGAAGAAGCCCCATGTGGAGTGCAGGTCGATTTTCTTTGAAGATTGCAGTTTAGAAAAAGCTCTGCTCAACTCCAGGCTTCCTCCTTTTATCTTCCTATCTTCACCTTTTTCAGCTGGTGGTTATATCTTACCTGTTCTCTACTGAATTTTCATACTTAATATTTAATCCTTTTAAATTTCACAATTCCTGATTCTGTATTTTCTTATTAAGGTGAACTTTCATCTTATCATAGCAGTTTCTAGCCTCCCTCTTTTCCTTTTTTTTTTTTTTTTTGTATAAACCATTTGAATGTAAAGCACTATTGTCATAAGTGCTCCATTTCTGACTTAAAATTTTTTGATTTCTGATTTCAAATCATGCCCTTCTGATGTAAAAGCCACACTGAATACAGCAATGTCTAATAACCATGCCCAAAAGGTATTTAATGTAATTGGAAAATATTTTATTATGGCTTCACTTCCCTAAAAACATTCCAACATCACTCATTCAAATAGCGAAAATAGAAGCTTGATCTTGGAATTAATTAGGGATTAACACGGAATCTTAATTTTAAATGTATCAAAGGAAAGAAAACAATTTAGACCCCAGTGTACATCAAAGGATAATTCTATCTGGCAACATACAATGGCCTTGCAGCAGCCTAATCTCTCACCACACCCTGATGCTTCCATAGCTACCGCACCACAGAAGCCACAACAACATCTTTAGTGCTGTTCCCTCACGAAAGGAATGCTTCCAAAGCACTGTGGCTGGGATTTGATTAATTACAGTTGTTTACAAACTCAGAGAAGCTGGTTATACACCAACACATTTCAAAATCTCCACTGACTCCACAAGTGACCTCTTTGGAAGTCATTGATAAGCAGCCTTCTGATAGCTGTTACTGAACACTGATCGAACCCTGAAGAGGATGCCAGCTTAGCCTCTGCCCTGCTTGCCCTCTCTGCAGTGGGAGAGGTTGGTAAGGCATGGGGCACTTGGCCAGAGGGATAAGTCAGAGGCCACAAACAAGGTGGGAGACAATTCAGAGTCCGACAGCCAGCTGCATTCAGGGTTCAAAGTGGTGTCAAATGTCAGCACTTTGCAGCAAGGAGATTCCTATGCACATAGCCTTTTCTGGTAGGCAGAGTCTCATGTGCATTTTTCTTCTTTTCACTTATTTGAAAACCTTGCACTGCAGAGCAAGGGATTATGCACTGAGAGTGTTTCATTTTCAAATGTTTTTGCAGAGGACTTTTGCCTTCCACCAACATTTCAATCATACACAGTAAGCTTCACTAGAAAAAAGTTTTTCATTTAAAATTAGAGTAAGCACCATAAAATCAAAAAGGATTCAGCATGCTTAATTCTAAGACAGAATTCTAAGTAAAGTAACCATCTTTTTTTAGAGATGAAGTTCTACCAAAACGCCATCATCCTAACCTTGAGTCAATCTGCTTATAATTTGAGACTTTGGTAGGAAAGTGGCATTTAGAACTTGAAGAGCTAAATTTTTACTTCATTAGGATACAGATGTTTTAAGTGTATCTTCCTTTTTGCCCACATTTACTAAAAGGCTATTCCTTCTTTTATTTCTTCTCCTTCTTCCTCCTACTCTTTCTTTTTCTGATAAATATAACAGATACAAAACTGTAAACTTGTCCTTGGTAGGACTCAATTGAATTGCCTCATCTCTAGTGTTGCTACTCTGAGTTTCCAAATACTAAACTTGAAGTGGCTTCCAATGAAGGATAGAATTTAGTTTCTCCTGGAAGCAGAATGAATATTGTGGAGAGTCTTTTTATCTTTATTTAAAAATACCTCTCTGGGACAACTTTCCCCTAACCGAGGACTAAAGCAATTGCTAGAGCTGTAAACAAGGCCAAATTCTCCACCTCTGTGGACAGCCAGTTCCAATGGGATTCCCCTAACACTGGAAATAAGTTTGTTTTTTTTTTTTCTTTTTAATCTCTAAGTGGAGTTTTTCCGCTTAAACTGATAAACAAAAATACGTTGTTGGTGAGTGTTTTCCTGAGTATAGTGTATCCCTCAAAGCATTTTTCCTAAGAGGGAAATGTTAAGCTCTTGATAAATGAAAAATAAACTTCTTGTTCTCAAAGATAAATTATTACAATGAGAACTTTCTTTAACCTTAAAAACCTAATACTGATGTTTGGCTTTGCACAGTAGAGTTTCTCTAAACTGTTGAATGCCTTCCATCTTCCTCAAACCTTGTTTTGGTAAAGGACAAGGGGAGCATCTCCAGTGGGTGAGTGATTTACCTTATCGTCCTTTTACTGTAGCCTCAGGGATCTTTAACTCTTTAAGCAACGGCATTCAAGTCTTAAGAACACCCAGAAGCATACCTCAGGCTTTAGACATTCTCAGCTGAAAAAAAAAAAAAAAAAAAAAAATTAAGGCCAGCTTGGGTATCAACAAAGCAGAAGAAGATGAAGCCGGTTGGTTCAATTCTGATAAACTGGCGATCTGCAAATCAGGTAAGCTGAACTGCAGACAAGTGCCCTTGCTTCTGCAGAGGCAGCTCTCCTCTTTCCTGGGCCTTGTACCTGGTGCATTCATTCTCTGGATATACTTAATGGCAAGAAAAGCTACAGATATGCTCTTTCCCCACTGCTGCGAGCAATGGGATTATTCTTTCACTTTTACAAACATTTTAAAATCACATCTTCTTACCTTTCCCTTGTGCGTCCAGAAGAGGTTATCTAAAACTGCATTGTAAGTGTCTCTAGGCTATGTCAAAAAAAGCTGGTAGAATCATCAGTTTTAAAGGGAATTTTTTTGGCCTACAATTTGTAGTCCTTGATTGAAATGAAATAATAGAAATAAGGAATGCTTGGCCTCTGAAATGACATCCGAGCCCCTTCCAAAGGAAAGCCTTCTCTTAAAAAAAAAAAAAAAGGAAAAAAGATTGTAGAAAAATACTCATAAGACTTGAAAGTCAGAATGCAGCTGTTCCTTTATTAAAACTTTGCAAATTGGTCTTATTTTAAACCCTTTTATTTAAGGCCAATATTTTATATTTATAATATGATAGAATAAAAAAACCCTAAGCTAAATTGGTAAATTGAAAAGATAATGGAAAATAAAAGATTTTGTTCAACCGTTTTTTCTTTTTTCACAAATTGCTGGAAGTGCTGCCTAGATAAAATTTAAAAAAAAAAAAATCTATCAAGTTAAAAAGCAAAAGTGTACCCGTATATGCCATTTAAACTTTAGTGAGACAGTTCTGATTTTTTTTTTTTTTTTTTTTTTTTTTTTTTTTGAGACGAAGTCTAGGCGCGATCTTGGCTCACTGCAAGCTCCGCCTCCCGGGTTCACGCCGTTCTTCTGTCTCAGCCTCTCTGAGTAGCTGGGACTACACGCGCGGCTAATTTTTTGTATTTTTAGTAGAGACAGGGTTTCACCGTAGTCTTGATCTCCTGACCTCGTGATCCGCCCGCCTTGGCCTCCCAAAGTGCTGGGATTACAAGCGTGAGCCACCGCGCCCAGCCAGTTCTGAATATTTTACTTCATGATATTTTTTTGTTTTCAAATCAAATGAGGTTTGTATGTAATATTAACTATGAAAAGAATGTAAAAAATAAAAAGAAAGGTTAGGAAGGCCAATATACCTAGAGTTAAGTGTTCCTTGACCTTAAGTGGTGTGATCATAGTTCATTTTTTTCTTTACTTTTTAAATTTTCAGTTTTTCAATTTTCTATAATAAGTACTTATTGCTTTTAAATTTTATTTAATTAAATTAATTTATTTATTTGAGACAGGGTTTTGCTCTGTTTCCCAGGCTGGAGTGCAGGGTGCAATCATAGCTCACTGCAGCCTTGAACTCCTCCTGGGCTCGAGTGATCTTCCTGCTTCAACCTCCGGAGTATCTGGGACAATAGGCATGGGCCACTGCACCCAGCCATTTTAACATTTTAATATAATTTTGTTTAAAGTATAAAAAGATTCTGATCATGTCTGTTTCATTCTTAGGTGGGTTTTTTTTGTTTGTTTATTTTTATTTTTTTTTTTTTTTTTTGAGACAGAGTCTCGCTCTGTCGCCCAGGCTGGAGTGCAGTGGTGCGACCTCGGCTCACTGCAACCTCCGCCTCCCCGGTTCAATTAATTCTCCTGCCTCAGCCTCCTGAGTAGCTGGGATTACAGGTGCCCGCCACCACACCTGGCTAATTTTTGTATTTTTAGTAGAGACGGGGTTTCTCCATGTTGGTCAGGCTGGTCTCAAACTCCTGACCTCAGGTGATCCACCCCCCTCAGCCTCCCAAAGTGCTGAGATTAAAGGCATGAGTTACCGCACCCAGCTCTTAGGTGTTTTAAGTATAAACTTTGTGACCCTGTTTCCCTTCTGTACCCCTCTGCTTATGTCTGGGCTGCATTTCTCCTTGGGTCGTTTTTTTCTCTTCTCACTTCTATCCTACCTGCTCTTTCTCCTTCTTCAGTCAGCATCACTTGCCTTGGAACTGAATTGTCTACTGAGCTCTGGGAAGCTTTATGAAAAAGAGGCCAGAGGAGGGAGACTGGCGTTGCCTGGGCCAAGGAAGCTCCTTAGAGATGAGGTCACAGAACATCAGAGCTGACGAGATGAGACCAACTGCCTCATTTTACAGATGAGGAAATGAAGATCAAAGCGTGGAGTGACTTGCTCAAGGTCATGCCCCCAGCTTGTGACAGAGTGGAAATGAGAACATGGCATTAGTCCTTGCAGCTTGAACTTTTGAAAGAGCAAAAATCCTGGGGTGAAGACCATGGAAAGCTGCAAACACAGATTTGTATTAAGAACATGCAGACGTCTAATGCGTGAAGTAGGAGGATTTTTCTAGAAATGTACTGCTCTGCAAATGTACCCCCACCTTAGATAGAGATATGAGCACAGAGAAATGTTTTGGCAAGAAATAGAACAGTGCCAAAGGAATGGAAAACAGTGACTGACCTGAGGCCTCAGCATCCCAGGACAAGACAGAACACAGGAGCATGGCCACCAGGTCTCAAGGGGGCCACTCCGGCTGGTTATGGCCACCTAAGAATTCAACCCTGGTAATATTACCAGGTTGTCCGATTTTAAAGAGAAGTGAGAAATTAAGGTTATTGTGTAAAATCCCCCAGTTTAGGAAAGCTGTGGCAGTAGATTGTGATCTGCTTGTTGAAACTTGCATGTAACACACCAGTCCTTGAGACGTATGAACCTGTACTCTGATGACTATTGAAGGACATACCTCTTGCCATGTACGAGAGGCTGGGTATATGTCCCCCTACTTCTCACCTCCACTTAGAAAAAAAGGCAACCCTCTCCTCCCCACAGAGCTTATTTATTCCTTCTGTATACCTAAACATTGATGAAACAGACTGCACCATTGCGTTCTTTTAAATTCAACTCTTAAGACATTGCTTTTTAAACGAGGACAATGAAGTTTCAGCTTGGCAACCTGACCTAGAAATGATTATCAAAATTAGAGGTATAATGCTTCTTTATATGGTTCTATTTTCTCCAAAGAGTATTTTTTTAATAAGTCAGAAGGGAAAAGTTAATTAAAAAAATTCAGAAGGCAAATCGAACGATATGTTTATTTGAAGAGTCAGATCAGTCATCAGGTAGTTTAAGAAGCCACTGGCAAAATGGAAAGAACTTCAGTTACGGAGTCACCAAACCCGTTAAATCCCAGTTTTGCTACTCATCCTTCATCTCTGTTAAATGAGTATAGTATAATTCCTATATATCAGGGTATTGTAAAGCTTAATGATAAGTTTTGGGACACATGGTGGATTGTGAATAAAAGGTAGTCATGGCTTATATGGTGACTTTACCTCATGTGCACCACCCACCATCAGATTAAGTGAGCTGTGGGGAACCCTAGTGAACATTCAAATCCACATGTGTTCATGAGAACGAACCAACCTGAGGTAGACACACAGCTGAGTTTGTCTTTGTTTCTCCTGTTGGCCACCTCTGCAGAGCACCACACAACCATGTGGGATTGTTTGAGACCTGTATAAATTCTGTGAGATAAGTTTGAGTTTTGGTTGGTTTTGTTTGGGGTGTTTAAAAAAGAATCAGTGTTTGAATTTTTGGAGTCGTTTATAAATTCAGTTGCTTTTGCATCTTTCAAATTTTTTAAAAAAGAATATACATCATTTTGTGTTTTTTTTCCCCGAAAAGAAGCACAAGAATAACCCTTTAGAATAAACTTGGGTCTTGTTCCTAAGATTATGACACCTTTACTAGCGCTTTGCACACAGCAAATACTCAATAAACACTTGTTATATGTGATTAAATGCCCAGCCTTCCTGAAAAATGGCCATGGCATAACAGAATCTGATGAAATAGTAGAAGACATATTGCATTGAGTGAAGCTACCTTACCCTCCAGAATTAAGGGAAATGTCAGCATCTTCAGGGTTAATTTTGTAAATTCTTTAACAAGTTTTAGTTAAATATTAAAATTAAAATTTTAATTTTCCCAGTCTACTAATAGTTTGTCATTGTTATGGTTTTGCAACATTTGAATTTACAATTTACTATGTATCCTAGCTTAATTTAAGAGTTTTTCTTCTTTTTTTGAGAAACACTATTAAGACTGACTGAAGATCCATGCTCCAATCTTCCTCCAGGGCTGCCCACCACTGGTGTCTGCTCTGAGCTCCATTGTCTCTGGCCCGGACTATTGCAGTTTGCTTCCAGTTGGGCTTCCAGTCTCATGCAATCTACTCATGCACAGGACTGCAGTCTTTCTGAAATGCCAATCTAATCCTGGCTTGAGACCTACTGGATAACAAGAGCTAACACTTATTGTGCTTGGCGTTGTGTAAAGCAGTCATTATCTCATTTAATCCTAATAACAATCCCATGAGATAATTCCCATTTTACAGAGAAGCAAAGGGAGGCTCAGAGAGGTTAAGTAAATTGTGCAAGTAAATTGCAGCTTACATTTTGAGCTTTATTCACCCACTTAATTACATACACCCCTCCCCCTCACCACAGCCGCATGATGGCAGAATGCTGTAAGTGTGATGACACTTTTGTCATATGCTGTCTCTCCTGTCTGGAATGTTTTTGTCTATTTAACACTCAGAGGGGTCTTCTCCACTGTGAAGCCTTCCCAGACAGCTGTCCAACTCTATACTTAAATTCCCAGTATTTCTCTAGCACACCTATGTCATGTGCTGCTTTGCCATAGTTAGTTTATCTGTCTTTCCCTTTTATCAAATGCCACGCAGGCTGAAACTTAACCATATTGCATTAGTATTCATTTACACAAAGCCTGGTTAGTAGTAGATACTTAATAGTGTTTGTAAAATGGATGAACTGTGAGATCCTCAAAGGTATCTTACTGATATTTGTATCCCCAAACAAAGCTACCACACCAGGAGGTCACCCTGGAAGGGATCCACGTGATGTGGACAATTCTTCAAGTGTTCATTCCTGATAGTCAATGGCCTGAGGAACTCACTTTCTCCCACCACTCTGTGTCCAAGCCCACTCCTGCACGCTCCTCATTCTCTCGTGAAACTTCCAGCAACATAGGCTTTATCTTGGAGTCATTCCTCATTTGTTCTGCTCCCTGGTCCTGCCATATTGAAACAGTTGACAAGGCCTGTCAATTCTTCCTGTGAAATGTTTCTCACCTCCTTCCCTTCCTCCCTCTCTTTATTGTCTATTGCTTCTCTCCTATTATAGGTGGTGGCTCTTCAATTTTTAAATAGGAAGAACTGAGAGAAGGAATCACAGGCCAGTTGCAAAAGGAGTTTAACAGACTGGCTTTGAAGCTGCCATCACAGGACAAAATGCTATTGTATTTAGAGTGCATGTTACAAATTAATAATATAGCAAAGTTCTATATAAGTATACCTTACATAAATTGAGAAAGTGTCCATTGTATATATCAAATTATACATACATCTATATGTATAATATATATATTTGTGATAGAGGTTATGCCAGGGGAGGCCCTACTTTATACAGCAACTGCAAGAATTGTTTCTTACATGATTTCTTTGACTCCAAGCACTTTCCCTTTTGTTGCTGGATAAATCTTCCTAAAGAACAGCTTTAATATTATTAATACTCACAAACCTTCACTGTCTCCCTATTGCCTACTAAATAAGGAACAATCATTCTGTACATGAACTTTAGTGCCCTTCATAATATAGATCCCACTCATTTTTTTGACTTTATATCCCATGGGTCACTGTTGTTTTGTGTATCAATCAGGAACGCCATTGGCTGCAGGTAACAGAACATCTAATGTATGCTGGCTTAAACAGTGAACCCTTTTTTCTCACATAATAAGAAATTAAGAGGTCTGCTGCAGGGCTGGTGCAAGTACCCAATGATGGTCAAATGCTCCTTCTATCTCTCTATTCACCATCCCATCATATAGCTTTTATTCCTCTGCTTATCACCTCCGGACCTCAAGAGGCACCTCCAGGGATCTCATCCACATTTCAAGCAGAAGAAAGGAGAGAGAGCAAAGGGCAAAAGTTTAAGGAAAGTTCATGCTAATTGCGCCTGTCCTATTTTTAAGGATAAAGTAAATACTTTCCCACAATCCTAACCCAGCAATCTTCTGCTTATGACTCAGTGACCAGAAGGGTGTCATAGGGTGGAAGGTGCCTGGGGGAGGTGAAGTTGTGGATAGAGGTGGGGTGGCCAATTGGCAGCACCTGCCACCTCTCCCACCTTAATCAGGCGGCTCACTCACTTTATCCGCACCTGCCTCCCCATGATTTACTCCACCTTGGATGATCTTTGCCCTACTCTATCTCTGCTTATTGAAGTTCTTTCATTTTTAAAAAATCCTGATAAAATACCGCTTTCTCCAGGAAGCCTTCCTTGACTCCTTCTAAACCACTCTTACAAAAATTTTCCTTCTGAGATCAACCACTGTTTGTATTTTGCTGTATATAGAACTCCTTACACTGTACTATGGCTAATGTTTGTTTTGTCTCCTTGTCTGCATTTTGAGGTCCGAGAGGACAGGGATTACGTCCAATTCATCTTTGTATTTCCAAGGCAGCTCAGCACAGAGTAGTATTCAATAAGTATTGAATGGATGCATGCATATTCTGCAATATTCTATTCTGAACAGAAAAGTCTGCAATACCCACCCTGTATCTATAATGGCTCCTCTGATCCAAGTTAAAGAAGAACATCTGCAGTCCTCTGTGAATATTGGCTGCTGTCTTCTGTCCTCAGTTGAGGCAGGGACATCTGTGGTGGCAACCTGATTATCTACCAATACTTTTTATGTTTCTCTGCCCAAATGTGCAGCTGTTTCCTGGGTGGGAAAGTAAAGAAACAGTGAAAATCAGACAAAATAACAGCAATTTCAGCAGGAGATTTGTGAGAATATTAGGCTTAAGTTAACAACCTCAAAATTATGTTACAACATAAGGACTAATAATATTATACCAATTAATAAGCCCCTTATGCCAGACACTGCACTTTATATGCATTATGCCACGGACTCCTCATAAGAACATACTCATTTATTAAATGAGGAAACCAAGACTCAGAAAGGTTAAGAAATTTGTGCAAGATTACATAGCTTTTAAGTGGCAGCACTGGGCAGATACTCACTTTTTTTTTTTTTTAAGACAGAGTCTTGCTGTATTACCCAGTCTGGAGTGCAATGGCGTGGTCTTGGCTCACTGCAACCTCTGCTTCCCAGGTTCAAGCGATTCTCGTACCTCAGCCTCCCGAGTAGCTGGGATTACAGGTGCCTGCCACCACGCCTGGCTAATATTTTTGTATTTTTAGTAGAGACGGGGTTTCACCACGATGGCCAGGCTGGTCTCAAACTCGTGACCTCAAGTGATTCGCCCACCTTGGTCTCGCAAAGTGCTGGGACTACAGGCGTGAGCCACCGCGTCCAGCCTAAGACACTCAAGCACAAACCTGTGAAGGAAGGAGTATTAGCTTTCTTTTACAGATGAGGAAACTGCAACCCAGAGAAGTCCTGTGACTTGCTCAAGGCTGGGCAGTGCAGTGATTAAGAGGATGGGTCGGCCGGGCGCGGTGGCTCACGCCTGTAATCCCAGCACTTTGGGGGGCCGAGGCGGGCAGATCACGAGGTCAGGAGATCAAGACCATCCTGGCTAACACGGTGAAACCCCGTCTCTACTAAAAATACAAAAAAAATTTGCCAGGTGTGGTGGCGGGCACCTGTAGTCCCAGCTACTCGGGAGGCTGAGGCAGGAGAATGGCGTGAACCCAGGAGGTGGAGCTTGCAGTGAGCCGAGATCGCGCCACTGCACTCCAGC
The DNA here is from genome assembly GCF_000001405.40 of Homo sapiens. Taxonomy (NCBI): domain Eukaryota; kingdom Metazoa; phylum Chordata; class Mammalia; order Primates; family Hominidae; genus Homo; species Homo sapiens. Next base: position 53,970,011 of record NC_000014.9, on the reverse strand, counting down.
CTGGGCAACAGAGCGAGACTCCATGTCAAAAAAAAAAAAAAAAAAAAAAAAAGAGGATGGGCCCTGGCATTGGACTGTCTTGGTTTGAATCCCAGGGCTACCACTTATATATGTGCCAGTGGAAATTGTTTAGTTGCTGTGCCTCAGTTTTCTCATATGTAATACAGAGATAACAGTTGCTTCATAGGATTCTTACAAAAACAAAATAAGTTACATGCACTTGTAGAGACTGGCCTAGCACCTCATCCCAAACAAGCACTTAGTAGCTTTTAGCCAGTGCTGCCACTAGTCTATATTACATGGGAACATTCCTGGTGTGCTGAAGGAGTTGGGCATTCAAATGTGTTTTGGTGCTTTTGGAGAAAAGAAACAAATACTTTCTGACTCCCAGTGGTGGAAGTCCTCATGCTCTAACAAAAGGGACCCCTAGGTTTGCTAGCCCCACCCATCAGAGAGTCATACCTTATGGATAGAATGGCTCTGTCAGCATTTCTCACCTCTGCCTGCATTAAGTGACCTAGAGAATTAGCAGGGTTGTGGCTTTGGAATTGTTTTGGGGAAGGACTTTTACTGGTTTGGGCTGAGTTCTGTGGGGTGACTTTAGATATTTCCATAGTAGAATGCAATTTCATTTTGCCTAAGCCACACCTCTCATCATGATAGCTAGTCTTCAACAAGGTCCCCCAATGAACCCTGGCTCTTGATATTCATGTCTTTGCATAGACCCCTGCTACGTTGAATCTAGGCAGGTTTTTGTATAACAATAGGATGTGGTAGAAGTAACATTGTGTGGCTTCTGAGGCTAGGTCATAATGAGTCTAGTAGCCTGTGTTCTTGGAAAGCTCTCTCTAGGGGATGCCAGCTACTGTATGAAAAGTCCAACTACCATTAGACCACCAAGACATGATAAAACCCACACTAGCCAAATTGAGAGGCCACACGGAGAAGAAGAGACACCGGGCCTCTCCCTAGCAATTTCAGTCATCCAGATGAGGGGCCAAACACATGAGAGAAGAAGCCATCTTGAACATCTGGCCCAGTTGAGCCTTCACATGTCTTTTGCTACAGCCACCATCTGACTGCAACCGAAAGAAACCCCAGCCAAGCAGGAAGTGCCAGCTGAGCCCAGTCAATCTAGAGAAACATGAGAGGTGATAATAAATTGTGATTTTTAAGCTACTCTGTTTTGGGATTGTTTATTATGAAGCACCAAACAACTGAAACACTCAGATTTCCCAAAGCTATTGGTGCAGTTACAGTACACTCAAATCCAATCTGTAGATGAGGATTGTAAGCTGTTTCTTTTGATTAAATTAGATTTTGTGGTAAATATACAAATCAGGCCCCATGGAAGTCTGTATGCAATTTTTGTAATTCTTTTGTAATTCTTTCCACTTTTCTTAAATGATAAAAGGAGAAATATTGGTCCAACACCACCTAATTTTTTTTTTTTTTTTTTTTTTTTTTTATCTGAGACGGAGTCTCGCTCTGTCGCCCAGGCTGGAGTGCAGTGGCGTTATCTCCGCTCACTGCAAGCTCCGCCTCCGGGGTTCACGCCATTCTCCTGCCTCAGCCTCCCGAGTTGCTGGGACTGCAGGCGCCTGCCGCCACGCCCGGCTAATTTTTTGTATTTTTAGTAGAGACGGGGTTTCACCGTGTTAGCCAGGATGGTCTCTATCTTCTGACCTCGTGATCCACCCGCCTTGGCCTCCCAAAGTGCTGGGATTATAGACGTGAGCCACCGCGCCCGGCCCAACACCACCTAATGTTATATTACATGTTTCTCTATTCGATTGCCACTTGTCTTCCCTTTTTGCATGTAAATTCAAAGATGGCAATACCTTTGTTTCATTCCCTGTATGGCAGAGCACCTGGGTTCTAAAAGTGAGTGATTTAAGGCAACCAATTGGAAGCACCGTCACTTTCATGACATAGTCTTGGATGTTATATAGCATGGGTTCTTCTGTAGCCATAAGCTTACCCAGTGTGTTAGGCATAATACTAGCCCTCTAAAATGTCCACATCCTAATCTCCAAACCTGTGAATATGTTACCTTACCTGGACTTTTCAGACCTGACTGAGTTAAAGACCTTGAGACAGGGAGATTATCCTGGATTATCCAGGTGGCCACAATGTAATCACAAGGATCCTTACAATCGGGAACCCGGAGGGTCAGAGTCAGAGAAGGAGATGTGATGCAGAAGCAGAGGGCAGAGTGATGCTGGCCATGAGCCAAGGAATGCAGGCAGCCTCTAGAAAGTGGAAAAGGCAAGAAAACAGATGCACCCTAGAGCCTCCAGAAAAGATGCAGCCCTGCTCACATCTTGATTTTATCCAGGTAAGACCTATTTTAGAATTCTGACCTCCAGAATTGTAACAGATTTATGATATTTTAAGCCACTAAGACTTGGAATTTGTTACAGCATCTAGGCTACAGAAACACAGATTCAAAAGGAGAAAACAAGGCCAGGCGCAGTGGCTCACGCCTGTAATCCCAGCATTTTGGGAGACCAAGGCAGGTGGATCACTTGACGTCAGGAGTTCCAGACCAGCCTGGCCAACATGGTGAAACCCCATCTCTACTAAAAATACAAAATTAGCCAGGCGTGGTGGCAGGTGCCTGTAATCCCAGCTACTTGGGAGGCTGAGGCAGGAGAATCGCTTGAACCTGGGAGGTGGAGGTTGCAGTGAGCCAAGATTGTGCCACTGCACTCCAGCCTGGGCGACAGAGCAAGACTCTGTCTCAACAACAACAACAACAACAAAAAGGAAAAAAAAGGAGAGAGAAAAGATAGACCCCTATGTCTCAGTGGGAAGAGTGTCAGAAGTCACATTCAAGAGCATGTGGAATGGAAGATACTGTTGCAGCCAGCTTTGAAAAATACAATCTGCCACACTCTACCAGTAATAGGTGGATTATAGCTTGATATTTGTGGGTCTCAGTCTCATCTGTCAAATGAGAGGATTGAGTATAAGGATCACTAATATTCTGGACACCAAAGTTCCTGGTCCTGTGAGTGAAAGGGAGATGTAGTAATGCCATGAGAATTCCTAATAAATCATGGCTGATTTTCTATTACTTGATACTCACTGTCATTTATATACTGCTCTGAATGGGATGGATATGGGATGCCTGAACCAGAAAAGCTCAACAAAGAAAGCTGATGAATTCCCAAGAAGACAAGCCTCAAAATATGGGTTGTTTTGTTTTTGCAAAATTTCCCGGCTACCTGACTTCAAGTTTATATTTTACAAAACCACACCGCAGTGGCTAAAGCACTTTAACAAATCATTTCATCAATTCCTCCTTGTTTAAGTATCAAAATGTTACTAAGAAGATGCTTTTGTCTGTTATTCCAGCAATCTGAGTGCTGTACAGGAGCACACCATCACACCATCATTCATAATTTTTTTTTTTTTTAGCAACGCACCTACTATAATCCATAATGTTTTGTTTGTTCGTTTGTTTGTTTGTTTGTTTTGCTTTTGCTTTTGGGTCTTGACCTCCAGCAACTCATTTTTTGTGATACTGGTTCTCAAGATATAATTAAAACATAATTAAAGATCAAGAATAGATGTCTTTCTGTTCTCTGGGACATCCACAAACTATGTAGCGTACAGTTTGCTATTAAGGATTTTATGCTAAAGAGAAACAAAATAGGAGGACTGTCTGTTGAACAAACCCACATGCCAGTGCTGAAGGCATAAGAAAGAATTTAAAAGAAAGTAGATCAGAGTTCATGGTAGTTTTCCTAATTTCCCTATAACTCAGGAAGCCACGAAATGTGTCTGTTTTGTCTTCATTAGCTTCATGACTGGGTGCTATAGACAAAAGAGATATGTCCTTGCTAATTAACTTTGAGTTAACTTTGAGATATTCAGCCATTTGGTGGTTTCAGTTTGGCATCTATTGGCTGCCATAGATGATGCTTCTTAGTTCAAAGGGTTACTGGAAAAAGTTGTAGAAGTGGGGGACAGAGATGCTCTTTCCCTTCTAAGGCTGCCTAATTAGTTAAAGAAGCTAGATGCCACTAATAAGGAACTATGTGTACACAATTTTATTAAGACGCTAGTGAACCTGAACTGTGGAGGAAATCAAAGGGGGGAAATAAATGGGTTAAGGACAGTTTTCCAGCAAAGAGTATATGAGAAGACTGACCATCTCAAGTGTGGCTGCTCTATTTAAAACTCCTGTACTTTTGCACAAAATGCACAAGGAATTAAATTTACCTAAATCTGTACAAAATGTGCCCTTTTTCTAGTATTCCCCTCTTGTAAATGGGATCTTTATCTGAAGTCGAAACCTGGTGTTTGTTAGCTGGGTGGCCTTAGGCAAATTACTTAACCTCTCTACACTTCTTTCCTCAAATGCTAAAAGAAAGTTGGTGGTGGCGGTGATGGGGGTGGGGCGATGTGTGTTGATAACTGTAGTATATAAACCATAAGGAGTTTTTCTGGGGAATTAAATGAGATAATGAAACATGAATATGACTAACAATGGTCAGGAATCCGAAGTATGTTGATTTTCCTTATAAGTATATGGTTGAAGAAAATATGCAAATATTCATGTAATTACAATTATTCACATAATTGTTCATTTAATTATCACTAGCATGTGGAAACCCATCAGCATTTATTTTCATAAATGCCACTAGCCATGTATTTTGTGATCTGTAAATTGGTTTCACGTACACTCCAGTGTTTGATCCTCACGTTAAGTCACAAGAGTCTTCAGTGGGTAACTGGTGGGTACAGTTAACATGGGGCAGAGCAGGGACTTAGACTCCAGGTCACTATTGTGCCAGGGTCCTTTCCCCTGTGACTGTTGGCTCTTAACAGAGTGGAGTTTCTGTTGTCTCAGTGGTGAGTTAAGGACATTTTGCTGTTGAGTGTGAAAGCTATGTACCACTGGATCAAAGTTTTTTATGAGTGCAACTTGGAGACATATCCCAATAGAAAAGATTTAGCACATGGAAACCTAGATGAAGTTATGCATCCCCCAAGCACTTTCACATTTACATCAAAAATTATCTGCATAAATGTCGGGATTTTCACAGATCCCCTAAAATCCATCCAGGGATTCTTAATGAAGCCAAGTGGCAGGCCTAAGAATCTCTAACATAAAAAGATTAACATTTAATTTAAATACAACAAGCAAAGCCAACAATCACTTTTATTTACCCCTTGAGAATCTTAGTCCCTTAATCACCTGGTTTTTGTCCCCATTTTTTCTATCTGAATTTCGTCTAAAACTGGGGAAATAAACTGGATCATCCAAACTCCTTGGGTTCTAGCTGTAGAACTAGGCATGTGACAGAGTGCCACAGCACATTTGGAGGCATGTTTACCTGTCATCTGTAGTTGACATCCTAACTTGTTGGAGGTGAACAAGAAACAAAACTCAGATTTTCAGAATAAAAATCAGAATTCTGAGGGAAAAGCTTCAACAGCTAGCCAGCCATCCCTTTATGCTGAATAAAGGAAACTCTGTTATGTTTTCTTTTTGTTTGACTGGCTTGCAGGAAGGCTGGAGCCCTTGAGGTTGTTCTGCAATGATTCACTAACCCACCAGGCACTGACTATCTGAAGCGGCCTCTGGCAAGCTCACACCTCCTCCAGGCCTTATAAATCCCACTTTGCTACTATCGCATAAGCTTGCAGGTACCACCGCTGGGCTTGGCAAGTGGAAACAGCCCATCACAGAAATTCAGACATTGGGGGAGCACGCTCTTTTTCCTAACTGATCAGAAAAGCCATCCTCTGCCACCTGGAAAGCCTGTCTTAAGATGGAAATGGTAGTGGAGGGGGCAGCTAGCTAGGAAAGCAAGCTTAACAAATACTATCCAAATTTAATTTTCTGCCACTATCATCGGGGCTCCTGTACCCTGTTGCCCCGGCGTCCCCTTAGGCTTCACGGAGAGAACGTCAGGGAGCAGGGACAAAATTGTCCCAGGAGCCGCTCTGCCGCTGCCAGGGCGTTAAGACCTCCTGTCCCTTTCGTTTTAAAAATTTCATTCATTCATTCTGGGGATGGTCCATTGTTTCCAAGTTCTGGTAGGCGAGAACGCTTAGCGTCTCAGGAACCTCTCGTGCGGATGGATGCAAATTCCGCGCGGGTGGCTCGCCCAGGTTGCCCGGGCGCTCGCTGTTTATTCAAGTGTGGATCAGGTTAGCCACCAGGGGCACAAATCCTGCAAAACGAGTCTGAGAGTGGGGCGAGCTGTTGCAGGCAGGGAGGTGCAGCAGCCGAACTAAAAATAACGAGGGCAAGAGAAAGGCGGGAGTGCCGAGATCGCGCGGTGAAGGTGGCGTGGCGGTGGGCAGAGCGCGGGAGCCAGCTGTGGGGCGCGGTCAGGGTGACCCTCCACCCACCCTTCGCTGACGTGCGTGGAGGCTTACTAGGGCGTCGCCTCAGGGACCCGAGAGGAGTGCCCAAGGGGAAGGCGCAGTAGCCGCTCCCCCCACCACCAGCCACTGGACACAGCCTAGTTCTCACACCCCACTGCTCTCCTCCGGTGGCCCTGGGGTATCAGCGGAGCACGCGGACGTTTCTTTACGTTAGTTAGCGGACATCGGGGAAGTACAGTCTGCCCCTGATCAGGGAGGGAATGCGGATAAGGAGCTGGAAAGTTGTCCTGCTTAGCTGGCTCGAGGAGGGGTGGGGAGGTACTGGGGCTGGTGAGCCTCGTGTCCCCAGCATGTTGTCGCAGCTGCAGTCTAGAAAGACAAGGAGGGACTCCGAACTTCCCCGCGTGCACACCTTGTTCTTCTTCTGCCTGGAGGAGGTGAGCGGAGTGTCCATCTGGGCTGCTCCTCAAGAGCAGGACTCCCTCCTTCAACCCTTCACCTCATACTTTACTTGCAGCCCAGGCTCTCAACACCTGTCTTGATTTCTCTGACTCCTTGAAACTGAGTTTGCACAATCTCTGAGCCTGGCCCTGTGGTTGCAAGATTCTGAAAAGGGCCAAAGTCCGGCCACATGCACTTAGCTCCATCTCTCTGCATCAAGGCTGGGATTCAGCTGTGGTGAGGGACCAAGACAGTCACTTGGGAGTCCCATTTTCTCTATCACAATCCTTTCCCCAGCCCATCTCCTAAGCCCAGGGCTCCCAGAATTTGGGGGTGGAGCCCATATCTTTCTCTTAAACTGTTATCTGTTTTGGATGAAGTTTTACCTTCCTGCATTTCTATCCTAAGAAATGCATATCTGATGACCTTGCCATTTCGCCCCAGAGATTGATGGTTTGCAGTGCCAGTCTGAGCTTCTTAGCAAGAGAAGCCAAGGAAGGAAAGAGCTGAGCACAAGTCTCAGATGCCTCCAGGAGCTTCTGTTCTGGTCCAGTGGTTACCAGCCCTCCCATGAGTTTAAGGAACGTGCCAGGATTGTGTCAGACATCTTGCCTTCTGCTATGGGCTGTACTGGTCCCCAGAGGCCAGGCCTTGGTTGGTACAACTGTTCTTTCTTCTGTGGCCCCAGAGTGGATTTCCTGAAGCCACAGTTCAGTTTCTCAGGTGCTGTGGCCACCAGAGGACCAAAGATTAGGCTCCCCCTGGTTTTGCCCTGCCTAACCATTTGGCTCCAAACATTGTGTGTTGCTAGTAGGCTTCAACTAATGGTCAAAGAAAATAACTTTAAAAAAATCATTTCAAAAGCATAGTTTCTATAAGTATTTAATTAAAAAATATGTAACACAGAAAGTGCACAAATATCAAGTATACAACTTGATGAATTTTTACAAAGTGAACATCAACAAGCATCTTTGAGTTGTGTATTACATCTATACTTAATCCCTGAGAGGATTATAAATACTATGCAATTATTCTTGAACAGAACATTAACGAAAAAGGCTCTCCACCAAAGGGCTGTGAAATGTGTGAACTATTAGTAAAAACATCCAAGTATTACTTATACAATAATAATTCCTGGGATCACATATCCCTTTGGACAGGTTTCCTTGAGAAAGACTAGAAAGCTTTTAGCATGAGTTGAGGGTAGAATATCAGCTGGTATTCCGCAATTGGCGTCTGATTGAGAAAACACAATAACCATTTGGTACAGTCAGGTGTCCATGTAGCACTCTGCCTCTGCTTCCAAGTGTCACTCATCCTATAGACACTACGTTCTTGTTCAGGTTACACTGTTCCCACACACTGGGGTCAGAAAAAGAGAAGGAGAAGGATGTATGAGCACAAAACAAAGAAATTTCAAGGTTTAATCTTTTTTATATCCTCTAAAATAATTTATTTTCAAAGAGCATCCCTGTTGTAGAATTAAATGAGTGCAGTCGACTATTTTTTTAGGAGAGGAAGCTGAGAATAGTCAAAACCCAAATATCTGTCATTGCATGCCAATCCCATCCTGATCATTCCTTAGAAAAGACTTTTCATATCCATGCCCTGTCTGCCATCCACGTTAAACATGTTATGACATAAAAACAGTCTTTTCATCTGTCTGATATCACTGGGGGTTCATTTAGAAGTCTCTGTCCATTTTGGATTTTTGTTTGTTTGTTGTTGTTTTTGTTGTTGTTTTTGAGACAGAGTCTCACTCTGTCGCCCAGGCTGGAGTGCAGTGGCGTGATCTCAGCTCACTGCAAGCTCCGCCTCCTGGGTTCACGCCATTCTCCTGCCTCAGCCTTCCGAGTAGCTGGGACTACAGGCGCCCGCCACCATGCCTGGCTAATTTTTTATATTTTTAGTTAAGATGGGTTTTCACCATGTTAGCCAGGATGGTCTCGATCTCCTGACCTCGGTATCCACCTGCCTTGGCCTCCCAAAGTGCTGGGATTACAGGTGTGAGCCACCGCACCTGGCTTGGATGTTAATATTGAAGGGTTTTTATAGAAAGGACCATATTCCAGAAAGTATCAAGGCAGCAATTTAAAACATAGGGAACTGAAATAGCATTGGATTTTCTTTTTGTCATGAGAAAATATCAGCATCCAGTATTATTTACTTTGAGTGAGGCATATCAAAGGTTGGCAACAATATTAAATGTTTAGAGAAGGAACAACTTGTGCAATTGGGTTAAAAGTTCATCTTTAGATCAGAATAAAGAAAATGAGTTTATGTTTTAGCTTGAGGGACAGGAAAAAAAATTCTTAAAAGTTAGAGGTGTTAGGAATCCGCAAAACAGACGGAGAATGCTTTTTGGACATGTCATTCAGTCTCAGCCTATTAGTAAAAACTAATTGCTCAGAGTAGGTATGATTTTGACAGTGAGTAGTTATCTTGGCACAGCTATGTTCATGGGTCAGATCTATATAGACAAAGCATAATGAGTGGACATTGGAGATTAAGCAATTTGACTGTGATTTTAACTACCAGGATATATTGTCTCTGTATTCCAGAGCCTGAGAAAGACCTGTGAGGACCCTGTTCAAGCTCCACATTTTACAATGAGGAAACTTGGACCCAGCAGAGATAATGAGCTCCTTTCTCAAGATCATAACCTTTTTCTCAGGAAAGGTCACATAAAAGTCTTGCCCTAAGGCGGGCTTATATAGTAACGTCAGGAAGAAACAAACTTCTAGGTCTTGATTTTGTTTTGTTATCTAAGAACTTGGGAAGATATCCTGAAATTCCTGGTAATAGCATGCTGCCAGGATGGAGCAGCAGCTGGTGCCTTGGCCTGGGGAAAGCTTCCAGGATAAGCCTCGGGGATCCATCCACAATACCCCTCACTTGCCCAGGGAGAGGAGACAGACTGACATGGTTTGGACTTGGGGTCCACCACTTTCTAGCTTTGTGACCTTGAGCAACTTACATAACGTCTCTAAACTTCAGATTCTCATCTGTAGGACAGGGATTTTATAAGGGTTGTTGTAAGGGCTAGAGATATATAGGGCAAATATATAAGATATGATAAATATTAATAAGAGGAAAACTAAATTTCTAGCCAATTTCAGAGACCACTTCCAATTCCAATTCGAATTCGAATTCCAATTCCAATTGATCTATCTTACTGCTTCTCAAAACTTAGCAGTGATTCTGGGAATTCCTTCCGTAGCTTCACCAGACACCTAATTGGCCAAGAAGGTTTGAAGACCTGATGTGGTTCTTAATTGGGGATGGGGAATTAAGGGCTACTGTATCTATAGGATTATCTTTTCACTTGCATAGACCTATTTGGTGTGTTCAGGGCATAGTGATACTATAATTGCCATATTTAACAGTTTATAAAGTTCAAGCCCAGCATATTCTTTGCCTGTTTAATGATGTCTTGGTATCAGCCTTTTAATGGTACTTATCAGCATAGAAAATGGAAACAAAATAACTTTTAAAACAGTAGCTCTCAAGCTTTAGTGTGCTCAGAATGACCAGAGAACCTTGTGAAATATACAGATTTCTGGGTCCAGATCTGGGGCAGGACCAGGAAGTCTGCATTTCATCTGCACCCCCACCCTACTCTGAGGCTTATAGTCCTGAGAACATGCTTTGAAAAAGGCTGTCCCAAGGGCTCGCAGACAGGCTATTGACCAGCTACTCTTTCTTGATGTTCTCCAGGAAAAACCCAACAAAGGAATGCCTTTCATTGAGTAGTAGCAGCATAGGAGCAATAGTTGCTCCTGAATTATGGTGGGTTTCCCCTCTTCATCAATGTGCTTTAAGGGTACAGTTTCATTTGGTCTATCTACCATGTTCTATAAAAACATGAAAATTCACAGGTAAGTTTGAGATACAGAAAATAACTAAACTGATTCTTCTCACGAACTCTGATCACTAGGCTGTGGTTGATTTAGCTCTCTAACCAACAAGTAATTTGTTCTTTGGCATGAGTAAGGGGGGAAAAGGAGGAGTGGGTAAAAGCAGCTGATAACAGATGGCTTGCGCCCATCTAAAATGTGGGGAGAGAAATAAAGCTGTCCCAAGAGAACTAAAGCTGAGTTCTCTCGTCATATATCTGAAGATTCATATCAGGGGTCTAAACATGGTATGTCGGGTAGCTTAATTGGAAACTCCTGGACTGTGAGTGTCACAGACTCATGGATGGGCCAATCAGTGGCCACTTTAGTGTCTGGGCTGCAGCAAAATGAGACAATAGCTGTCATTCAAAAACCTTTGGAATTAAAAAAACCCCGAAATGACATTGGTGCTTTAAAGTAAAATAAAGTCCTGCCTTTAAGTCCAGCATATCACTGTTGTTTCTGAGTTTAAATATTAAGAACCACATTTCGTTAATGATTAAAACAACAGTGATTGATTTAGGGGCTCAGTGAGCATTTAATCTGTCCTGACTTCAGGTACCATGCTAAAGGAGCACAATGCCTGATGCTGCAGGAGAAACATTAGGTAACTATTTAATGGAGTTTTAATTTTCTGTTATTATTTTTAATAATTAATTGTGATTTTGACTATTTGGAAGCTACAGGTATATTTTGTCCTCCTTTTGGGGTGGTGTTATTGCCCTGCCCTGTTTTAATCAGTGGTTCTTAGAGAAAGTGAACTCAGGAGTGACTTAAAATGAAGGAAGACGGACTTTGGCTAAAATTACAATTAAATAATCAAATCATTTTCAAATATAAAGGGAGCATGCAGATGATCTGGCCCAATCCTTTCATTCTGCAGATGAGAAAACTGAGACTCATAGGAATGAAAAGACTTGCCCAAAGCCATACAGCTTGTTTCTGTTGTTTGGTGCATTAGGCCAAAAGACCTAGGCCTAATAGATGGAAAAGATGGCAGGATGTCTTGGCCTTGCTCTGACAGTTGCTTCTCTGATCTCAGATATTTCCCACCCTTTGTAATCTGTGTTCCACACAGGAAGTAGTTCTTGTTTTTTAAATATCGAAGGTGTATAAACGTAAAGTTTTTATAGATGAGCCACCCAGGGCCAATATCTGTTTAAGTAAAGACCTAAATGCTTTGCAGAGACAGTAAAGTGTCATGTCTGTCCCAGGGAAAGAAATCCAGGACAGGAAATGCTCAGTCTTCCAGCACTCCTCTGGCTACCTGGAGCTCAGGCTATGAGCCTCAACCCCTCCCTGAAGCATTAGCTCTGGAGCAGAGGCTGTGATTTACTTCAGAGATCTGGGCAAGTCCCTTTAACCTGGTAGTCCTGCCTTTCCTTGTTTGTAAAACAGAGAGATGAGGCTGATAGCTCCCTCACAGCTCCATCAGAGGCAGTGTGTGAAATTAGTTCCTGTTTGGGAAGGTTTAAAAGCCACCACATTCCACCTCCCTGCTAATATGATTACTAAAATGTTTTTATATGAAAGGGCCAATTCCTCATCTCCCCTCTTCCTTTAAAAACAGACCAAGGGGCATCTTTTCTTGTCTCCCTGTGGCCTAAAAGGTTACTGCTTCTGTGGTTATCTCCTTGGAAAGACAGAGTGTCAGGACTCTTAGGTACACCAAAAATGAACAAAAAAATCAACAACAACCATAACACCAACAAAAATAACTGCTGTGTCGGTTCTTAAGACGGCTTCTGAGCTAGAAACAGATTTTTCTAACTGTAAAAAACGTGGCCCCAGCCTGTCTGCAGGCCACCTCTGTCTTTAGGCCTTGGGGGGAGGAGGGAAGTGAGCTCATTTACTGGGGTCTACCTCAGGGTCATCACCAAGGTGTTCTACAAAACGCACTTTAAGAATGTTTTGGAAGGAAATTCACCTTTTAACAGCCCAAGAGGTATCTCTCTCTGGCACACAGTTCTGCACACAGCCTGTTTCTCAACGTTTGGAAATCTTTTAACAGTTTATGGAAGGCCACCTTTTAAACCGATCCAACAGCTCCTTTCTCCATAACCTGATTTTAGAGGTGTTTCATTATCTCTAATTACTCAGGGTAAATGGTGATTACTCAGTGTTTTAATCATCAGTTTGGGCAGCAGTTACACTAAACTCAGGGAAGCCCAGACTCCCATGGGTATTTTTGGAAGGTACGGCGACTAGTCGGTGCATGCTTTCTAGTACCTCCGCACGTGGTCCCCAGGTGAGCCCCAGCCGCTTCCCAGAGCTGGAGGCAGCGGCGTCCCAGCTCCGACGGCAGCTGCGGACTCGGGCGCTGCCTGGGCTTCCGGGACCCGGGCCTGCTAGGCGAGGTCGGGCGGCTGGAGGGGAGGATGTGGGCGGGGCTCCCATCCCCAGAAAGGGAGGCGAGCGAGGGAGGAGGGAAGGAGGGAGGGGCCGCCGGGGAAGAGGAGGAGGAAGGAAAGAAAGAAAGCGAGGGAGGGAAAGAGGAGGAAGGAAGATGCGAGAAGGCAGAGGAGGAGGGAGGGAGGGAAGGAGCGCGGAGCCCGGCCCGGAAGCTAGGTGAGTGTGGCATCCGAGCTGAGGGACGCGAGCCTGAGACGCCGCTGCTGCTCCGGCTGAGTATCTAGCTTGTCTCCCCGATGGGATTCCCGTCCAAGCTATCTCGAGCCTGCAGCGCCACAGTCCCCGGCCCTCGCCCAGGTTCACTGCAACCGTTCAGAGGTCCCCAGGAGCTGCTGCTGGCGAGCCCGCTACTGCAGGGACCTATGGTGAGCAAGGCTACCTGGTGAGGGGAGACAGGCAGAGGGGGTCTAGGAGCCTCCTTGGGGGGAAGAAGCTGGTCACAGGCTGTGACCGAGGCAAAAGGTGGCCTAATTATTTTCCAATAGTGGTGCTGGAGGTGGGGATGCTGGCGCTGAAAGACCTTTAAATATCGGCTACTGCCCCTGCCCAGGCCTTCTCTGTCCAGCAGTCCCTGGGAGATTCTCACCTTTGGGAAGTGCGGGGCAGGAGAGCAGAAACAAGAGAAGCCCTTGGTAGGGGGGTCGTTGGGAAAAACTGTGGGGTCTTGGGCTGAACGCGTTGCCCACGGGCTGGAGGTTGCGATCCCCGGACGGAAAGCGCGGGAGGAGGAAGGAGAGAACCGGCTCTGAGGTCCAGAGAGAGTGAGGGGGCAGAGCGACGGCGAGATGGGGAGAGAACACCTAGCTGGAGCAGGTTCTGCGGTAGAGAGCGCAGTCCTGCTGGCCTCTGGAGAGTGCGCGCCGCTCCGGAGGCTGCGTCGAGGGGAGTGTCACCCAATCTGGCCCCCAGCTGGCGGGGCGCCCTGAGAGCTTGCGAACTGCAGTTGCAGGACGCGCCTTCTCCACGAGCTATTTTCGTCGACTTGCGGAACCCAAGGAACCTCGCCTCTATCATTTCACGGTGTAGGGTCCCTAGAGACGACAGCCAAGATCCCAGGGGCTCCCAGGACGCTTGTTCCTGCGGTGTCGTGTCCTATGGGGAGTTCCTGGCGGGACGAAAGGCGGACGCGCGGCTCTTCCTGGCCCTCCAGGCCCGGAACCGACGGGAAAGGTTCCCGTGATTCCCGAGTCCCTGCAGGCTTCTTCCAGCGGGAGTTGGTCCGGGGGCCTTAGAGGCCTCCAAGCACTGCTTTGGAGGATGGTTTCCAAGGATCGCGGTTTGTGAGTTGAAGGCTTTGTGAGAGGTTAAACCCCCAAAAGATACATACTTGGTAAACTGAGGCTACCTGTAAACACATTTCGGCATTAGGAGAAGATTCGAGTAGGGAAGTGAAGGACAACCACCCCGAGTTACATTCCTTTCCCCCAATAAAAAGCTCTGGGGATGAAAGTTCTTTTGGCTTTTATCTTTTCGATTTAAAAATTTGAGAAGAAAAATGTGACTAGAGATGAATCCTGGTGAATCCGAAATTGAAACACAACTCCCCCTTCCCCTTCCTATCCTCTCGGTTTTAGAACCGCGCTCTCCCGCCCCAGGAGATTCCTTGGGGCCGAGGGTTTTCCGGGGAACCCGGGCGCCCGCCCCTTCTACTGTCCCTTTGCCCCGCGGGCACAGCTTGCCTCCGTCTGCTTTCTCTACTTCTGGACCTCTCCTCGCCGGGCTTTTTAAAGGGCTTCTGCGTCTCAAAACAAAACAAAAAAACCCTTTGCTCTTCCCAACCCTTTCGCAGCCCGCCCCAGCGGTGGCGCGGGACCAGCAAAGGCGAAAGCCGCGCGGCTCTTGCCGGGCGCGGACGGTCGCGCAGGGGCGCCCGCGGCCTCCGCACCCGGACCTGAGGTGTTGGTCGACTCCGGGCATCCACGGTCGGGAGGGAGGGCTGAGCTGTTCGATCCTTTACTTTTCTTCCTCAAAGTCTACCTGCCAATGCCCCTAAGAAGAAAACCAAGTATGTGCGTGGAGAGTGGGGCGGCAGGCAACCCGAGTTCTTGAGCTCCGGAGCGACCCAAAGCAGCAACTGGGAACAGCCTCAGGAAAGGGAGGTCGGGTGGAGTGGGCTTTGGGGCAGGAGTCATGGGGCCCGGGCCCCGGGGACGACCTGGCGCTCCCGGCCCTGCTGAACGCTGAGTTGCGCCTAGTCGGGTTTTCGAAGAGGCCCTTGCGCAGAGCGACCCACGCGCGCGGCAGCATCTTCGATTAGTCAGGACATCCCAGTAACTGCTTGAACTGTAGGTAGGTAAAATTCTTGAAGGAGTATTTGCTGCGTGCGACTCTGCTGCTGGTGCAACGGAGGAAGGGGGTGGGGGAAGGAAGTGGCGGGGGAAGGAGTGTGGTGGTGGTTTAAAAAATAAGGGAAGCCGAGGCGAGAGAGACGCAGACGCAGAGGTCGAGCGCAGGCCGAAAGCTGTTCACCGTTTTCTCGACTCCGGGGAACATGGTGGGATTTCCTTTCTGCGCCGGGTCGGGAGTTGTAAAACCTCGGCCACATTAAGATCTGAAAACTGTGATGCGTCCTTTCTGCAGCGACGCCTCTTTCTGAATCTGCCCGGAGCTTCGAGCCCCGGCGTCTGTCCCTCAGCCTGGCATGGCTTCTTCGGGGGTCTGCTTTGCATGGGGAGAGGGGCCACGCAGCGGCGGACTAGGTTTGGGGATTCTCGGTAATGGACCCGGAGCAATGACTAACAGCCGCTCCCTCTCACTTTCCCACAGCGATCACCCTCTAACACCCTCCCTCCCATTCCCGGCCCCGCGCGTGACAAGGTCGGCTGCTTTCAGCCGGGAGCTAGATCGGTGGCCCGGCTCTTCGGAGCCTTAGCAGGCGTTCGCCAAGGGGTGACTGGCTGTCATTGGGAGCAATATTTGGCCTTGAGGAGACCCTGGGGAGGAAGTGGCGGGGAGCTCGTGTTTGCTTGTGTGTGTGTGGGGGGGTGTGTGTGTACACGCGCGTGGGCAGGGTCCCTCTGCGCTTTCCTTTTTAAGTGCCTCTCGGTGGTGAGGCTTTGGGCGGGTGAGACTTTCCCGACCTCGCTCCCGGCCCCACTTAAGCCGGGTTCGAGCTGGGAGACGCAGTCCCTTCAGTGCGCCCCAAATCCTCTGGCTTCAGGTGGCCCGGCGCGGGGGCCCAGCACGACGCACCGCGCCGAGAACCGGGTTCTCCGTGCGCTGCGCCAGTAGCCCTGGGAGCGCGGCGGCCGCGGGGCACCGGCCGAGGGCTCTGCCGAGCGCCGCCGGGAGCTCCTCCCGGACCGCTGAGGCTCGGGCGGCGGGCGCGGAGGTTGGCCTCGCCTGGAGGGGCGGGCCCGCGAGGGGCGGGGGGCTGTGGAGGAGGGGAGGGCGCGCAAGCCCTTTCGCCGCCTGCCGCGGGAGGGGCCTCGGCGCTCACGTGACTCCGAGGGGCTGGAAGAAAAACAGAGCCTGTCTGCGGTGGAGTCTCATTATATTCAAATATTCCTTTTAGGAGCCATTCCGTAGTGCCATCCCGAGCAACGCACTGCTGCAGCTTCCCTGAGCCTTTCCAGCAAGTTTGTTCAAGATTGGCTGTCAAGAATCATGGACTGTTATTATATGCCTTGTTTTCTGTCAGTGAGTAGACACCTCTTCCTTCCCCCTCCCCGGAATTCACTCTGCCCTCACCACCCCTGCTCGCCGGCTGTCCCTTCCGTCGGACCTCCTTTACAATATCCACACTCTGCTCCCTGGCAGCACTGTCGCTCCCTTCTTGGCCCGGCAGCCGGGGCGCTGGAAGCGTACGGGTTCCTTTTAAAGTGCTGCTAGCGCGCACTCGCCCTCTCAGCGTTGCAAGAAAGGGGAGCGCGAGGGAGCTAAAGAGATGAAAGCCCGGGGTTGTACCTTGAGGGCTAACCACTCCCTTCCCCTATCCAACTTGTCTGGGAGAGCCCCCAGTGTCTCCGTGGCGCGTTCCCACTCTCTTGTCAAAACTCACAGAGGTCTCTCCGGAATCGTCTCTCACCCCTTCCCTGGGGATGAGCGGGCACGATCAGGCACTTTTGGCTGAATATTTCAAACTCATCGGCCACAATAAAATAAGCCCTCAAGCCACCCGGTTAGCTCCCAGACCACCTTCTCGGCTTCTGGACCCTGTCGCCCTCTGTCTTCGCCCAGCCCCTGCCTCTCACTTTCCCTCCCTCTGGCTCTGAACCAACTGGAAGTTGTGAAAGTTGGGCTCTGAGGGTGGAGGAAAAGGGAGAGAAGCTGAAGGTCTAAAGTGGAGAGCAATGCCATTTTAATTCTCCCTCCCCCACCCCTTTTCACCCCCTCAATGTTAACTGTTTATCCTTCAAGAAGCCACGCTGAGATCATGGCCCAGATAGCAGTTAGGACAAAAAAAGATTAACAGGATGGAGGCTATCTGATTTGGGGTTATTTGACTGTAAACAAGTTAGACCAAGTAATTACAGGGCAATTCTTACTTTCAGGCCGTGCATGGCTGCAGCTGGTGGGTGGGCGGGTGGTGTGAGGGAGAAGACACAAACTTGATCTTTCTGACCTGCTTTCCATCTTGCCCCTCCATTTCTAGCCCTAAATGCATATGCAGACACATCTCTATTTCTCCCTATTTATTGGTGTTTATTTATTCTTTAACCTTCCACTCCCCTCCCCCTCCCCAGAGACACCATGATTCCTGGTAACCGAATGCTGATGGTCGTTTTATTATGCCAAGTCCTGCTAGGAGGCGCGAGCCATGCTAGTTTGATACCTGAGACGGGGAAGAAAAAAGTCGCCGAGATTCAGGGCCACGCGGGAGGACGCCGCTCAGGGCAGAGCCATGAGCTCCTGCGGGACTTCGAGGCGACACTTCTGCAGATGTTTGGGCTGCGCCGCCGCCCGCAGCCTAGCAAGAGTGCCGTCATTCCGGACTACATGCGGGATCTTTACCGGCTTCAGTCTGGGGAGGAGGAGGAAGAGCAGATCCACAGCACTGGTCTTGAGTATCCTGAGCGCCCGGCCAGCCGGGCCAACACCGTGAGGAGCTTCCACCACGAAGGTCAGTCTCTTCCCCCAGTCTGCGTGGGGGAGGGCTGGTGGGACTGGCTAGAGGGGCAGTGAAAGCCCTGGGGAAGAAGAGTTCGGGTTACATCAAAGCCCCAGTCCAGGAGGCTGAGGAACAGAGCTGCTTACCTCCAAGAATTTGCAGAGCTGCCGCCGAACTTATTTTTTGGAGACAGAGGGGGAGGTGTTCAGGGGAAGGGGAATGACAGCACTCAGACGTGGGCTAGCCCCAGCGGTGTGTTTTTGCTATATCAAAGCCTTTTCTGCTAGGTTTTCTGCCCGTTTTTTTCAAAGCACCTACTGAATTTAATATTACAGCTGTGTGTTTGTCGGGTTTATTCAATAGGGGCCTTGTAATCCGATCTGAATGTTTCCTAGCGGATGTTTCTTTTCCAAAGTAAATCTGAGTTATTAATCCACCAGCATCATTACTGTGTTGGAATTTATTTTCCCCTCTGTAACATGATCAACAAGGCATGCTCTGTGTTTCCAAGATCGCTGGGGAAATGTTTAGTAACATACTCAATAGTGGAAGAGGGAGAGGGTGGTTGTCTGCATGTTTCCTCCTGCCTGTGCTCTGTTGGCCCCTCTTTTTCTTTACAACCACTTGTAAAGAAAACTGTGGACACAAAGCCAAGGTGGGGGGTTTAAAAGAGGAGTCTGATTGTGGTGCCATAGAGGAGTTGACACATAGAAATTATTAGACATATCAAGGAGGCTGGATATAGTTTCTGTCTTTGGTGCTTGAGAAATGCTAGCTACATTTTGCTGGTTTGTTAGCTGCCCCACTTATCTGCTCCTTCAAATTAAGGGGTATGCTTATTTTCCCCCAGTAGGTTTCCCCTGCATAAGCAGAATTCACCATTCATTGCCCAACCCTGAGCTATCTCTTGACTCTTCCATCTTTGAAAAAAGTTCATATGCTTTTTCTTTTCCCCTTCCTTCCTAACTGTGCCTAGAACATCTGGAGAACATCCCAGGGACCAGTGAAAACTCTGCTTTTCGTTTCCTCTTTAACCTCAGCAGCATCCCTGAGAACGAGGTGATCTCCTCTGCAGAGCTTCGGCTCTTCCGGGAGCAGGTGGACCAGGGCCCTGATTGGGAAAGGGGCTTCCACCGTATAAACATTTATGAGGTTATGAAGCCCCCAGCAGAAGTGGTGCCTGGGCACCTCATCACACGACTACTGGACACGAGACTGGTCCACCACAATGTGACACGGTGGGAAACTTTTGATGTGAGCCCTGCGGTCCTTCGCTGGACCCGGGAGAAGCAGCCAAACTATGGGCTAGCCATTGAGGTGACTCACCTCCATCAGACTCGGACCCACCAGGGCCAGCATGTCAGGATTAGCCGATCGTTACCTCAAGGGAGTGGGAATTGGGCCCAGCTCCGGCCCCTCCTGGTCACCTTTGGCCATGATGGCCGGGGCCATGCCTTGACCCGACGCCGGAGGGCCAAGCGTAGCCCTAAGCATCACTCACAGCGGGCCAGGAAGAAGAATAAGAACTGCCGGCGCCACTCGCTCTATGTGGACTTCAGCGATGTGGGCTGGAATGACTGGATTGTGGCCCCACCAGGCTACCAGGCCTTCTACTGCCATGGGGACTGCCCCTTTCCACTGGCTGACCACCTCAACTCAACCAACCATGCCATTGTGCAGACCCTGGTCAATTCTGTCAATTCCAGTATCCCCAAAGCCTGTTGTGTGCCCACTGAACTGAGTGCCATCTCCATGCTGTACCTGGATGAGTATGATAAGGTGGTACTGAAAAATTATCAGGAGATGGTAGTAGAGGGATGTGGGTGCCGCTGAGATCAGGCAGTCCTTGAGGATAGACAGATATACACACCACACACACACACCACATACACCACACACACACGTTCCCATCCACTCACCCACACACTACACAGACTGCTTCCTTATAGCTGGACTTTTATTTAAAAAAAAAAAAAAAAAAGGAAAAAATCCCTAAACATTCACCTTGACCTTATTTATGACTTTACGTGCAAATGTTTTGACCATATTGATCATATATTTTGACAAAATATATTTATAACTACGTATTAAAAGAAAAAAATAAAATGAGTCATTATTTTAAAGGTAAATCATGATTTTTTTTTTCTCCTTAATCCTTTCTCTTTTCCTTCGGGCTCATCTCTTTTGAATGAGGCTTTTTTCTGTTCAGGTGAGTTGGAGGCTGGATGGAAGTCAAAAGGTGGTACCTGGAGGTGGTTAAGTTGTAGGGACAGGAAGTAAACTGTTGGCAGAGAGAGATGGTAATTGCCAGCATGAATTGTTTTCTATTTCTATTTAATGTTAACAAGGATGCAGTATCCTCTCCCATCTGGATGACACATGCCTTGGAGAAACACTGGGATGAAAGGAGTGTAGGTCAGATTAAAGACTTCATTTCAGGCCCCTTGTACATCTTCTGTTTCACTCACCTGTTGAGGTGTATCACAGCTGAGCGTGATGAGGTCTCAACCCTAGAAAAATGATACCCACCTCTGCTTTCATGATACCTCAGGGTATCTCCAGTTATTACAGGTACCAATGTGATATTTCCAAATCAAAACTAATTTGTACACTAACATCATAATGTGTGTGTGAAGGCATGTTTTTAAACTTATTTTTTTTTTCTCCAGGTAGGACTCTTTTGTTTTTTCTTTTGTCTTTTTTTTTTTTTGAAACAAGTTCTCTCTTTGTTGCCCCAGGCTGGTCTTGAACTCCTGGGCTCAAGCAATCTTCTCATTTCGGCCTCTTTGGGATTACAGGCATGCACTGCTATTTTGTCTTTTTTTTTTTTTTTTGTAACAAATAATGTACCCTACCTTCAAAAAGTTTGATGACTACTGTTTTAATATGCCACTTGATAGAATTTCCCATTGTTTCTTGACTTTTTCCCTTGTCCTCTTTTCCCAATGTGAAGGCCTTCATCAAGTTTAGGATCCCAACAGATTGGGCTGGGTGGGGGTTGACAATGGGGTCAGATACTAAAGGGTCAGAATTTCTAAGCAGGCACTGTGAAGGTGTCCCACTATTATACAGAAATCTCGAGTCAAATGTCAACTCTCCTTTTCGCTCTGTACTGCCTCCCTCACACCCTCTTCCCTGGACTTGGGCAGAAAGAGGTAGATCTGATGTTCTGTGCTAGGGTTTCTTAAAGGGAAAAGCTCAATTTTTGGACAAAGTTAATAAAAAGGAGGATGCTAATGTACCCTCAGTTAAGGGCTCCCAGCAGGCAGATAAATGCCTTTCTGGAATGACGGGTGTAGGGATTAAGAGGAGCAGAGGAGAGGCCTTTGCTTTTTCTTACTTGCCACCAACAACTAAATTAAGCCTTGAATCTTGGTCTGTGCTGGCTCATTTCATATGTGTGCTGAGAAAATTCACACATATGAAGTGAGCCAGCACAGACCAAGATCCCTTTGGATCCCTTTGGAGCAGAAACATTTAGTGTCTTTGTATGTTCTCTGTGGGGAAGGCTGATAGCGCATTTCTCCATCATGAAGGTGTAGATATGAGCGGTAGTATTGCTGTTGCTGGTGGTGTGTGCACCCAAAGAATGTGTGTGGTGCACACTCCTGGCGTTTGCATTTTTCTAGGTGGGGTGTGCACCCTTGCATTCTTGTACACACTTTCTTACATACGCTCCTGGGAGTGGAGTGGGTGAAGCAGGATTCATTTTTGTTTTTAATTACTGAAGTCCTACACTCCTCCAAAAGGAGCAGCTTAGTGGAAACCAATAAAAATTGAAGCGGGGTGGTTGCCAAAACCCCAGCTCCCCGGAGAGCGCAGGTGGAGAGAAGACATCAGAGCCCCAGGCAAAGGCAGCAAGACTACACAGTTCCTCCAAAACTCCCCGCAAAAAGGGATCCTTCCCCCACCCCTCCAACCCCCCAGGTCGCTGCCCCTTTGATTAATGGTATGGAGCTCAAATAAATCATTTAGGGAAGCCCCTTATAGATTGCCCTCAGGCAGCCTCATTTTGTTTTGCCCAATTTCTAGCAACTTTCTGAAACGTCGATGTCATTGAAAAGGAACCAGTAGATCTCCAGTACTTGAACAAATTATCCTAGGGCCAGTACTGAGCCCTG
This sequence comes from Homo sapiens, assembly GCF_000001405.40. NCBI lineage: Eukaryota > Metazoa > Chordata > Mammalia > Primates > Hominidae > Homo > Homo sapiens. Next base: position 53,947,743 of record NC_000014.9, on the reverse strand, counting down.
TGGCTGTCCAGTTCTAGCAACCAGCCCCTTCCTCCATCCTCCCCGCTCCTACTGGCTTATTTTCAGGAATGGATAATGTTGTTTATTTGTTCAGCCAAATATTTGGTCTGGGGAATTTACCGTGAAATTCTGTGAATTGCATATACCTAGTTAACAAAATAGTCCTAATGCCACAAATGTTAGCATGGAAAACAAAGAGCTATGGCCAGCGTTAACTCTTTAAATTCTGTTTGAAAGCTTAGTCCTGAGACCCGGGGAGATTAAAAAAAAAATAAAAAAAATTGGATGTGTGTGATTTAGGTTTCGGCATTTACTATTTTTGCCTAATATTCAGTTCAGTACCTGACGGAAGTCGTAGGGTGATTCTCGGCGTTGCTTTTGGATCAAGCCTACCATTTCACCCCATTCATGTTTTTTTTTTTTTTTTTTCTCCAGAGTAATGTTCCTATTACTGAAAGAAAGATGGGGAGGGAAGCTCGCCCTTGAGGAGTTCGGCAAAGTCGTAACCACATCAGAGGAGCTGCTTGGTCGATCCCTACCCAACCCTTAAACTGGAACCGGCTTCCTAGGAGCTTAAAAAAAAAAAAAAAAGGTTGGGGGGGTGTGGAGTGGGACGCATCAAACATTCCCCTGCTTTCGTTGCATAATTCGCCCAGAACCTGCCAGGTGACCTGCTGACTTTGTTTTCTGTCTTGACCGTGCTTCGTTCCACACCCCCCTCGCCGCCGGGCAGCGCCACACTGAGAGGGCTCGGCGCGTCCGCGGCGCGGGCAGACCCCAGTAGTCACCCGGCCTTGGACTGGCGTCAAGATCCAGCCCCGCCGACCCCGCCTCCCGCCCGCTCTGGAGCTCCCAGGCCCGGCGGCGGCGGGGGCACCAGGGGGCGTCCTCCCTGCGGGGGACCAGGGGGACCGTGCACCTGGCGACGGCCCGCGGGAGCCGCGCGGCAGGCGGCCACCCCTCCCCATCCCCGCCGACCGCGGACTGCGGGTCCCCCAGCCCGGGCCCGAGAGCCGGCCCGCTCATCCGCCCTCGGGGACCCAGGCCTCAGGTGAAGCTCTGCAGACACAGACGGATCTGATTAGCGCTCGCTGGTCCTTGGGGCGGTCGCTCTGCAGATTTCATGCGAAATGGGGTCAAAAGGCCGCGCAGAAGCGTGGAGTCTGCAGGGGAAGGCTCCCCGGGGTGGAGGGGCTTAAGAGGGGTCGAGACCTTTAGGGGTTTTCTGTAGGGGGCAGAGAGCGGGAATTAGGGAGCGAGGCTCTCCTGCCTCCGAGCTCACAGTGGGCCTGCATATGGGGGTGACTCAATGGGAGCGGGGACGTGGGCGAGTGGGAAACAGGCCCGCTGGGTGAGGGTCGGACCTGCAGACTGGCCCTGAAGGCTGAGCCGCTGTCTTGGGCCCCTTGGGGACACGGAGAGCCCTGGGTCCCAGCTGAACTGCAGCCAGGGCCCCGCTCCCCAACAGTCGGGGGACGGAGGTGAACGGGAGAGGCCACGGGTGTGCAAGAGTGGAGCTGGACGATTGCTTTCAGAAATGAGATGCCAAGCCATGATACATAATGACAGCACCTCAGCTGACCTCCGCAGGGCCTCTGGACCGGGGACTCACCGTGCCCGCCCCCACTCCCTCTCCAAAGGTGAGCCAGGAGCATAAAGCTTATCCCAGGCCCAGGTCTCCGAACTATTTGTCATCAAAGATACTTTTGCTTCAACACAAAACCAATTTTACAAACTATTCACATACTCTCTTTTGAAAAGGAAAAGAATAATGCAAATGCAACGTTGGTGACCTTACATTACCTGGGAATCAGAAGGTTATTAGTATTCCCTAGGGGAATTTAGGATAACTGGTGGACTGCCAAATTAGAATTGATGCAAAGTTATTCAGGCTTACCTTGTGATACAAACTAGCACAATTCTGAAAACTATAACTGGAAATTAAATTCAGAGTGGTTAGAAATGTGGTCTAGGTGGGATTGCAAGGATCTCATTTCCCTATGCATTTAGCACCTAATGGCAGAATAAATAAACAGAACTGCAATGCTCACCAGTGGAGAAAAGTGGCTGATTTTAGGAAAAATGTCAAATTGCTCTAATGTTAAAAAAAAAACACACAGAAATTATTTTGAAAAAGGAGTCAAAAGTTCAAGGTGTGCAACTTTGAGTCAATTCTAGAAAAAAATCTAAAATTTTTTTTCAGCTTGGAAGCCATTTGAAATTACCATTCATAAGTCACTTTATTTAAAGCATTAACTGCAGCAAGTTCCAGTTGTTTCTGCTTTCGCTCGCTCTTCAAAATATTCTTTATAAACTAAGTGAAAATATAAAAGTTATAGTATGCTGTTCAGAACAAACAATTCAGAAAATACTGTCGGATTCCAAAATGTTTACCTCAAAAATGTGAAATTTGAGGAAAAGAAGACAAGATGGAAGAATAATTTGCTGCGTTGTGTTACTAATGAGAATTTCTGAAGTCCAGCTTTCAGTCAGTTTTGCCACATTTTCTAAAGAAAAGATCTCATTGATCTTTTAACTTTTTATAGCTTGATTTCTAGCAAAAATATTTTTAAATGACTACAAAGTTCCCTACCCCAAATCCTGGAACCTGGTAGCCTGGTGCAAGTAGATTCTAGTTTTGCAAAATTTCATTACTGTTACTTTAGCAATATGTTTTTTCCAGTTTTATTAACTGAAGCCCTCATCAGCAGATAATTCTCTAAACAGTCTAAAGCACACTGATTGAGATTTTAATTGGCTAGACTCAATAGTTTAGTCCTGTAATTATTTCTCTCTCCCTAAGGTACCAGCAAGTGATTCCATCCTGCATATAGTTGTCCATGATTGGGTTAAGAAAATGTACAACTGTGTTCAACTCAAGCTTCATGCTGATTTAATCTTTTAATCCTTGTCATTTGGTTTTCAAAGCAGTTTGTTTCTGAGGTAGGACCTAGGCAAAGAGGCCAAAGATATGGACCTTACAAGAGAGAAAGAGATGAGGGGTGGTATGGTTAAGGCTACACCCAATGTTCCCTGAATTCATTTATAATTCAAATGTAGAAAAATGTCTATCTTTTGAGAACTGACTTATACACCTTCTTTGATTGGTCAGTAAAAGCTACATAACCCAAAGTGTTAACTTAGCTCCAGAAAGCTCAGACCCAAGCATTTAATGTCCAATTGCAATGTTTCCTTCCAGCTGGATATACACAACTTTTTCCTTCTATTGTTTCTAAAATGTAGTAAAATGACATTCAGATTCCTTTTTGAGAAAGCGAGTTTACTTACAATCCCATCCTCCTAAAACAACTACTTAGGTTTTTGTTTTCTTCTAGTCTTTGTTCATATGTTTATGTTTTCCTATAGCGTTTGTGTTCTGTTTTTCTTAATTTCGGATTAATATTATAACCTTAACATATGTTAAATCCTAAATGTATGGTTTATACATATGTCAGTGTGGATCACCTCCACTCCTTTGTGAGAAAGTTGGCTGGGTATAAAACTTAAATGTTTAACCTCAAGCAATTTTAAGCTGCCTGGACATAGTATCAGGGCTGTGGGCATCATGTCCAAATCTTATTAAGATTCTTACTGACTTCTTAAGGCTCAGCTTAAGCATTGTGGTCCCAGTACTAAACAGAATGCTCCTTTGTGTGATTTAAGTATTCTGAAAAGTGGGTTACCTGACATCCCAGGCTCAGACATTTTTGTTGACTGAGCACATTGGAAGACTTGCATCCACACGATTTGATCAACTTGGGAATATATTCCTTCCCTGGAGAAAGTCAGTTGCAACCTGGGGAAGGAAGGACATGCTTAAAAGGTCTCTGTCTCATGCACTCAGAAGCCACTGAGTTGAGCAATTTCCTATTTGACTCAATGTGCGTCTCTCATTTTCATGCTTTGATTTTTTGCACTGGTTTTCTTGGTAATGAAGGGTAGTGGGAAAGGGAGGCAGAATTATCTAAATACAGTAATTACCAAATTGAAACCTATTCAAACAGCTAGGTTACTAGGTTCAGACTGACCTTGACACTTTCAACCTTCAGATTCCAGTTGGTTGGGGTCAGCCACAAATGTCGAGTTGCTGAGTGATTTCCACATGCTTCTTTTGTGTACCTTAACAAGGGCAGACAAAAGATGTTTTTCCAGTGGGACTCACTCTTTATGAGGCCTGACCCTCGAAGGAGCAAATTAATCTCAGGCGATTTTGAGGTTTTAGGGCACTAAGAGAATTTTTAGAGCATGGAGAAGTAATTTGTTCAATGGTGCCTTAGAAGAGTTAATTTACCTCCAAAAGGTGAGTTCCTTTTACTATCCTGAGTCTTTTACTTCCTCTGAGATCAGACTTGTTATTTGCATAGCAAAGCATTCCATTTAGCTCGAGGGAGGGGGTGGGGGATTGTTAACAAGGAAAGTCACTTTTCCCACGTCTTTCAAAACTCAGCAATGTGGTAAGTGGGTTTGATCAACCTTTCCCCTCCCCTAAACCCCAAAACGTCAGACTATTTTGCTCATTATCTATCTTGAAATTGACCAGGTTTTCCGGATAGAAGAGTTGTAGGATTTAGTATATAGCTGCTGAGAGGACAGTTTTGCTAACATTGTTTGTTTTGGCAAGTTAGTGTAGACTTGCAGGTGAAGACTCCAGAAAAGCAAACAGCAGACTCCACCAACATCCCTCTTCCCCTTTACAGGCATCACTTTTTATTTTTAATAAATCAGGGAGGTGCTTTTTAATAGATTCGTGACACTTTGCATGGGAATTATACACATTTACCTTGGTATTATGTTTCCCACTTGGCTGTCCTGCTTATTCCACCCAAACTCATCTATGCACTTAAATCACAGTCTCTGAGGGCCTACACTGTGTGTAGGTTATTGTTTATTTGCTTGTCACTTAGCAATTCTCAAGAACTAGCTCATAATTTATTTTAACCAAATATGCTCCACCTTAGAGACCCAACACTGTAAATAAAGGGGACTTTTCAGCATTCTAGAAGATTGAACAATCCGGGGTCCTAATTAGCATGGAATCAACTGGTAGTTACTTTTAAGTGTCTATTCTTTCCAAATTGGGAGATTAGTCACAGGGATCTGAGGGAAGAAACTGGACGTTTAATAAGCCCTATTGATAAGAAGGGGCAATTGTAAAAATACAAAAGTTTAGCTGCTGGAAGATAACCTTACATTTTGAGCATTTGTGGGAGAATATAATTCTAGCTATATCTCCCTAAGATCACTAATGTTATATAACAAGTCATAGTGACCCGAAGAAAAGTAAATTTAGGAAAATGTTGGCGGATGGGAACAGCAAGCAAAACAAAATGGTCTGTGGTCTATTCTGCATTATTCAGCCCATTGACAAAGTTTCTAGGCTTCTCTAGGAGAAGCAGGGCTCTGTGTTCGGTATGTGATGGGGTAGGGGAGAATCAGGAGGGGTCTTCTGTTTTCCCTAGAATAGTTTACAGTGAAAATGTATTTAGGTTGTATATCTATAATTAAATATAGAATTTTGACAGAATTTATCTCCCCTAACAGAATTTTAAATAGCGAAGTTTTTACTAACATAAACATGCATTTATAAAGAATTCATTCCATGGAGGAGAATGAGAGATGTTAATAAGTACAAACAAATTAATTAGAAAGAATGAATAAGACCTAGTATTTGAAAGCACAACGGGACGACTATAGGCAATAATAATTGTACATTTAAAAATAACTAAAAGGGTGTAATTGGATTTTTGTAACATAAGGGATAAGTGCCTAGGGGGATGGATACCTCATTTTCTGTGACATGATTATTATGCATTGCATGCCTGTGTCAAGACATCTCATGTACCCCATAAATATATATGTCTACTATGTACCCACAAAATTTTTTAAAAAAGAACTCATTCTATCTCTGTGTTATAATGCTGGGAAAGTTTTTTGTTTTGTTTTGTTTTGTTTTAAAGATATGGATATGTACATAGACAAAAATCTGGCCATTGGTGGGAAAATTATATTATAATGAGAAGAAAATGCTTCCTAGGTTAATTTAATGCAACACTAACTAAAATTTCTTTAAACATATTTAATGGAACTTGAAAGATAGTCACATGGACCAACAAATGGGGAAGAATATGTCCCCAAATTTTAAGGTAACAATAGTCTCCTTGTCTTGGCAGATGTGTACAAAATGACAATTTTTAAAAGTCTTTGTTATTAGGTTATCATTAAAAAAATAGATCAGTGGATAAGCAGATAGTTCAGAAATATATTTAAAATACGATTAGAATTTAACATCTGACACACTAGGAGCAAGACAGGCTTATAAGAATTACTAAGAAATGATACTTGGTAAATAGATAGCATGCAAAAGTGATTTAATATAGATGTGTATGTTACACTAAACTTCAGAAATGTCTAAACATATTAAAGAGCTAATCATATTTTTAAGTATAGGAAGCTCTATTTTTAAGTATGGGAAAATTGAATTGCCTAGTATCCAAATCTATCAAATAAACACACACATTCAGACTACTTATGAAATTGAGGGTGTTATCAGAAGTTTAAAGAAACTAGGTTTGATAAGTAGAATTTTAAAAAAAATTATAGCAAAATGTAATAAAAACAAATGTAAAAAGCAAAAACCAGAGTATGAAACATGATGAGTACTTGATAAATATTTACTATAAAATGTATAAATTATGGCTATAATCCCAGGTCATATGAAGATTTACAGTTAAAGTAACAACAGATGCTCTAGACCAGATGTTGGCAAACTTTTTCCATAAGGGGCCAGATAGTCCATATTTTAGGCCTTATGGATCATAGGCCTCTGTGGCAACTACTCAACTCTACCAGTCCTAGCACAAAACTGGTCATAGAGAGTAGTAAACAAATGCATGTGGCTGCGTCCCAGTAAAACTTTATGGACACGGAAACTTGAACTTCATATAATTTTTGCTTGCTGTGAAATATTCTTTTGATTTTTAAAGACTGTTTAAAAATGTAAAACTATTCTTAGTTCACAGATGGTAAAACACAGGTGGTAGGCTGGATTTGGCCTGAAAGCTATAGGTTACCAGCCCTTGCTTGTTTTTGTTTTTGACCTGTGTAACCCAACGCATTTTCCTTGAAACAACAGTCTCAAGAGCTCGTTTCTGAAAAAAAGGATGTCATGATGAAATGTATTTGGAAAATGCTGTGATCTGTATTACTGACTTGAAAATTTACAATGAGCATTATATTTTAAAGTTTTCGAGAAATCCCATAGTAAGAAACCTGCCTGGCTTTCACCAACCCAGTGATGCTTCAACTTACCTAACCTCAGTACTCCTTTTTGTCCCTCACATTCCCAACCGTGCAAGGCCAATGCACAGTTGGCCCTGGCCTATTCTCTCCGATGGCACTTGATACTTCTTCTTTCCTTGTTAACTACATTCCAGCCATACTGGCCTTCTTTCTGTTCTTTAACCACCATGTACATTCATTCATTCTTGCCTTGGATGTTCTTCTGTCTGCTGTCCCCTCTGCCTGCAAGGTTCTTCTGCAAGATCTTCACAGGCTGGCCTTCTTGTTATTCAGTTTTCAGCTCAAATGTCTCCTCCCCAGTGAGGCCTTCTCTGATGTGCTATTCTAAAACGACTCCTCCATCCAGCATGCTCACCCGCATGCCTCTGTACTGTTTTCTTCATGGAACGTTCTATGAAATTTTCTCTCTGTGTATGGGTACGTGTATGTGTATGTATGTGTAGCATCTCCTCACTGCAATGAAAGCTCCATGAGGGGTGGGACCTTGCCCCTCTTCTCTTTATTAGAACATCCTGTCTCTAACTGAAGTGCTTGCCACATAAAATGAATGCAATATAATTTTATTCAGAGAGATTTTAAGAGATAGAGAAAGGGATAGAGATGGAGTAGGGGTGAGGGAGAGGGGGAGGGAGAGAAAGTATTACACAGACCACGTTTTGAGAAATACTATGTTATGCAAAAGAAAACACAAATTTTAAATTCTTACTTGAAAAATGCATAATGTCACTAGCAGTTACAATGCAAATTCATCCAACTTAAAGTTTACATTGCAACTCAAAGGTTATTCTAAGCAGCTCATGTAATTACATCCATCAATTGCTGATGTTTCTGTAAATGATTCAATTTGTTTTTTGGAGAATACAAGTAAGCTGAAATAAGAGCTATAAAATTGCTTATGCTCTTTGACATTTTGGAAAATACACCTCACAGAAATAATCTGAAGAGGAAAATGGTAGTTTTTTTAAATAGATTGATATAAACATTGGTTATAATAGCAAAAGATTGGAAACAATCATTCTAGACTATTAAAAATGACAATAGTGTAAATTACATCAATATCTGGACTTGTGTTTATCATACCATATTAAATGAAAAGAGTAAAACACAAAATATGTGCTCTTCAATGACACCAACGTAAAACATGCACACTTACACTAATCATAGCTAGACAAATTTAATTTGCAATAAAGCAAATTACATTTCATTTCATATTTTTGTTGCAATATTTTCTCTGTAACATCAAAAAGTTGACAAAAGAAAAGAGATTGGAACTTGCTTGCACTGTGGAGGGAAAACTGGTTCTGTACATGTTTTAATTTGTCTGAGGAAACAGAGAAAAGACTTAAATATCCTGAAATAAAGGTGGCAAAGCTTCTCCTATTCAGCCTTTCGATGTGAGTCTGGACCTGTGGTTTCAAAGGCATTCTTATTTCTCACCTAATTCACTTTATTGTAAGTCCTATGAGAAGCAGAAGGTTGCTATGTACTATGAAGTATTTACATTAAGTAGGGTGCTTTGGCATAAATTACATGGAAGACATTTGTTCTTACAACCTTGAATTTATTAGCTTTGTTCTGTTGGTTTCAAAGGTTAACAAACACCTGCTGTTGAAAACTTTCAACAGCAAAAACTTTCTCATACCTGGCCACTCTAGGATTAGCTAAGGGGCAAGAGACTGGCCACATATTTAGGGAAGACACTGTGGTCCTGTTCTGGTAAGGAATGAATGCCAAAGTGCTCATCTTAGTATTTGCAGACGAAGCTGTCTGATCTGCAGTACAAGGATCCATTGGTGTGTACGTGACGTACGTGGATGAGCACTGGTCAAAGGAGAACTGTTATGTAATTATAGCATCCACAGCGTCCGATGCACCACCCAGCCTAGCCTAAAAGTTTGTACTGGGAAGTAGGTGTCATAAGGATAATGAGAATTAATTAATGTTTATGAATAACAAGATTCATGGGAGAAAAGCACTGTGTGAAGGTAATGTGTTAAAGTGTTCGGGAAATGATGTTATCTTAAACTAAAAATCAGAGCTGGTTGGGCAGAAATATTATCATTGTAAAGTAAACACTGATTTTAATTCCTTTGAAAGTTTTGCATAAATTTCTTACCTATGAGTCAGCTCTATCTGAAGTAGGGTAGATAGTTTGCCAACATATAAACTTGAAGAATTGAGATTTGACTTGGCTTAATGTATGTCAAACATCATCATCATCATTCTCATCAAGGAACAAATATAATTAATTGTCCAGTTCACTTATAGCTTATTTACAGTATGCATAGTAAGCAAATATAATCTCTGTAAAATATAGTAGCTTACAGTCCAGGAATAATTTATTCCCCAGTATAAAGAAATATAGTGGCTAGAAATGAATATTTGAACTACTCAAATATTATTTTTCTTCTTGGCTTAAAAATTAAATTATAATATAAAAATATGTTAAGTGCTATCAATTGCAATTTGTTTATAATTTTAATGTAATAGCTAGCTAGCTAGATAATACTTTGTGTGCTGTCTTAAAAAAAGATTGTTTGAACACTGAAGGCAGAAATGAAATATGATTAGAGCTGCAAAGTTAAAGTGCACACAATATTCATAATACCAGTGGCTTACCTACATGACATATGATACAGAAACATTTTTATTTAGTAGGTTATTTGTACTTTTAAGTGTAACATAGCTTGAGAATAAATTTTTAGCTGATACATACTTTTCTTGCTTGTCAACTTGTGTTCTAGGTGTTGTGTAGGACATAGGATTAACACAGTTTTTAGCTGTTGAGCAGTGTTCCCGGTGTTCTAATGAGTATTACTTGGCAAACAAGGTAGCATCATCCTATTTAATTTAGAATAATAGTTTTTTAATATTTGAGAATGGCCCTTTCTTTGTAATTTCAGGAGATGTTTAGAATATACTTAATATTACACTAATTTTCTTGTAACAGAGGCCTAACTCAGTGGTTTGTTCATTCATAAGCATTTTCGTTAGGCTAAACACATCTAGCAGCAGACCTAAAACGTAAAGAAACATTCTGGCTGGGCGCGGTGGCTCACGCCTGTAATCCCAGCACTTTGGGAGGCCGAGGCGGGTGGATCACGAGGTCAGGAGACCGAGACCATCCTGGCTAGCATGGTGAAACCCCATCTATACTAAAAACACACAAAAAAATTAGCCGGGCGTTGTGGCGGGCGCCTGTAGTCCCAGCTACTCAGGAGGCTGAGGCAGGAGAATGGCGTGAACCCGGGAGGCGGAGCTTGCAGTGACTCGAGATTGCGCCACTGCACTCCGGCCTGGGTGACAGAGCGAGACTCCGTCTCAAAAAAAAAAAGAAGAAACATTCTGGTACCGGAGACCACAGACATTAAGCATTTTAGTGCCGATTTTCAATTCTGCTTACATTTGATTTACATTACTTGACAGCTCTTTACACTTCTTTTTTCGGGTGTGCAAATTATTCTGTTCTTTATATTGTATTTTCATTATAAAACTCTAGCTTATTTGTTAAACTATGGAAGTAAGAAGACGTTACAGAGAATCTTATATCATCCATTTACAAAGTGACTGATCTGGACAGAGTCAAAGAATACTGGAAAACTCATTTTATTGAATTATTTCATATTGAATGGCAAGTTCTAGTATTTACAATTTATAAAATTAAAGAATGTTTTTGACTACTATCACTGGAATGCTGCAAAGTGGGGAATTAGGCCAGGTAACCAAAGATGCCTATGAAGACTGTGGTTGTGTTAGGTATAAAATTAGAAGAGCCCAAGGAAAAAAATGATCAAACCAAGAAGAGAAACTGAAACCTTCAATTTGATGAGAAGAGCTAGTTTGTAGTACATAACAGGCTATTTGTTTTCAATCTTAGATTTTTACATTTGGTCAGTGTGAAATGGAAACCAGAATAGATAATAAATACGATAGGAGGACAGAAAACTGAACCCGCACAGAGAGGAACTTGTGTAGGTTTAGATCATTGATCTGGCAATATTCAAGTCTATGCATTCTGATGATTAACACCCTAGGGTCAAAGAAGAATTAGGTGAAGTCACCAGAAAGTGTGAAACAAACATTCTGAAGAATTTAGGGTGGACTGATGAGATGCCTAAGTAAAATAAGTGTATTTTTTAAAAAGTGAATTAATCTGCCTGCCAATTTAACTTTAATATGTGGGAATTTTCAGGTTTATCAGAAATTGTCTTAAATTTAAGCTTTGCTAGGGCAAGCAAAATTTGAATTAGTCCTTAAAGACTGTGAATTGGGTCCTATCATGAACTGCATGTTTATCCCTCCCTACTCCCTACAAATTCATATGTTGGAGCCCCACTCTCCAATGGGGTGGTATGAGGAGGTAGGGCCTTTGGGAGATAATTTGGTTTAGATGAGGTCATGACAGCTCCCATGATGGGATTAGTGTCCTTATAAGGAAAGGCAGAGACTAGAGCTTCCTTTCTCTCTTTGCTATTGGCCATGTGTGGATACAATGAGAAGATGGTCATCAGCCAACCAGGAAGAGTGCCCATTCCAGATACTGGATCTGCCAAGTGCCTTGGTCTTGGACTTGCCAGCCTCCTGAACTGTGAGAAATAAATGGCTGTTATTTAAGCCACCCAGGCCATGGTATTCTGTTACAGCAGCCCAAACCGATTAAGACAGATCCCTTCAGAAGTTCCTGACCTGCTGCACTCAGCCTGGACGCTGAGGCCATTTTCCACCAGTGTCCTTGACTTGTGTTGCTTTTCTATACAGATTTTTTTCTACAGGTTCCTCCTGGGACCAAAATAATGCTGAATTAATAGGGCAGTAGTCTGTAACTGTGCCACAGAGGGAAAGTAACCAATTTTGTAAATTGATACCTTGACCTTGCCCCTGAGCAGACAGTGCTATAACCAACTTAGCTAACTAGTCACAGACCTAAGTAGATGAGCTTGGTTGACTGAGGGGAAGCAATAAATTATGTTTGTATTGACCTTAGTAAACCTTTTAATTCTTTCCCACATGATATAGTTCTCAACAAATTGGGAAAATATGGCCTAGAGTCAGGTAATTGTGCGACTGCAGATCAGTGGCTGGGGCGCGCAGCATCAGTTTTCTGCTTTGGTGTACTTGAACAGTTTCATCATCTGTAGGGACTGGTGGGGTGTTTAAACTCCAGGCCACTCCCTCCCATCAGCCCAGAGAGGATGCTGATTGTTTGCTGCCTACTGTGGTGGGAGGGGGCACATGGCCTCCTACCCTACCACGGAGGAAGCACTGCTCAAGTGTGTCGGGGTCAGGGCTGACATGAGGAGGTCTGAAGTTCATTGTAGCACATCTCCTAACAGCTGGTCTCTCTGAACAGAAAAAAGAACCACATTTTCTCTTTGGTATCATTCATTTTGTCTCTGTTCAACTATTTAATCTGAAAATTCTTCACTCAGTCACTCAGTAAACAGTTGTTGAGTAAATACTCCCATGTGCTGGCACTCTGCTGGGCAGAAGGCATACTGAGTAAAATTCAGCCTTTGCTCTAGAGGAACGTACAGTCTATTTGAAGATACTGACATGTATATACAAAATGACTGTATTACTTGCCTAGGACTTCCATAACAAAATACCACAGACTGGGTGGTTTAAACGACAGAAATTTATTGTTTCACCACTTTTGGAAGCTAGAAGTCCAAAATCAAGGTGTCACCAGGTTTAGTGTCTCTTGAGGCTTCTCTCTTTGGCTTGGAGGTGACTGCCTTCCCACTGTGCCCTTTTGTGGTCTTTCCTCTGTGTGTGAGAATCCCTGGCATCTCTGGGTGTCCGCATTTCTAGCCTGAGCAATATAGCAAGACCCCATGTCTACACAAAATAAAAAATACAGCCGGGCATGGCGGTGTGTACCTTTAGTTCCAGCTACTCAGGAGGCTGAGGTAGGAGGATTGCTTGAGCCCAGGAGGTTGAGGCTGCAGTGAGCTATGATCTTGTCATTGTATTTCAGCCTGGGCAACAGGGTGAGACCCTGTCTCAGAACACACACACATACACACACACACATAAACACAAAAACCAAACAAATTTCTTCTTATAATAACACCAGTCAAATTGACCACCCGACAGGCCTCATTTTAACTTAATCAGCTCTTTAAAGGGTCTGTCTTCAAATACAGTCACATTCTGAGGGGGTTAAGTCTTCAACATACAAATTTGGGGGAAGTGGGGACAACTTAGTCTATAACAATGACATGAGGGTAAGGCAAGGATTAACAAAGTTTTATGTGAGCTCAAACTGTCTTGGGACTAGGACACACATCAATTCTCAATATTATTAGAGTCTAAAGCAGGTGTCACTATGGCAAATCATAGATGGAATTAGGCCTATAGACATGCTCTTTTCAGCCAGCATCATATTTAAAAAACAAAATCTGAATGCCTTTTAGGTGGAACAGATACTTGCTTCTTCTTCACATTTGCAGTTCCTGTTTGGCCTTTAGACATATTCAAGTTTGCAATCCCTGAGTAAATTCATAAGGAAGAGGAGCGTTTTCCTAACCATCTCATACTTGCTAGACCCTCCAGCCCACATGGAGTCAATCAATTATATCATTATACACCTAATTATTATTAATTTGTCTACTCCTCTCTCTCCACTAATTTTCATTTAGTTCCTCCCCAGCCAACCAAGATTAAGAAATAGACTCAAAATTTAGCCACATATTCTCTCTCTCTCTCTTTCTTTCATTATTTTATTTTATTATTTTTTGAGACAGGGTCTCACTCCCACACCCAGGCTGGAGTGCAGTGGTATGATCATGGCTCACTGCAACCTCGACCTCCTGGGCTCAGGTGATTCTTCCACCTCAGCCTCCTGAGTAGCTGGGACTACAGGCATGCACCACCATGTCTGGCTAATTTTTGTATTTGTTTTAGAGATGGGTTTCGTCATGTTGCCCAGGCTGGTCTCAAATTCCTGGGCTCAATCTGCCCGCTTTGGCCTCCCAAAGTGCTGGGATTACGGGTGAGCCACTGAGCTAGGCCCACACACTTCTTTTCAGCTGCTCTTTAGCTACCTGAAGATTTAGCCAAAGTTTTGAAACTCCTACTTTAGGTCCTGTAATTTTTTAAACAAGACATTCCCCTGCTACCAAAAAACTGTATCTGTATCTTCTCCCTTTTCTTCTGATTTTAAATTACACATGATTGTGACTGGTGATAACCAAGACCTATCCCATGGAAGGCTTTAACATTCAGCTCCAGTGCCAACTGGCAACATTTCTTAGGATATCCTGGTGAACACAGCAGGGAGATAGAATTTGATTGGTTGATTCATTTCCTACCAGGTCATAAGTTATCACCATTGAAGGTATGGATGGGAAAGGGTAATTTGACAGGATATATTTAGATGCCTGAAATACTTCATAATCTTGTTATTGCCTATTTTTCTGTGATGGCTTAGAAATGACATTTTGTTCAAATAAATGCAATGAGAATAAATGTTTTATGTAAGATACAAAAATAAAAGAACACTCAGAAGTAACTCAAGAAATGCAAATAAAGCAAAATTTAGTTATCACATTTGAACTTAACTATTTGGCAAAGATTTAAAGATTGGTGATATCATATATTTGCAAGAATGTGTGAAGATGGGCAGGTGACTGACTTCTCACTGTGTTATTAAAGTGCATATTAATAATTAGGCATTATTAATAAAAATTTGTACAACTTTCTGGAAGGCAGCCTGATACTGGATTTCAAAATTTAAAACTCCACTTCAGGTAATTTATCTCAAATACACCAAAATATATATACAAATCATCAGAGCATTAGAAATAGTTGGAATAAAATAACTAGAGACTTAAGCATCTATCAATAAAGGATGGATCAAAATCATCATTATGCATTCATACAATGAAACTGTATGTTGCCACTAAAAAGAATCAGTCATAACTGTAGTCACTGGCATGGAAAGATATTTCAATAGCATATTATTTTTAAATTAAAAAAATGCAATAGAAAGCAACTCTGTAGGAAGGACAATTCCATCAATATTAAGTTGTGTGTGTTTGTGTGTGTATGTCTTTGTATGTACACAGATGTTCAGAATGTCTAGCACCATAGTTACAATGATAACTTCTGGAGGATGGGATTTGGGTAATTTCTACTGATTTTGAGTGTTTTTACTTTCTTTAGTCTTTTGTAAAGACTAAACATTTTCTTCATATTATCTTTATAATTAGAAAAAAGTATGTTAAAATATTTTTGGATAAAAATATGCTTCCTAGGGCCAAGACATTTACCCAAAGAGTTCCATAAACTTCTGTCTTGCTCAGATATGTTGGTTTTATTTATAAGCATAACTCTTATATTCAGAATATTATTAAAGGATTTGTAGTGTATTGTGAACTTCCCTTTTAATAAACATGAAGTATTCCAATAGTGGCCAATTAAATTAGGAATATGACACATACTCATTGAAGACAAGTGTCATGGGCTGAATTTTGTCCCCCCAAATTCATATGTTGAAGTTATTAACCTCCAGTGCCTCACAATGGGACTGTGTTTAAAGATAGGGTCTTTTAAGAGGGAATTATAATGAGGTCATTAGGGTGGGGCAATCTAAGCTGATTGGCGTCCTTATAAGAATAGGAAATACAGACACAGACACATGTAGAAGGAAGTCCATGTGAGAGCTCAGGGAGAAGAAAGCCATCCCAAGGCAAGGAGAGAGGCTTCAGAAGAAATCAACCTTGCTGATAGCTTGATCTCAGACTTCTGGCCTCCAGAATTATGAAGAATAAATACATTTCTGTTGTTTAAGCCACCCCATCTGTGGGGCTTTGTTATGGAAGCCCTAGCTAACGAGTACAAGTGAACCTCCCTCATCTGTACTTTCTATTGGGAGTGTTGTTCTTGTTCAATAACATTTCAAAGTTATTTAAATATATTTTACATGAATGGTCTTGAACGAATTTTATTAAGTTGCCCAAGTTAGTAAAAGAAAAATGTGCCCAGTATGTACCAAATTCACCATATTACACCTAAAAACAAATCATCAAAGGTAAAAGTCTAAAAATAACACAAAAGAATTGAAATTATTTCAGCCCTAGATTGGGCTGGGTTTAGCAATTCTGAATTGCAGAACTCCACACCTACGTATATAAATTTTGAAATTTATATATAAAATTATATAATTTATATAATATATTATATAACATATATAATATATTACATTTATATACATTTTTATAATTTATAATTTACATATTATATGTAAAAATTCCACATCTATGTATATATGAAATTTTGAAATTTATATACATACATGTGGAATTCTGCAATTTTCATTAGATGAAAGTATTGAAGAGAAATATGATTTTAATCAGGGCTGTTTCTTGAAAAATTGAACAGCCTACTGTTTTGTTTCATGTATTGTTTTAATGTAATATACGACTTTTTATAGGGGAAGGAAAAACTCACACTCTGGAGAATTTAAAAAATGAGAAAGTAAACTACTCTTTAATTGGTGGGCCTTTTAAAATTTATAGTTCTAATGCTGTTCATGTAGTGATTTTTATTTAACAATATCTCAAGGTTTTAGGTAAAGCTTTAAACCTTTTGGAATGTAAAGGCATATTTGTAAATGAAGGTTTAATTTTACCAAAGGTATGGTAGCTACTTGATAGTTATGAAGTATGAAATCCTCTGGAAGAAAAAGTTACTTTTAGTTAACATGTGTTGGATCTTGTGTATTTACAGGAAATGTTTTCATTTAAGACCACTGATACATTAATAGTTTCCAGGCACATTTTATGACAGGCCCTAAGTTTGTTCTCTTTTGAACAGCTAGGAAAGGATGTTTTTAAAGTAAGCACTTAGATTTGCCTGGATCTCATTTATAAAGCAAGGGTCTTAACTCCAAATGCCTCTGAAATCAAACTATGCCCTGGAGTGGTGAATTCCCCAGGGATGACCAAAGCATCTTCCACTCAGTTTCTCTTTACTGTCATTCAAGCTTCCTAAGTCTCTTGTACTCTTCTGTTTCCTCTCTTGAAAAGCAGTGAATGGATGCAGCTCCTGGCTGTCCTCCACCTTCTTCAGTTTTATTCATGGACAGTCTATGACTTTACTTTCATCGTTCCTTGGAGAAGTGCTAATCCTAAACGATTTAGTACAGTACTGGTTTAAAGCTCTGTGCTTATTCTGACACTGGGTTTTGACTGTCATTATATTTTTAATGAGCATTTTGACACCTCTAAGTATTGGGAGGATTTGATTAGGTGGAGAAATAAGAATGTGTTATCAAATGAGAGGGCTACAGTGTTCTCAAGAAAACAAAGTGCTTTTGATCTCAATCCTTTTGTCTTCCAGTGTGTTGCTAAAGCCCCCTAGTGGCCAGGTGACCCCAATCAGGTGCTGAGTGCCCCCTCTTGGGGAGAGGATCCTAAGGATCTTCCTATCTCCAGAGCTCTCTGAACTATGGTAGAGGACTATTTGTCCCCAATATAGCCTGATTCCCTGGTTTAAAAACTTCTCAGAGAGTCCTGGCCTTTACCTCTGCAAGCTCCCAAAGGAAGAGAGAGCCCAGCAGTTTCTCCAGCTGAGAAGAAGGGAGATCACTGAAGCCTTTAACTAAGTAGCAGGGGATATTTCCACTGTTTGTGAGGAATGGAGAACTCATTAATGTGCTGAAAGCTGTGAGCTGGGGCTCCCCAAAGTAGCTTCCTGGCTTTAGGTGTCTTATTCTGCCTGCACAACGTCAGAAGGAGGGAATGAAAGAGTCCAAATTTCCTCTAGACCTCCTCATGGAAAAGTTTAGGAAGCATAAAAATATAGTCTGGGGCTGGGAGCAGTGGCTCATGCCTTTAATTCCAGCACTTTGGGAGGATGAGGCAGGAGGATCGGTTGAGCTCAGGAGTTCAAGACCAACCTGGGCAACATGGTGAAACCCTGTCTTTACCAAAAATCCAAGAAATTAGCCAGGCGTGATGGTGCACACCTGTAGTCCCAGCTACTCAGGAGGCTGAGGTGGGAGGATCACCTAAGCCTGGGAATTTGAGGCTGCAGTGAGCCATGATACCTCTCTCTATATCTATATCTATATATCTATCTATATCTCTATCTATATATACAAGTATATCTATATTTGTATATACATGTATATATCTATATATATATATACACTATGTATACATGTATATATAGATATAGGTATAGATGGATATATAGATATAGATATATAGAGAGATATAGATATAGATATATAGATACAGATATATATAGAGAGAGTCTGTACACTTACATGACTTGGTGGCTTGCTATAAAATTAAATGACCCCTCAACTTAGGTTCTACAGTGTATACCCTTGAGGAATCACCTCTCTCCCCCAAGAACCCATTCCTCTAAGCCTATATAGCCCCCATTTATAAACCTATGACCAGGGACAATGTCTTGTCTGTATCCTCAGTGGTGAGCAGGGTGTCTGGTATATACTAGGGGCATACTTAGTCTTGGAATAATTAAAGGTAATGGAATCCATTTGATTTGAAGTCTGTGTTTTTGAAGAGATCCTCTAAATTGTAAAAGATGCACTTTACAAGTTTTTATTTTTATTTTTTTTTTTTATTTTAAGACAGAGTCTCACTCTGTTGTCCAGGCTGGAGTACAGTGGCATGATCTAGGCTCACTGCAACCTCTGCCTCCCAGGTTCAAGTGATTCTCATGCCTCAGCGCCCCCAGGTAGCTGGGATTACAGACATGTGCCACCATGCCCAGCTAATCTTTGTATTTTTAGTAGAGACAGGGTTTTGCTATGTTGGTCGGGCTGGTCTCAAACTCCTGGCCTCAAGTGATCCACCCACCTTGGCCCCCCAAAGTGCTGGGATTACAAGTATGAGCCACTGCGCTTGGCCACCCAGCTTTTTAATTAATTCTTTTTTTTCATGTGTGTGAGCTAGGTATAAGGCAGCATGCTGAGCATTATGGGTGATGCAGAGAAGTCCTAGAGAGAATTAATTCCTGTTGCCAAGGAAGGAACAATAATCCCATGGAAACTACATGCCCACCTTGATCCCATGCCCCCTATAACTCCTACCCTAATTCTTCACTCCTAGTCTGGTTTCCCCCACCTTGGACTCACCCTTTATTTCTCTTCTCTCTGCATTCTGTACCCTGGACTTCATGCAATCTGCCCTTGGTGAGATGACCACATTGTGAATTCAGCAGTCATGTTGTAGTCCTCTGAACCTTCATTTTGTCTCTGAGAGCGTTTGACACATGGAGCCATGTCCTCATTTTCCACTCTGCTCCTTTCTACTTCCTGGCTGCACCTTCTTGGTCTTTTGTTTTTTGGCCAACATTCCCTTCCCTTACCAAATCTAAGTGTTGGCTTTTATTTGGGCTCTATCTTGGGCTCCCTTTCCTCACGTTGCTTTTCTGGCAATGTTAATCATGGGATAAAAATCAGAAACACCTGGAAAGTTATATATATATATATATATATATTTTTTTTTTTTTTAAAGCTACACACATCCAGACCCCAGAAATTCTGATTTATTGGGCCTTTGGTGTTTGTATTTTGAGACAAATTTCATGAGTATTTCTTAGTACATCCCTTGTTAAGAACTATGACACATGCATGCTTTCTCTCTCTCTTTTCCTCCCTCTCTCTAGTGATCTTATCCTCTCCTAAGGTGTCCATACAGTGATGACTTCCAAATCAAAATTTCCATCCCGGAGCTTGCCTTTAATACAGATCACTATATACAATTGCATTTTTGGGTAGCTCAGAGGCTTCTCATAAAATTCAACGTATCCTAAATGAAAATCATGACTTATTTCACCAAATCTGCTCTTCCTCCTGTCTTTTCCATTCCAGTAAATGACATTGTCATTTGTACATCCAGAAAAATAGGCATTCTCCTTAGTTCCTTCTCCTTCATTTCCCGTACCCAACGAAGCACCAAGTCTTGCCAAACCTGCATTCTATATGCAATTGCTGATTAGGAACCACATTTTTACAACAACAACAACAAAAAAGCAATTTCGGATGACTCAACCTAATACTTATCAACTCTGTTTACTTTTCCCTATTCCAATGATGACATGTTGGTCCAAACACTCATTCTTGGGATGGCTGAAATGCCTTTTGTACTGGGCCCTCTGCATCTGCCGTTGGCCCCCTTCTTCCACTATTTAACTGTCTTCAGCATGATTTCTTAAAACATGCGGCCCTAATTACATCATCCTTTCATTTATAACCATTCAGTGGGCTCTCAATGCACTTGGCATAGTCTAAAATTCTTAAATGGCTTGGAAGCCCCTGTATCATCTGGTCCCTTTTTTCCTCTGCTGCTTTATTCTAAGCAGTATTTTTTTCTTCCACTTTCTTCTATGGCCAAATCTCACTGGGCTTCTTTAGGGTCCTTCTGGTTTCAGAGACTTTGTACAGGCAATTTCCTTGGCCTGGTACACCCTTGATCAAATTTTTGTTTGGGATACTTCTTGCAAATCCCTTTTATCTCAGCCTAAGCATCACTTTTTCTGGGACACTTTGCCTGATGCTCCCCTATTGTGGTTGAGGGCCCCTATTATGTAGCCTGAAACTGTAGTCCTAATTTCTCTTGTTATTCATTATGTAAATAATTCATTATTATTCTGCAATTGTTTATGCAATAACTGTTTCTCTGTGAGACTACACCTCCATGAAAGCAGGGACTACATTCCTGCTTATTTTCCCCTGTGCTTCCAACTTTTAGCACGGTGCCTTAAATTTGGTAAGCTTTCAATGTACATGTATTGAATGCATAAATAAGATGGGAGTTAAAAAACAAATATCAGAAAGTATTTTGAAACATCACAAGTGGAAGCTTGAACAAAGCACAGTGGATATTGAAAGAAAGAGAGAGAGAGAAATTATCCTGTTTTTTTGTTTTTACAGACAGCTCCTCTGTCACCCAGGCTGGAATGCAATGGCATGATCATAGTTCACTACAGCCTCAAACTCTTGGACTCAAGCGATTCTTCCACCTCCACTTCCCAAGTGGCTAGGTCTACACGTGTATGCCACCATGCCAGGCTAATTTATTAATTTAATTTAATTTAATAATAATTTTTGAGACAGAGTCTCACTCTTTCACTCAAGCTGGAGAGCAGTGACACTATCATGGCTCACTGCAGCTTTGACCTCCTGGACTCAGGTGATCCTCCTACCTCAGCGTCCCTAGTAGCTGGAACTATAGGTGCATACCACCATGCCTGGCTAATTTTTATATTTTTGTAGAGACAAGGTTTTGCCCTGTTGCCCAGGCTGGTCTTGAACTCCTGGGCTCAAGTCATCCTCCCACCTCAGTCTCCCAAAATGATGAGATTACAGTTGTGAGTTGCTATGCTGCCTAATTTGTGTGTGTGTGTGTGTGTGTGTGGTGTCAGGGTCTCTAGGCTGGTCTCAAACTTTTGGCCTCAAGCAGTCCTGCTGCCTTGGCCTCCCAAAGTGCTGGAGTTACAGGCATGAGCCACTGAGCTGGGCCCTGGTTTTTTAATTGACAATTTTACACAGAAAGTGATATTTGTGTTGGCAGTTCACAGATGGTGCAGTTTTCCATGGATGGGAAGTGGCATTCTAGGCAGTGGGAAAAACAGGAGCAAAGGCATAAAGGTAGAATAAATAGAGTAAGCTTGAGGAATAACCAATGATCCAATCGGCTTGAGGGTAAGGCATTTACTGGGGAGGTCATATATGTTCTTGAGAAATAGAAGAAGGAAGAGCAGAGCAGGGAGAACCTATGGAGTTTAAACTTGAAATTTCCAGCCATGATCCAAGCAGTGTTCTGAGAAAACTGATCTGGCCTTGGTGTGCAATGAAAGCTTTGGCACCAAAAAACTAGCTAGGAAGATTGCAGTAACCTTTGGGAATGATAATGAGAGCCAGAGCTTGGGTTGTTGCAATGGGAATGCAAGAAAAAATGGACTTGAGGGTAAGATTACAGAAGTAGCACTGCTGAAAGTTTGATGACCGATTCCAGGACAGCAACAGAAAGAGACCAGACCACGACGACTATTAGGTCCAAACACTAAAAGAAACACAACGCCTTGGCAAACAACGTCAGAATAGCCACCATTAGAATCTAAGGGAGAATTAACGATTGCATCAAGTGTCCATTCTGCAACAGCTGCAAGAGTTCATTCATTAGGCAAATACATGCACCCAGATTCCCTGCTTTCTGTCCAGTGTGCATTCTGCTGGCACCTACCTATGAGTAAGTAGTTGAGGTGATTTGTAAGCTAAGCTGAATTTTAGACTGGTGATTTTTTAAATGTAGTTTTTTTTGTTGTTGTTTTTTTGCATTTTTTTTTTATTCTTTTCTTTTCCCAGGCAATTCTTATGGTTCAATCCACTTCACAGGTATGCCTCAGGCTTCCAAATGACTATTTCACATTTGCTATGTAAACTAGTGACTCAATATGTTGCTTTAGAACCAGATACGTGTGGTTTTGCTTCACTTGAGGAATTCAGTAGAGAACATACTTCGTGTCAGCAGAAACCCTCGTAAATCTACATAGAGAAGGACATGAGTAAAACTTCCTTTTATAATCACGTGGCTGCATGGAATTTGTTTCCTTTTCTTTGTGGAGAAGCACTGGAGTTTTCTCTAAGACCTCAGAAAAAAGCTTATTTGTGCTTGTGAACTGATTTTGAGAAGGGACACCATTGTCATATTTATCTTGAATTTGCTCTTCAAGATTAGAAAATAATTGAAAAAGAAAGTAAAATTCTAGGGGTTGTTATTGCATTTTGTATATGAGATGTATGCATTTTCCCTCTAGACAGGTACTCTGGGGAAGCTGGCCAGGGAAAACAAATAAGACGACATGGCCTTACACAGTTTCTCCTGCACAATGGCTGAGCTTCTGTATCTGGCCCTAGGTATGTAAGCTATGTGTCCTGAGATAGGAAGCCTTCCAGAGCACAAAAATGTGGACAGAAGAGTTAGGGAAGATATATAGATAGATATGTATGTATGTATGTATCTAGATACATATCTATATATATATGTGTGTGTGTGTGTATATATATAATGGTGAAAGAACATTTATACCATTACAATTTCATCTTGGATAGAGATTAAGGTTTGAAAAAATTTCTACAAATAGCATCTCCTGGCTATGTAGGTTTTGGCTCAGAGAAATTGGGGTTGGTGAGATTAAGTGAAAGGAGATAAATATTAAGGGAAAGTTTTCAGATGGAAGGGTTTCTGCTGAAGCCACCTGCCCAGTTTGCCATAATGGACTCAGTGGCCTGGCAGAACCTTTATTTGAATACTTTGGTTGGATTGATGACCTTTTGTGGCTTTTGTGGTATGGAAAAAACACATAATTTATATTTTTCTGAGTGGAGTGCCATAGGTTTCTCTACAGAGTCCTTGGCATCCTATTGTCTCATGGTCATTATAAGTTAACCTGGGGAGATTGTTGGACATACATGATATTTGAAACAAATTTAGAACTTTTAATGTTCACTTTATGTATGCTACATTATAAAATTTTCCTAAGAAGATAATATATTATTGGTCTATATTTATACTTCAAATACAAAGCATTTAATAGTGTCACAAGGGTACGTAGTTAGTATTTTCATAGTCTTTAAAAACATGTTTTATTTCTGGCCTGAATAACACTATTCCTTGTGTGTGCATGTGTGTGTGCTTGTGCACACCCTTACGTCTGAAATTTGTTGTATTTTGGGTGACTTTAGAAGACTTTTGAGACCACTCGTCATGCCTAGTGATCAATGCATGGGGACTGCATATCCCAGAGTACACAGATCTTGGAATTGAGGTTGCCACCTTTGGGTTAAGAGTAGCCTGGTGTTCCATTCCCCATGGCCAAGTATTTTAATATGTTTTACGGTGAGTACAACTAGAAAACATTGCCTATTTAATTTATAGCTGACACTTTCTTGGAAAGGAAAGCTACAAGTGAACATGTGAGATCAGAATTAGACTTCAGAGTCATTTTGATAGGAGCTGCAGAATTAGCAGAGCAAAACTTTGTTCTATGGCAAATGCATCCCCAGGTTGTCAGAGCATTCCCTCTGTTTCCTGCTTTAACTCAAACCTGGCTGCTCCCCAGGCTTCCTTCTGCTGGGGGCCTTCCCAATGCAGGCTGCTTGCCCAGGTTTCTGTTCACTTCCCACTTGTCCTTACACAGTCGTGAAAAGCCCCGTTCCTCTGAGGTCATCTCTATCCGTCGCTGTTTTCTACTGACCTCCGTCTTCTGATCACTCTTCTCTCACTTTCTACTGACCACTGATGGCTTTGGCATGCTCCTTTTTCATTCTTCAACAAATATTTGTTCTTCTCCTTTTTCCCTATCATGATTAAAAAGATGGGCTGGGCGTGGTGGCTCACGCCTGTAACCCCAGCTACTCGGGAGGCTGAAGTACAAGAATCACTGAAACCAGGGAGGCAGAGGTTGCAGTGAGCCGAGATTGTGCCACTGCACTCAAACCTGGGCAACAGAGTGAGACCCTGTCTCAAAAAAACAAAAAGTAAAGATATTCCTCCTTGTACATAAGGTCAATCCCTACTCCTGGGCTCTGGATTCTATCCCCTCTGGCTTCCTTTTAGCCCACTGATTTTATCTACTCAACACCTCTTAGATTCTTTTTTCCGGCTCCACCTTCACTGCCTCCTTCTTAATTCAAGCCAACATAACCCTTCACAATCGCTCTGCTCCCCTAGTTTATCTTCCTGCACATGGTATTACCTTTTTCCAGACCATCTTTCCTCATGACGTTAGAATGAGTTTTCCCAAATGTAAATCTGAGCATTTCTTTCCCTCCCATCCCGGGCCCTCCTTAGTTGTTCGAATAAGGTCCAGACTCCCCAGCACGGCATTCAGGGCTCTTCATCATCTGGCCTTTGCTTAGCTCTGGACAGAGGTAACAAATCACCTCTTAGCAATTTAAATAGTGATACGGATTAATAAAGTCTCTTCTGATAAAAAGTATTTTTTCAAAAGACAATTTCTAGCATATGCACAGCCTAGCTTCAAAGCATCAGGAGAGAACTTTGGAGCTGATGCCATTTTATAGGCTAAAACTGTTTCTAACATTTACAGAATCTCTAAAACCATGCACCATAGGCATAGATGCCTATGGATGCACGTTTGGACAATTTCTTTTGTATGGAAGATGTGATTCATAGGAGAGATTGGTAATTTAGAAACCATGACTTCTAATTATGGGAAGTTTCCTGTGCAAGGCATGTGTTCAATCTTCGCCTGTTTCCTAAGTGGTAAGATGGTGACAAATCTATGATACCACCCCCGAGAGTGTTTGTGAAACATAGCTAATAAAAATATTAGGCTATGTTATAGGATATTAAGATGCCTTGCAAATAATATTTCCTGTTAATAATGTATGATGACTTATGAGTCCTTTGGAGCTGTTTTTAATCCCTGAGGTTAGCCCTTATGTAATTTAAGAAAGAATAATCAGATACATGGTGGTCATATTTCCTGCTTCTCAGTTTATGTAATTCAATATAAAATGCCAAAATAAAGGCATGAAATTGAAAAGAAAATCAGCTAATATTTAGTATTTATGAATATCATTTTGCCTTCACAACTCTTTCCAAACCTCAAATAATTAATTTATACACATCTCAGAAGAAGGTGATGATTATCTGTTTTATAGGTGGGAAGAAACTGAAGTTAGTTGTTAAATGCCTTGCCCAGGGCCATAGAGGAGGGGGATGTTTTATGCCTGGCCTGGAACCTAGGCATTTCTGATGTCTAATTCAGCCGCATCACACTCTCTTTGAATAGTATTTAATATCTCTGCTCCCCTCAGCAGTAACCTTGATGGTTGATTGAATGGATTTTTGTCATTTGATTTTTAACACCTAGAAAGTTGAAGCTAATGTGTTTTGTGATTCATGTGGACTTCACGGGTCCCCTTCAAAAAGCTCAGTTTATGGAAGCTTATTTTTTAGGGACAAGTTTTAGGGAGAACAAAAGGGGACAGGGGAAAATGTAAAAACATGACATATCAGAAATTCTGTTGCTTCTATGTTTGAGTGAGTGATAAGTGATGGCCTGTGTGGCTCCCAGTATGAGATTTAAGCATTTAATTCTAAATGTTGAGAGTGCGCTTGCCCTACCTAGTACACCAGGATGAATTGTAAGCTTCTAGGGAGCAGAGATGATGGTGTAATTCCTTTGTACCTGCAAATTGAGAATGACAGGTTAGACAGGTTGTTCACAATGCTCTTTGAAAAGGGAATGTCAGAGGTCTTAGATTGCTTGCATTCCTCGATTTACATAACAGATATATTCCTCTAAAGTTTATGTAAATGCAGTCATATTTTTAAAGCACCAAGAAATTTTGCCTTTTAAAAGATCCTCGTTTGAATCCATTTGAAAGTGAACTAAATTATTGTGATATAGACAGTTACTTCTCAATTAATCTATTGTGCAGATTTAGCTTTTCAAATAGTGAATTTTTAAAAACAGAGCCTTTCTGTGAACTTGTCACAAAATGCAGCAGTGCTAGTGATACACAGTAGAAGGTAGCAGGGCCTGGGAAGCAAATGATCTTAGAGACAGTCATCTCTGGGTTGCAATATAAATTCTGTGAATTAATACTCTGTGACCATGAGTGAGTTTTCTCTGGTTAGTTGTACAAAACATTGCAATACCTTTATACTGAGAATTTTAATTTGACCGAGTCATAAACAGACTCAAGGCAATTCTAAGGCGGTTAATATAGATTTTTCTCAGTCTTCTAATATTTGCATGGTATTTCATTGCATAGATTTACCATAGCTTATTTATTTATTTTTCTGTTAATGGACACATTGCTTTTTTTTTCTAATATTCTATTTAAAAAGTTCTGCAAAGAATATTTTTATAATACATGTTTATGTATTCCTATTATATGTGTAGGTGAGATTTCTAAAAGTGACATTGCTAGATATGTGTTCTTTTAATTTCATAGATCCTGAAATTATACTCTCAATTGGCTGTACTACTTTGTATTCCCATGTATAGTTTAATAGAGTGCTCACATCCTGACACCATTGCTGAGTATTGCCAAACCTTATTTATCTAATCTGTTGGATGGCAAAAGTATCTCTCTGTTGTTTTTATTTGTATTTATTTAATTGCGGATGAGCTTAGTAAACAGATTTTACGTGAGTGTTAGATCAAATAATTTTGTTTTTGGCTGATTAGAGAGAAATAAAAATCAGGCATGCAACTTAATCCAACTCTGGGGCTAAGAACTTCCTTAATATTTCTGCTTGTTTGTTATAATGGGTATAGAAACTTGCAGGAGGGTAGCTAGATCTATTTAATCCCAACATTTTGGGGGGAAAAAAAGCAAGTGCAAGAAATTTCTATATTGTCTTCAACTTCATTAAGACTTCTGATTATTAGAACACGCGTTTTCTTTTTTTTTTTTTTTGTTCTGGGAACTGGAATTGATGGGAAAGCTTTTAAACAAAATTTAGGAAAAAATTTAATTTCAAGGAATGCGAGACTAAGATTTTAGGAGAATGATTATTATTTGATGGAAAATAATTTTTTACCCCTGAGCTCTGACTTTCAGCTGGAGAATCATTAGTTGCCATGATATTTTGATTATTATAGGTGGTAGTAGTTATGAGTTTAATCACTCTAATTCTTGGTTTGAACAGCCCACAGAAATTTGGCCTGTAGCCTTTTGAAGAAAATGACCCTTTAAATGTGTTACTGTTGAAAAAAAGAATAACCTCTGTGCAAATATTAAGTCTGATAATAAGCCTGTCTTATGGGCTTTCACTGTAATTCATTCTCTCTCTCTCTCCTTCCCCACACCCCTTCTTTCCTCTTTCCATCGGTCAAATTCGACTTCTTCCTTAGCATTGTAAGAAGCTTTTTTCAAACCTTACCTTATATTAATCAAAAAAGACAGGAGAGAGTGAAAAAAGACCAGAACATAAAAGCAACCTCTTTTTAACTTACAAAGATACAAAAATTGATTGCAATTAAAAAAAAAAAAACCTCAGGTTTCTTTTTGCTGTTAGCACCTTAGTGTACTTTCTCAATCATGTATCGCTATTTGGAAAACTGTGACAGTGGGATTAAACAGAAATATAAATAAGGATAAAATGTATGTCACTTGATACGACCAAAACATTGTTGCAAGGAATCACAGGTAGTGTCTCCCTTTTAACTAAGGGGTTGAGGTACTCTAATTGGCATCTCAAATCCTGTCCTGAAGGAGTGTTCATAATTAGAACAAGAAGATTTGGTACATAAAAATAAGACAATGAAGCTACTTCTATCCTATCACTTAGGTCATTTTAGTTAGAGTAATTTGGTGGGGAGGGGGACAATGGTGGAGGACAGATGTAGAACAATGGAAAAGGATAAGAGGCAGGTGAAGGAAAGGTTTTTGTGATATTGGGTTAGGTAAATAGTTCTTAGATATGACATCAAAATCCATAGGAGAAAAAATTTGATAATGTGGACTTTATTCAAAATTTCTGATCTTTGTGCTTATTTCTCTGGTGTGCTGTGTGGGGTAGTCTGGCCATGAAAAATGGTGGTGGACAGGAAGACTTTTAGGGGCGGGGGTGGCTAACTTTTAATCTCATATTGTTTGCAAATCTGCAAATGAAAACATCTTTATTCCACGAAAACTCGAGTACAACCTGCTTATACACATACTTTGTGTGAGTGAGTTTTTTTGTTGTTGTTTTAAGTTATTATTCTTTTGTTGGAAATCTTGGGTTGATGTGTTATGGAAGAGAGACAACACACATAAGCTAGCCAAGTGATTTACAGATGGAACCACTTGCTGCAATAATCTGAAAGTTGTAGAAATCTATAGATGAGGGAGTGCTGTTGTTTGAATGTTTGCATTCCCTCCAAAATTCATGTTGAAATTTAATCTTCAATGCAACAGTGTCAAGAGGTGGGGCCTTTAGGAAAAAATCAAGTCATGGGGGTAGAGCCTCCATGAGTGGGACTAGTGACCTTATGAAAGGTCTGGCGGGGACCAACTAGGTCCCTGTTTGCCCTTCCTTCCCTTTTACCATGTGAAGACACCTAGATGGTACCATCTATAAGGAATGATCCTTCCCTAGACACCAAGCCTGCCGGCACCTTGATCTTGGACTTCCCAGCCTCTGAAACTGTGAGAAATAAACTCCTGCTGTTTATAAATTATCCAGTCTCTGGTATTTTGTTTTGTTTACAGCACAAACAGATTAAGACAGGGGAAAAGAGAAACAAGCGATTTTCCATAAAATGTGGATGGTATGTTCAAGCCATTCCTATCTAGACTTTGAAAGTCGTATCTATACATAGACAGATATTTGAGCTGCACCTTGCAGTTGAGAGATGCTCCTCATATAGAAAAGAGAATGACCTTCTCTGCAAAAGAGAATGGCCAGAATGACTTTCCCTCATTCTGGCCCATGAAAACAGATACAACTTTGGAGGATCCACTGGAGATATTGTATTAAGATTTAATTTGTGTATCCATCAAGAATATAATCAGTTAAGTGAGAAAACCTGTTTGTTAAATAACATTCCTTGAAGTAATTCAGGTTTTTATGTGAACATAAATTTCCCTTTCTCTGGGATAAATTGCCCCCAAATGTGATTGCTGAGTTATGATACTTGCATTTTTTTAAAAAAAGAAACTGCCAAACTGGCTTTTCACCAAGATAACAGTGAGGGCAAAAGAGGGAGCCTCTGCCTCTCTCAAAGCCAAAGCTAAAGCAAGGGCTGTGAAGGCCAAGGAGGCAAGGCTGAGGTGTCTACAGCTACACACACACACACATACACACACACACACACACACACACACACCCCTACATGTCACTCACTTTTCAGCTGCCTGAGACGCTGTGGCTCCTGGGGCAGCTCAAGTATCCACGGAAGACAGCCCTGAGGAGCTTGACCACTTGGCCATCATCAAGTTCCCCTGACTACTAAGTTGTCTGTGAAGAAGACAGAAGATGGCAACACACTTGTGTTCATTGTAAATGTCAAGGCTAACAAGCATCGGATCAAGCAGGCCAGCTGAGGAGTTTGAACATAATGAAACCCCTTCTCTACAAAAAATACAAAAATTACTTGGATATGGTGGCATGTGCCTGTCATCCCAGCTAGTCAAAGGAGGTGAGGGGCTGGTCGACAGAGTAAGATCCTTTCCTTTAAAAAAAAGTATATAGAAAAAAGTACACCACAATCTTAATAATTATCTCTTGAGTGGTAGGCCATTGCATAATTTCAATTTTTCTTTTTCCCCATATGTAGCTTGCCGTTTTCCATAATAAAATAAATATTTGCAACATCAAAATAAGAGAAAAATTAATACATGATCACTGTGGAATATTTGGAAAAGATAGAAAAGTGGAATGTAAGAAAAAAGATTATGGTAGCCTGATCCAGTTTTGGCAACAACATTGTTGTCCGTTTCATGCCAGACTTTGCTTTCTGTATAATGTCTACACATTTTCCCAAATGACCTAAAGTTATTTTTGTCATTCTTTAAACCTGTAGGTATTATCTCAATGATCAAAAGCCTACAAACTTACCCCAAGAAATAGATTTCTGTTGTTTGCTGCGCTACACCTGAGGACTCAAGAGTGTGCTCCTGGGTCCAGGGCCTGCAAAGGCAGCATTTTCCCCTTGAGGATGCATATATGATGCCATTCGATTGATGGCTTCAGTCCAGAGCTGGCTACTATGTGAGTGGGCATTTGCCAGGTAAGAACTGAATGCAGGTAGGCAGGTCACATATTTCTAAGAGGTTTATTTTCAACATAGGAGGTACCAGTCCCTTACTTAGATAGTCTTCTAATAATTAGTATGTCTATATTTGTTCCCAAATCTATTACCATTTTTGGTTCCCTTTCATGTACAGTTCCTTCATTGTTCTTCTTTTGACCTCAGGTTCAAATAGAGCATTCTTTTTTTTTTTTAATTTTTAATTTTGTTTTGAAACACCGTCTTGCTTTGTTATCCAGGCTAGAGGGCAGTGGTGCAATTTTGGCTCACTGTAGCCTTGACCTCCTGGGCTCAAACAATCCTTCCACTTCAGCCTTCTGAGTAGCAGGGACCACAGTGGTGCTCACCATGCCTGATTAATTTTTTTTTTTTTTTTTTTTTTTTGTGAAGATGGGGTCTCCCTATATTTCCCAGTCTGATCTTGAACTCCTGGGCTCAAGCCATCCTCTTGCCTCAGCCTCCCAAAGTGCACTGGGATCAGAAGTGTGAGCCACTGCCCCTGGTCCAGTCTCACATTCTGGAAGCTCTCTGATATGGTTTGGCTGTGCCCCCACCCAAATCTCCTCTTGAAGCTCCTATAATCTCCACATGTTGTGGGAGGGACCTCGTGGGAGATGACTAGATTATGGGGGCGGTTCCCTCATGCTGTTCTTGTGATGGTGAGTGAGTTCTCATGAGATCTGATGGTTTTATAAGGGGTTTTCCCCTCTTTGTGCTGCACTTCTCTCTCCTGCCACCATGTGAAGAAGGACGTGTTTGCTTCCCCTTTTGCCATGATTGTAAGTTTCCCAAGGCCTCCCCAGCCTTGTGGAACTGAGTCAATTAAACCTCTTTCCTTTATGAATTACACAGTCTTGGGTATTTCTTCATAGCAGCATGATAATGGACTAATACACTCTCCCTAGTAGACGTGCTTGTGTGTGTGCCAGGCTTTTTTTTTTTTCTTTCATGTTTGTATCAAATTCCCTTTGGGCATCTCCTTGATAGTTCTAGCTGCTGTCCTCTCTGGCCTCTGACTGGTCCGCTTCTCCCATTTCTCTCACTGTGTCTCTAGGCCATTACTCTATGTCTCTGCCTCTGTCTTTCTCCCTTCTTCTCACTACCCAGTTTCTCTTTCTATTTAGACTCTGGGCATGCACAGAGAGGTCTGAAGGCATTGCTCACTCAAAGTCCTCGTGGTCAAAATATTTCTAGTGGTTCTACATCTGGTGCCAAATATCTGTGATAATATTGCTTATGAATATAAATTGTCAAGTGTGATGATTGTAAGAGAGAAAGTTATTTAGATTAACTTTGCAGTATCTTTTTTATTTGCAGAGAGAGGCAGTGTCATAACGGCATTTAGGAATGAACACTCTAGAGCCAGATAACTTGGATTTGAATCCCTGTTGTACCATGTTTCAGCTGTGGAACCTTGGGTAAGTTACTTAATTTCTCTGTGCCTCAATTTTCGTGTGTATAAAATAATAATTTTTTTTGAGACAGTTTTTCACTCTGTCTCCCAGTTGGAGTGCAGTGGCATGATCTCAGCTCACTGCAACCTCGGCTTCCTGGATTCAAGTGGTTCTCATACCTCAGCCTCCCAAGTAGCTGGGGCTACAGGCAGGTGCCACCACGCCTGGTTAATTTTTGTATTTTTAGTAGAGACAGGGTTTCTCCATGTTGGCCAGTCTGGTCTTGAACTCCTGGCCTCATATGATCTGCCTGCCTCAGCCTCCCAAAGTGTTGGAATTACAGGTATGAGCCACTGCACCTGGCAAAATAAGGGTTTTAATGGTGCTACTTCATGGTGTTGCTGTGAGGATTAAATAGGTGTTATAAAAGGATTTAGGGGAGTGCACATTGGGAGTGCTACATAAATGCTAGCTGTCCTCATTATGGGATAATTTCACCTCTCTAGGTCACAAAGATGGTGGTAGAAGTAAGCATTAGCTACAAATGTCAAACAAAAGTTGGGAGTTGAACCAGTTCCCAAAAGAGGATTCTCTGTGATATTGAATGAAAACTAGCTGTCAAGGCAGAGGGCCTCGAGTACTGAGATAGCAGAGGGGATGTTCCCAAAGGGTTCAAAACTTTAAGCAGCTGCCCCAACCAGCGTAGTTTCTTGGACAGCTTTGGCCTTGGTGACAACTGGGAGTATCAGGAGTCCAGAAAGCTGCTTGTTTCTGTCCTGTTTCATGTGTGAGACTGTGAGTGTGTATAGACATTAGAGTGAGTGTGTCAGTGTGAGAGTGTGCCAGTCAATATGTGAGTGTGAGATAGTTTGTATCTCTGCCTCTTTCTCCCTCCTTCTCTTATGTGAACTTATGGGAACCAATGGTAAATATAAATGCTAGCTGCACTCCCACTCACCATGGGCTGTTAGAGAGTGGGAGAGTATATGCGTGTGTGTGTCGGTGTGTGAGCATGAGTGTGAGAGTGTGTGAAAGTATGTGAGTGTATGTGTATGTGTGAGTGTGAGAGTGTATTATGTACGTGCATATGCATAAGTGTGAGTATATGTGTCAGTATGTGAGTGTGTGTGCAACAGTGTGTGAGTGTGAATATATGTGAGTGTGGGAATGTGAAATACATGAGTATGAGTGTGAACATGTGCAAGTGTGTGAGAGTATATGAGTATGAGTGTGTGAAATGCATGAGTGTGGAAGTGTGTATGTGTGAGTGTTCCATTGTGAGAATGTGTGAGCATGTGTGAGAGTGTATGTAATCAGAGTGGGGAGCAGGAAGGTGGGTTCTTCCTTTACCAATGCTCAGTGAGCTAGGAGGTCCATGAACAAGTGCATGTAAAATGACAATACTATTAACTAGGAGCTTTGGCCTTGCTTCTCAGTTGGCTCTTATTTGGACCTGGGAGAAAAATTATTGGCCAGGAAGAAAATGAACAAACCTTACTTTAGCTGTAGAAATGTAAACTCAAGAGCCTGAGAATCCCATTTTATCTTTCATATTTTGCTCTATTCTACCTGGTGAGTGGCTTCTACCCAAATGCATGATCTCATCATCATTTCCAAAGAGAGTAGAGGCAACAAAGGGATATTTAAGGGCACACATGTGATGGGAAATGAGCTCTTTCCACAAAATGCACCACTAATGAGGGCATTTCTAATTTGATCAGATACTTCTAGCATGCATCCATTAAAGGCAGTGGAATATGTTTACATGAATACCCTGTTTCCTTAGAGCAGTGCTTTTTGAGTCTTTCTCATCTGACCTGAGGATGCTTGTGCATGCCCTCCCACCAAACAAAAACAAAACACAACAAAAACCCAAGATACTGGCAGCGGACTGAGAGGAGGAGACTGGATCAGCAAAAGTTTGGGCCTAGGTGGGATTTAGCTACAGATGAAGTAGAGAAATAGGGCCAAAGGGATAGGCAGAAATTGGCCCTCATGCTAATTAGGAGGGCAAGAAGGTCATGGCAGAAAGGGTGCCCAAAGAAAGGGTTGTAGAAGGGTTCAGGGTATTGATTTCTTTTTCTCAGGCAAACATTTAGATAGTGAAACTTCAAAAAATTCCAGTTACCGCAACTCAAAAATCACAAAATACTTAGGAATATATTTAACAAAAAGCATGCAGGGACTCTGCTGAGAAAACTACAAACCATGGCTGAAAGAAATTAAAGAAGATCTAAATAAATGGAGAGACATACATGTTCATGGGTCATGAGTCTGATGGAGCTCACATATAGGTGCTCCCCAAATTGACGTGCAGAGTCAATGTAAGCCCAAAGTTCCAAGAGAATTTTTTTTTTATAAAAATTGATACATTGATAATAAAATATATATAGAAAAGCACAGGCCCTTGAATAGCCAAAACAATCTTGAAGAGGAAGTATTTTGCATAATGTAAATATTGACAACTAAACTGCTGTTATTTAATGATTTAAGCTCATTTGGGGAAAAAGCTAGAATACTGATATGGCCAGGGAGGCTTATTTTTTGTTCTTACTTTCTATGTGTGTTTCACTAGTGGTTAATTCCAAAAACGAATGCAGTTATAACTGCATTTGATTCTTGGTTGGCTTCCTTTTCTTCCTAATTCAAAAGTCAGAAAGAGTAGGGGTGGGAGGGAGTTAACACAACAGATGATTTCCCTGCGTGCTTCTGTTAGTTTCTAAGTGTATGGGTAAAAATTTAGCTCTAGTGTACACAGCTCTCTAAATTTACTAACAAAATCTCTGTGTAAATCTTTAAAGGTGGTTTATATTTATAGCTGCTTCCTAATGTTTCCCCCCTTTGGTCCTCTCTTTATACATGCTAACCATAGGGTTTAGAAAACTGGGACTGTTTAGAGAATGTTAGAGAATATTGGATTAAAGCCAGGATGTGTTAAACTTCTAAATGTAAATATCTACTAACAGCCCATGTTGAGTGGGAGGGCAGCTAGCATTTATATTTACCATTGGTTCCCATAAATTCACATTAGCTGGGCTGCAAAGTTAATTTGGATACAAAACTTGAATGGAGCTCCTTTACTATGTACAGTCTGTGAGTGGAAGTGAATGGTGATGACAGCTGCTAGAATAACAAAATTGAGGAGAGGAAAAAGGATAGCACAGCTCTCATCCCGAGCTCAATTGTAGCTAATTGGAGGACCAGTCTCCATATCCAGGCAGCTTGTTCTGGGCTCAAATGGCAGGCAGATGCTCTAAAGCCCTTGGGCTCAGGTATCTTATAATTGTGGATCCAGCCAAGGACAAATTTGATTTGTAGCCCACATTTTGACCTCTCTATAGTAGCGAAGTGCTGTGAGTTGTTCCCACTTTGCCCCTGTCTTTCAGATTGTTTCCATCACAGTCCCCCACTCCCAGTGTTGTCAATTTCCAGAACTACCTCCATATTTTACCAACAGTCCTTCAGAGATTGAATTCCAGAAAGAATGATGGGAAAGAAACAGGTCTAGAGAAGGGAGCACAGACTTGTTGTAAAGGTCACATGAAGCTACTAGTCTGTAGTCTATTTGGGCAAAAAATAAAGAACCTGCACTTGGGAGGTATATAGTTCTGAGAAGACCCTGCCTGCCCCTCCAGTGCAAATATTTATATAGATAAAGTAAAGTTAAAATGATCATTGAAGGCAAGTTTGAAGAGAAAGACGGTCATGAGAGCAAGACACAACCTACACTTGATATATATATGGAGATGGTATTTGGTGACAGCTGGGGAAATTTAAAAACTAATTGTGTGTTCTGAGCCTCGAAACTTTTCAGCTACTTGTTGTCTTTTTTTTTTTTTTTTTTTTTTTTTTTTTTTTGAGATGGAGTCTCACTCTGCCACCCAGGCTGGAGTGCAGTGGCACTATTTTGGCTCACTGCAACCTCTGCCTCCTGGGTTCAAGCGATTCTCCTGCCTCAGCTTCCTGAGTAACTGGGATTACAGGTGCATGCTTGTGCGAACCATGTTCAGCTAATTTTTGTATTTTTTTTTTTATTATACTTTAAGTTTTAGGGTACATGTGCACATTGTGCAAGTTAGTTACATATGTATACATGTGCCATGCTGGTGCGCTGCACCCACTAACTCGTCATCTAGCATTAGGTATATCTCCCAATGCTACCCCTCCCCCCTCCCCCCACCCCACCACAGTCCCCAGAGTGTGATATTCCCCTTCCTGTGACCATGTGATCTCATTGTTCAATTCCCACCTATGAGTGAGAATATGCGGTGTTTGGTTTTTTGTTCTTGTGATAGTTTACTGAGAATGATGGTTTCCAATTTCATCCATGTCCCTACAAAGGACATGAACTCATCATTTTTTATGGCTGCATAGTATTCCATGGTGTATATGTGCCACATTTTCTTAATCCAGTCTATCATTGTTGGACATTTGGGTTGGTTCCAAGTCTTTGCTATTGT
This sequence comes from Homo sapiens, assembly GCF_000001405.40. NCBI lineage: Eukaryota > Metazoa > Chordata > Mammalia > Primates > Hominidae > Homo > Homo sapiens. Next base: position 53,910,830 of record NC_000014.9, on the reverse strand, counting down.
GAATAATGCTGCAATAAACATACGTGTGCATGTGTCTTTATAGCAGCATGATTTATAGTCATTTGGGTATATACCCAGTAATGGGATGGCTGGGTCAAATGGTATTTCTAGTTCTAGATCCCTGAGGAATCGCCACACTGACTTCCACAATGGTTGAACTAGTTTACAGTCCCACCAACAGTGTAAAAGTGTTCCTATTTCTCCACATCCTCTCCAGCACCTGTTGTTTCCTGACTTTTTAATGATTGCCATTCTAACTGGTGTGAGATGGTATCTCATGGTGGTTTTGATTTGCATTTCTCTGATGGCCAGTGATGATGAGCATTTTTTCATGTATTTTTTGGCTGCATAAATGTCTTCTTTTGAGAAGTGTCTGTTCATGTCCTTCGCCCACTTTTTGATGGGGTTGTTTGTTTTTTTCTTGTAAATTTGTTTGAGTTCATTGTAGATTCTGGATATTAGCCCTTTGTCAGATGAGTAGGTTGCGAAAATTTTCTCTGATAAAACAGACTTTAAACCAACAAAGATCAAAAGAGACAAAGAAGGCCATTACATAATGGTAAAGGGATCAATTCAACAAGAGGAGCTAACTATCCTAAATATATATGCACCCAATACAGGAGCACCCAGATTCATAAAGCAAGTCCTGAGTGACCTACAAAGAGACTTAGACTCCCACACATTAATAATGGGAGACTTTAACACCCCACTGTCAACATTAGACAGATCAACGAGACAGAAAGTCAACAAGGATACCCAGGAATTGAACTCAGCTCTGCACCAAGCGGACCTAATAGACATCTACAGAACTCTCCACCCCAAATCAACAGAATATATGTTTTTTTCAGCACCACACCACACCTATTCCAAAATTGACCACATAGTTGGAAGTAAAGCTCTCCTCAGCAAATGTAAAAGAACAGAAATTATAACAAACTATCTCTCAGACCACAGTGCAATCAAACTAGAACTCAGGATTAAGAATCTCACTCAAAGCCGCTCAACTACATGGAAACTGAACAACCTGCTCCTGAATGACTACTGGGTACATAACGAAATGAAGGCAGAAATAAAGATGTTCTTTGAAACCAACGAGAACAAAGACACAACATACCAGAATCTCTGGGACGCATTCAAAGCAGTGTGTAGAGGGAAATTTATAGCACTAAATGACCACAAGAGAAAGCAGGAAAGATCCAAAATTGACACCCTAACATCACAATTAAAAGAACTAGAAAAGCAAGAGCAAACACATTCAAAAGCTAGCAGAAGGCAAGAAATAACTAAAATCAGAGCAGAACTGAAGGAAATAGAGACACAAAAAACCCTTCAAAAAATCAATGAATCCAGGAGCTGGTTTTTTGAAAGGATCAACAAAATTGATAGACCGCTAGCAAGACTAATAAAGAAAAAAAGAGAGGAGAATCAAATAGACACAATAAAAAATGATAAAGGGGATATCACCACCGATCCCACAGAAATACAAACTACCATCAGAGAATACTACAAACACCTCTACGCAAATAAACTAGAAAATCTAGAAGAAATGGATACATTCCTTGACACATACACTCTCCCAAGACTAAACCAGGAAGAAGTTGAACCTCTGAATAGACCAATAACAGGAGCTGAAATTGTGGCAATAATCAATAGTTTACCAACCAAAAAGAGTCCAGGACCAGATGGATTCACAGCCGAATTCTACCAGAGGTACAAGGAGGAACTGGTACCATTCCTTAATTTTTGTATTTTTAATAGAGATGGGGTTTCTCTATGTTGTCTAGGCTCTATGTTCTACCATGTTGGCCAGGCTTGTCTGGAACTCCTGATCTCAGTGATCCACCTGCCTCGGCCCCTCAAAGTGCTGGGATTACAGGCATGAGCCACCTCGCCCAGCCATCTACCTGACGTCTTAATTACCTTTCAGATAATCGGCAGGTCCCTGAAAATGCCATCACTAATATAACATGTGGCTCTGTAGGTACTTTAGAAATATGGCTTATAGTGGTGGTTAGGCTTATGATGTGGCACTGCCTGAGAAGCTATCTATCCAAACTGGGGCACAGCCTTAATGTTGCAGAGCTCCTACCACACTACGGGTACTGAGACACTTTGCACATAGTCAGTATACAACATCAGGCACCACTTCTGACCTCTGCAGTTGTTTATTTAGGTCATAGCTATTAACACATGGCCTTGAACATTTGATCTTTCACTTTAAACTTGGCTTTAAACCCAATTTTTTAAAATTGTGAAATATAGGAGATAACATGCATCTTTCATCATGCATTTTACTTACCCCCTCTTATGCTCTCTAGACGTGCACAGTCCAGTCCAGTAGCCACTAGCTACTTGTGGTCATTGAATAGTTGAGCTATGGCTAACCCAAACTTAAATGTGCTGTAATTATAAAATGCACACTCAATTCCAAAGATGTAGTGTAAAAAATGTAAAATATCTCATTAATAATTTTATATTGATTCCATGTTGAAATGATAGTATTTTGGATACATTGGGTTAAACAAAATACACTGAAATTAATTCGACCACTTTACTCTTTAAGGTGTGCCTAATAAAATTTTAAAATGACATATGTGGCTCACATATTTTTATGCACAGCACGGTTGCAGATTTTTAACATTAGAAATATGTAAAAAGATGGCTAATCAAGAGGCAAGGTTTGTTTAAAAGTACTCACTGATTCAAGACATTTCTCTCATTTAAACAATTTAATATTTATTCAAAACTCGGTGACCAACACAATGCTCACTGTGGAGGAGCTTACAATCTCAGTGGGTGGGAAGACATGCGAATGAGATGTATCCGTGTTTCGTTTTTTAATCTCAGACTGGAAATGAAGGGTCAGGTTTATAGCTACAGTGTTAACGATCATCCATCACACATCAGATGAGCAAGGGAAAAGTTACGAAAAGAGACACACCATGGGGCCATAGCGTTTGGAGCAAGGAGGAATCTTGGTGATATACATTCTAAAGCCCAGATTTTACAAAGCAAAGGGGACTGACACCTCGGTATCTGGGAAGAGTAAGTGACTTACCCAAGACCACACAGAATGAGGACAACAATTTCCAACTCAGGGCTTTACAAACTGCATCAACCCCTGTTATCCTACCTCCAAAGTGAGGTGGGCATTGAGGCAGGTCCATTTCAGTCAAAATGTCAACTAAGATGTAGAAAAAGTCTTTCCTTCTAAACTCTGCCTGAAAGTTCACTTCATTCTTCACATGTGGCTAACTCTGTTCAACCTGACTCTTGATCTTACATGGCAGCTATACTTTCCAACTGATCAAATTCTCTCATGGTTACATCGAGTAATGCTTCTAAGTGCATTCTTCACTATTGTATTCCTAACCGCAGTAGAAGTGAACCTCTGGGGCTCATCACAAGTAGAAAATTATTTGCATTTTTCTCCATAGTACATGTGTATATGCTATAATATCAAATGATGTCTTAAATATCTTTGGGAAAGCCTTTTCTATTTTATAGTTAATGGATAAGATCACTTTGTTCTGAAATATCATGATTTTGAAGTTTGGGCTGCAAAAAGGAAGTAAACACTGATTATCAGATTCAATATACACAGTTTTCCTTCTTTTTCTTGGTATCACAATATATCAAGAACTCACACTTACATGAATGAGTAGGTACAAACTTCAAATATTTTCACTTCTTTATGAAGTATGAGAGGTGCACAGTATGTTGCCAAAGTGTTAACATCACAGAATATTATTTTGCTACTTTTGTATGGAATTTTGCTGAATGTATTTTAATGCTGTGGGTTTTTTCCTGTGTGATCTGATAAATTGCAAGCTTCTCGAATCACTGGTCTTTCTCATTTATGGTTTCAGGAAAATAATTCTCAAAGTGTTGCTTTTTATGAAGAAAGATTTATTTATTTATCTTACCAGTAACATTGACTTTTAATCACACATACGTGATGATACTCCTCCTAAACAACTTTCTTCAAACAGCTCTAAAACTTTACTTTCAGCACATCAGTCAGGTGCAGATGAAGTAAAACACTCAGCTGTGCTTTGTAGTGTTTGAAAGCACCCAACATTGGAAAATGTCTGCTAACTAAGTCAACTTTGTAAGCACCCAGGCATTAAGACAAACAAGAAATTAATTTATCTAGTTTAGATTTTTACTCTTTGTTAAAATGTCTTCAGTTTCTGATGAGCATCTGGGTTATAGTTTCTGATGAGCTTCTTCTGATTTAAACATCTTGTGTATAGTCCAATATGCTTTCAGAATTACATTAAATATTGTTATACATTTGTGTAACGGGAGTGAAGCAGTAGGGATTGTTATTTGCTTTTGATTTCTCATCATCTGAACCTACTTTGTGCATTTGTGTAGTTTGCTACTGTGTGAGCTTTTAGCTCCCTGCTCCTATAATGGAAACGGAAGTTAGCCAGCTAAGGCATGGACACGTAATCTAAGCTTGAACAACAGGGTCTTCCAACCAGGGGTTTGAACCTAAGCAGTTACACAAAGAGGTAGGTGACAGTTTAGAATTAATTTAAATGGCATTAACAGCACCCTGTGTCTAGTGGTGGCTGGATCAGGAGTTGTGTGTAATGTCCATGATGATGGCGAAACTGTCCTTGCAGGGTGTTCCTGGGGATTAATTGCCCAGATCTCTTTGTTTCCTGCTTGTTTTCTGAATCTGATTCTTCATACTTTCTGTTGATTCCTTGAAATCTTCCCAATAAATTTCTTTTCTGTGTAAGTCAGTCATAAATGGTTTCATTTTCATCAAAGATTGGTTCACAAGTCTTCAGACCACTTTTGTTGACACATTTTACAATTCTTACCACCTCATTAAATACAATGAGAAAATTGAGTGACAAATTCTTTGGGGGTAACGTGTTCTTAGTGAATGATGCAAACTGAATTCTTCAGTACTGAAATTTTTCATTGTTTGTTGCTGGATTTTGTTACATTCCTTTGAATAATGTTGTGATTTGTTCTAGTGCATAGTGAAGTCACTCAGAATCACTTGGATACTTTTGAGCTTGCTTTTAAACCTTATCAGTGTAAGTCTAGAGCAATATTTAGTCTAGGGCTAATTTAACCACACTACTAAGGCAATATCCTCTGAGGATTGTTCCCAATATCCTGTGTATTATGAAGTTTTTTTGCTAACCTGAATGGGGCCAACCTGAACTATTCTCAGCCCTGTGTAAATGCTAGAAATTTGCTTCTTCCTTTCCTTTTCTCTGCTCTCAAGTAGTTTTCTTTCAGGCATAAGGAGGGCAGTAGTAAATGAAAACTTTACAGTACCCCTCTCCCACTCTTCAGAGCTCTCTGTCTGGCATTCTGCCTTAACTGTCTTGGCCTCCTGATAACTCCTGTCTCTGTCTCCCCACCTCAGTGAGACCATTAGATTGTGTTTGTTTCCCCATCCTGCCCTGCAACATGGAAACCCTCTTTAGGCAATAAGCTGCTTTATTGCAAGCCTCACCTTGTTTATTTCCCCATTCTCAGGGATCACAGTCTTACACTTCTTGCTGTCCGGTATCTAAAACCATTGTTTCCTGTATTTTGTCAGTTCTCTAGTTGTTTAAGATGAGAGTGCAAAGTTGGCCCCTGTTTATTTCATCTTCATTGGAAGAAAAAATCCTCTTCTAGGATTTGACTCTTAAGACAATAGGTTCTTTTTTAGTCTTGTCCACCTTTGTGCTGAAGCCGCCATGTAGAACTCATTCAATAAATATTTGTTGAGTGAATAAATAATGCAGAGTGCTGTTTTAGGATGGAGAAGAAGATCTTGTAGAGGGCTACTTCTCTCACTGTTTTATTTTCTTCAGACTTCACTACAGATGTCCAGGTATCTCTATATTTTTTCCTAGTTCATTTCACACTTACTAAAAATCTAAACTTTAAATATATTCTTCATCAGATATTTGTTATTAAGCACATTGTGAGTTAATATAACTTGGCGGACATAAGAATAACAAAATAGCACAACATTCATAATAATAATATTGGATATTACTGACAGATAATATATACATTGTGAATAAGGGCAATGCACAGATCAAATCATTAATGATTTATTCTTTCCTCAAATTGTAAAGTGGAGAACCAAGATTATTTTCATCCTCTGAACCCTAAATCTGCTTTTTTGAGCTTATTACAATGCGTAGTTTGATATACATCTTTCAAAAAGGTATTTTTAAAAAAGAACTGGGATTTTTTAAAGAAACTTGGTTAGGTATAAGCAAAAAAGACAAAAATGTAATGCTTCTTTATGTATCCATTCCCAGCTTCAACAATTATCAACCTTTTGCCAACATTATTTCTATCATTCCCATTTTTTTTTTTTTTTGCTAAAATGTTTTTTTAAAAGTCCATACATCTTTCCCATTTACCCATGAATACTCTTTTTGATTAAAAATCAGATTTAACCATGTCTAGATGTCTATACCAAGTTCTTACCTACTGTATGAGCTTTGCCTTTTAAAGTGATTCTAAAATTGAGTTGGTTTTAGAGGGTGCTAAAAAAGTGATGGTTTATATGGTTTTTGCTTAAATTTTTTTAACAGAAGAAACACCAAGATTTAACATTATTGAACTGCAAGGATAATAAACTCCAACTTTTAAATACTCATATAAGTAGTAAATTTCATATGTTTTTAGATTAGCTAGGATCACTGTTAGCCTATGTGGAGTGTGTGCAAATTAGACAAATAAAGCATCCCTTCTGGGCAGAGAAGCATAGACATTTTGAAGCTAATGAAGCTGATGTGTTAGGACCCCTCATTTGCATGATCCTCTTCCAAAGACCTGGAAAGGGACCAAGTGATGGCTCACACAGTTTATTAAAGATGATCAATGAAGGCATGGTGGCTCATGCCTATAATCCCAGTACTCTCAGAGGCCAAGGTGGGTAGGTTGCTTCAGTCCAGGAATTTAAGAGCAGCTTAAGCATCATGATGAAACTCAGTCTCTACAAAAAATACAAAAATTTGCTGGGGGTGGTGGTGCATGCCTATAGTCCCAGCTACTCAGGAGACTGAGAGGTGAGAGGATCGCTTATCTCCATGGGGGTTGAGGCTGCAGTGAGCCGTAACGGTGCCACTACACTCCAGCCTGGCAACAGAGTAAGACCCTGTCTCAAAAAAAAAAAAGGTTATCAATGAATTATTTGCCAATTGGAATATAGTCTGTTTTATGGATTTTGTACACTTTTTGGTCAACAAATACATTAGCTTCTCATTGTGAAGTTGCATTTAGATATAGTAAGCTATCAGTTTCTGGACTCCAAGTCACTAGAAAGATAAATCATATTTTAAATATAGAATTCCTTTAGTTATATTTAATATTTACAAAATGATCCTAACATTTCGTAATGTTTCAAAATGCTTTGAGAAATGCATTACAAGAGAATTATACTCAGGTTAGCTTCAGGATTAAGAATGATTGTTTTCTTTTTTTGAGGCAGGGTTTTGCTTTGTCACCCAGGCTGGAGTGCAGTGGTACTCTCATGGCTCCCGGCATTCTTGAACTCCTGGGCTCAAGTGATCCTTCCACATCAGCCTCCTGAGTAGGTAGTACCACAGGGATGCACTACCCCATCTGGCTAATTTTTCAAATTATGTTTTGTAGAGACAGGGTCTTGCCATGTCGCCCAGGCTGGTCTCAAATTCCTGGGCTCAAGTGATCCTCTCACCTCAGCCTCCCAAAGTGTTGGGATCACAGACATGAGCCACCACACTTGGCCAAGAATGATTGTTTTCTAATAAGGTATATTCACTATAAATGAAATGTTCTGAACATGGATTTCATAATGTCTTTTTTGGAATCAATCTTACTGACTTTGTTTTCACACTTCCTATACAGTAACTCTTAGTTTGCCGGAACGCTAGATAGCCAGAATATCCTATTTCAAGCCCAAAGAACAACAGAAACAACAAAAAACCACTGCCGCCCCCGCCAGGTTTAGTAATATGCTTTCTCCATTAACGTCTGATTATGTAGTCGAATAATTTTCTTTTCTAAAAGTTGTACTCCTCTCACCACAGATTCAGGTTCTACCTGCTTTAACCTCAAAATTGATTCTCAATGTTTGTATTAAAAGTCTGGTGTGATTGACTAATCTAATAGTTACCTTTAGGGATAAATGTTTTAAGTGTCTACTCCATAGTAAAGTAAATAAAACCCCATGTAATCTCCACTAAAGCCACCGCAAATTGTATATTGATAGTGTCTGTTTCCCCAACCAGACTGTGACCCTGGGGTGTGTCCTGAGGTTGTTATATTCCACTTTGTTTTCTCTGATTCATCCAGCCCAAGACTTTGCATGTGGTGAGCACTCCAAAATGTTTATGGATTAGAAATAAATAAACACATTTCAAACAGGATTTGGAGAGCACTTCCTTTACAGATGCTGTGTCAGGTCTCAGATGGCTCCAGCAAGGCCTTCCAGAGCTCCCTGCTGTGCACAGAACTGAAGAGGGATGGAATAAGAATGATGATCCTGGCTTTGCTTAAGGCCTGAGACTGAAATGTATGGGCCCTCTGGACCAAAAGATGGGGGTAGGGGAAGGGCATTGGGTGGAAGAGACTTGGATTTCCAATTATAACCTGATGCTTCCAGGTGGAGTTCTCATCTGGTTTTGGGCCTCATTTCCATATCTGTCAAATATGTGTATATATTGTGGGCTAGTGAATAAGGCAAGAGACCTGTGTTCCTCAAATGTTAATATGCACTTGAATTTGCTGGGCTTCTTGTTAAAATGCAGATTCTGATTCTGCAGGTCTTGGGTGGGGTCTGAGATGCTCTCTCTCTAGTGAGTTCCCAGATGATGCCAGTCTGCTGATCAATGGGCTACACATTGAGTGAAGAGGCAAGGACCTGTTAAATTCATTTCTGCATGTCTGATCATGTGAATGGAATAAAGCAGGCCCTCAATAACTGTCTGCTGAAAAAAAAAATCAACCAGTTCAGTATTTCATACCCAAATAGTACAGCTTTCAGGGCAGAAACAGGCCCTTAGTGGAGAGAAGGACTTTGAATTCCAAACCCTTCACTTTTAATATCGAAAGCCAAAAGCCTGGTAGACTGAGAGCACAGAGCTTTTATCATGTGCAGGGGGGTTGGGAATGACAGCTGGTTTCCAGCTTGAAAGGAAATATGAATTCAACTAACATCAAGGAAGAAAGGATCGGAGGAGACACAATGAGAGGTGAGGACGTAGTGGGTGCCTCAGAAGGGGTGCCAGCAAACTGTGTGTTCCGGGGGTTGAATCCCAGAGGGAATCCCAGGGCAGAAACGATAATTGCCCTAATTCCCAGGGTTTAGTAGGAGCGTGGAAGACCCACAGAGCAATGCCTGTGTAATGGATCAGTAAAGGTGAGGACAGCCTTGCAGAGTCCTGGACCCCTTTGGACAAGTTGAATTCACAAGATTAAGAGTTCCAGAAGTTTGGCTTGCGATCTAAGTTGTGTGCTATCTAAGTTAGCAAGAAATAAAGTATAGTGATTTTGTGTATCTGAGTTGCGTCAGTACATTTTAAACTTGCTCCAGATGTCTGATATTAGGCTCCACCTGAAGTGGAGAGGCAAACAGAGGGATGAAGTAAACAGAAGAGTCATGGAAAAGGCCAGACAGTTGTTGCGTGTACCTAGTAGCAACTTCCCAGGTGTCTTGCACCTGGCTGATCTAATGAATTGGATTTATCTGATTATAAACCTAAGCTTTGAAGAGTATGAAGAAATATTCTGCAGAACTCTAAGTTCTTCCTGGGTCACAAAGACCCTTAGGTCACCCTCAGTGATGGGGTTCAGATACACCCTATTCAAGAGAAACAAAGAACTGGGAGAAGATGCAGCAGCAGATTTGCCTTAAAGCAATCATGCTGAAGGGAAAATACAGAGTGCTGTTGTTTGCGCTGTTGTTTTTTCACTATGAACCACTTGAAACCCACATGCCAAGGTTAGCATTCATCAGCTTGCTTTCCCTCCCACCCTACCCCCAACAGGATCCCATGTTCTAGCCTCCTCTACCCTGACAAGATGAATGGGGAGCCTGAGAACCCAGTTTAAGCCATGCTGGACTCTCGCAGGCATGAGTCCAGTTGCAACATCTGGTGGCTTGGGAGGGGTGTTGGCCTGAAGCTTGGAAAAGTGTTGTGACACCCTTGTCCTCACGAGAGGCAGCCTGTTACCACGGCTTCCTCTGGGAACTCCTGCACCCCCCAGGCCGACAACTGTGGAAGCAAGTGGGATCATAAATCAAGTAATACCCTGACTTGGGGCCCTGGGCCTTCAAAATAAGTGGACTAAGGAATCAGTGCTCTGAAGAACACAGCCACATGATGGTTCTAATACTTTGTCTTGTTAATTTCTTCCAGCTTTGATCTCAGATTTGTCTGAAGGCTCTGGAACTCCATGTTCCGACTTGCATGGAGTCTCAAACTTAGCCGGTAACAGTGCAGATTCCCAGGTCTTGTTTCAAACCTGGTGATTAGCATCCAGAGGTAGAACCTGGAAAGCTTTCTTTCTTGCCTTTTTCTTTCCTTGTTCTTTTTTTTTTCTTTCCTTCCTTCCTTCCTTCCTTCCTTCCTTCCTTCCTTCCTTCCTTCCTTCCTTCCTTCTTTCCTTCCTCCTTCCCTCCCTCCCTTCTTTCCTTCATTCCTTCTTCTTTTTCTCTCTCTTTCTCTCTTCTTCCTTGCTTTTAAAAATAAACTTCTTTGGCCAGGCTTGGTGGCTCATGCCTGTAATCCCAGCACTTTGGGAGGCCGAGGTGGGTGGTCAGGAGTTCAAGATCAGCCTGACTAACATGGTGAAACCCCATCTCTACTAAAAATACAAAATTAGCCAGGTGTGGTGGCGGGCGCCTGTAATCCCAGCCACTTGGGAGGCTGAGGCAGGAGAATTGCTTGAACCCAGGAGGTGGAGGTTGCAGTGAGCCAAGATCATGTCACAGCACTCCAGCCTGGGCAAAAGAGCGAGACTCTGTCTCAAACAAAACAAAACAAAACAGAACAAAACAAAACAAAACAGCTCCTTCAGGTGGTTTTTGCAGACCACGTAGGAAGAGTTGGGGAGAAGTGCTGTTTGTGAACACTGTCTGTGTGTTTTCTACCGTGTTCCTCTGGCCATGCTCCTGACTTCTCTTTGGGCTCATGGACCAGGCTTTGATCACTTGTCCAAGTGTTCTGAGCAACTACCTTACCCTTGGTCTTCGCCTTTGTTATTTCTGTCTCAGCGAAGGCCTTGCAACAGTACCAAAATATAGAGAGAGTAGGGCTGAAGATTGCACTTAGGAGAAAGTCTAGATTGGGATCATGGTGTGTGGCACACCAAGGTAGAGTGGCCAGAGGAACCACTGGAGCAAGACAGAGGAGAAGAGGGCAGTTCACAGAGGGAGATGAGCATCAAGGCCCGTGTCTGCAGGTAAGTCAAAGAGAACGTGTACCATGCGAGGAGGAGGAGGGACGATTTCCTGCAGCACCGGTGAGTGGTGGTAGAAGCAGCTAGATGGCAGGGGCAAAGGAAAGGGAGATAAAGCTCCATTGAATCGGAAAGGAAACTGCTTCCCAGTCTAGCTATGCTGCCTCAGTTTTCTGTCTCATTTTCCTCACCTGTAAAATGAAGATAATGATAGTTGTGAAGTTTAACTCTCGGCCTCCATAGTAGCTAAAGGTATTAAAACAGGGCTTGGCATACAGTAAAAACTCAAAAAACACATCTTCTTCCTCTTATTTTTCTCTTACTTTTAAATCTTGCCACACACTCTCGACTTTGCACACAAATGTAAGCAATTTATATTATCATTATTATTTTAATTGTCAGAGTCATTGACCTCGAGTGAAAATTACAACTTTCCCTGGGCCCAGACTTTCTCCCTAAAATTTCCAGATATGAATGCCTTCTATTTCTGTATTGCCTAATTAATTTTGATGTCAGCATCTAGGCCAGTCAGAAGCATCCGAAGATATGCTATGCACAGCCAAATAAAGTTGCCAGACTGCGTAGTCTTCCGTTTAAAGATATCTATACACTCAGGATTCCGAAGAGGGAGTGTCTCTGGCTGCTTGGAATCCTCTTTGCTTCTTTGCTCAGTCAGGATCTTTTTGTTTTGTTTCATAGACATCTCATTTACCTGCGTTACAACTTATTTTAGCCTATGCAGATCTTCCTGCACTTACTGGAATCTCTACCAGAGGTGAAAAGAAGAGAGAGAAAAAGCATGGTGCTTCACCAAGTTAAAGTTGCTTTGTGTGTGTGTGTGTGTGTGTGTGTGTGTGTGTGTGTGTGTGTGTGTGTAGGGGGACAGAGTCTCACTTTGTCACCCAGACTAAAGTGCAGTGGCATAATCTCGGCTCACTGCAACCTCCACCTCCCAGGTTCAAGTGATTCTCCTGCCTCAGCCTCCCAAGTAGCTGGGACTGCAGCCGTGTGCCACCACCCCCGGCTAATTTTTGTATTTTAGTAGAGATGGGGTTTCATCATGTTGGCCAGGCTGGTCTCAAACTCCTGACCTCAGGTGATCCACCTGCCTTGGCTTCACAAATGCCGGGATTACAGGTATGAGCCAATGTGCCTGGCCTGTTTTTATTATTATTATTTATAAATATAGATAGGAAGACAGAAACAGCACTGATTTCCATATTGCTTTTCATAGTTTTCACCTGCCCATGAATAACAGAACTGGTCAGGTTTGGGGAGTGATACACGATTTCCTGAAGTTTGCTTTGGTTCTATTGGAAGCTTCCTCAGGCCAGGGCTAATGGTTTCTACTTCTCTTTTACCCACAACACTAGTCCTATAGATTTGTTAACTTTATTGGTTTCTTTCTTAGGCTTAATAATGGAGATTCAACCTTTAAAAATAGTGTTACCGTTGTTAAAATTGCCACCACTGAAAAGGTCTTGCTAATCACTCACATTTCCTGGGACTCTGTTTTGGTTCCAAGGGCATTGAGTTCTTAACGTACCTTTAAACCTTAACACATTGGTTATTGTTTCCAGATACCGAGGCCATCCTGTCTTTATTGAAAATGCTGTACTACTCTACACAATTGCAAACAGTGGTACAAGAACGCTATATTGGTGGCCTATTGTTCTACCCTGGCAGATCCTGGAAGACATTTGTAACATGTTGTTTAAGTTTTAGGCTTTAAAGTGAATATATACAGGGTCAGCTGTTTAATGTTTTTTTCACTAATTAGACTAATCCCTCACAGTTTGCCTCTCCTTTGTGTTTTATGTTTATTGTGATCTATACAACACACAAAAATATATAATATCTTTACTATGGTAAAAAATGTAATGACTAATTAAGCAAGTGCGTTATGGAGTTCTTCTTGGCCAGGTCAGTTCAGCCACATGGTCCTCCCTTCTCCTCCTCATTTTGTTCTGAAGGCTCCCTGTGCCTTGAGATTGGCAATTAATGGACCTTTGTTCCCAGTGGGCCCTCTGTTCTCCTGGCCCACCTTCCTGAGTGATGTATTGGAACAACCAGTGGGGTCCAGGGGTTTTATTCTCCCATCCCCTTAGGGCCTTGTGGTCTCTGTTGAATTTCAGGCCTTGTACTTCCAGAAATCTTAGCCGGGGAACACTGGGTGGCCTGGCCTGCCTTCTTTGCTGTAAGTGCTATAGAGCCATGAACAAAAACATCTCTGGAAGAGGGGAAAAAACTGCCCCCCCACCACAACCCACCAGCTGGGCTCCATAGTGAAGTTCCACCCTAGGTTACAGGATTCCTGGAAAGATCATGTCCAGAACCAGAGCCCTGCTCTTTGTAGGACTAACTAGGTACTGATGTATCATTGCCATCTGGTTTTCCCTGGAGATGTTTACATGCAACTGTTCTATGAAATCAGTCCACCATGCAGACTCATCTTACTGAGAAAATGTGTGCAGATGATTTAACTTAATGACTTAGTTAAATTGAATGGCTTCCAGTAGCATAGTAATGTGTTTTGAGAAGTTTTGAAGGAGAGAGAGGAAAAGCTGGTTTCCCATCTCGTTCAAATCATTTTCCATTCCTCAGGGGGAGAAAGGAAAGTCTGAGAATCCAACAGAATTAATGCAGGTTACCCATTACTTCATTTTATAATGTTTGGCAAGGAAAACATGTTAAGTCAGTTAAATCTGTTTATTTGGCTCTTCCAGGCATTCCATGTGGATGGGGCCTGGGTTGGAGGGGACAGTGAAATATATTTCTGCTGAGATGCCTTCCTGGAGAGAAATAGGTCTGTTTTATAAGCAGGGCCGGCAACACCTGGATTCTGACTGGTTTACTGGGGACCCAAGGGTTTACTTGAGCATCTTGCAGATGAAGAACCTAAAAGTCTATCTCTGACCCCTCGGGCTGTGACGGAAAAGCGCTGTTTGGGGTCATGTGGGTTCAATTCCTGCTCTGCTATTTGCCAGCAGTGTGACACTGGGCAAGTCATGAAATCACTCTGTGCATCCTAAGGAGAATTCCCTACTTCAGAGAATTGTTGCAAGAATCACATGAAATAGCAGATGTGAAAGTGCTTTATAATCTGCAAGACAATATAACAATGCATTCTAAAGAATTATTCTTAACACTGGCAGTATGAAAGCATGTTTTCAGCCAGAACATGGTAGCAGAGAAGGGAGAGGATATGTAGAGTATCAGGGTTCTTTGGAAGGAAAATATCAACATCCCAGACCTGTTCTAAAATGGCCTGACTGGTGCTTGTGAAGAGATCACCGTATAGGAGGTACCTTAGAGGAGATCACCTTACTGTAGCAAGTTAGCAGGAGCTGTAGGCTGTTTGTACCACAGTGGAACCAACCGCAGTGTGTCTTAGAGGCAGAAGATGAGAGAGTCGTCTCATCTTTGGTGATATGCACTGGGTAGATGAGGATGGCAGTGCTGATGACCTGACATCTTCCCAGCACCGACGCCGGCCGGATTCTGTACTAGGGGATTGCTTGCATTATCTCATTGCTTCTCCACAACTATCAACTACACTCCAATTAATGTCTGCATCTTACAGATGATAATTCCTGGAAGGGTTAAGAAACCTGTCCTAATTTGCAGTGAGAATGTAGCAGAACAGGGATTCAAACTCTGAGATTCAGGTCTGACTTACTTAAAACCCACACCTTAACCTCTGTTAAAGGAAGACAAATAGAGCAAGGATATTTTGCCCTACCAGAGGTCCCAGCGGGAGGACATTTTCTCCTCTACAAACTTAATCAAGAATAACCCCAGAATTCCTTAGGGTCACCTGGAACAATAAAAATTGGGGCCAGGTGTGGTGCCTCACACCTATAATCCCAGCACATTGGGAGGCCAAGGCAGGAGGATCGCTTGAGGATAGGAGTTTGATACCAGCCTGGGCAACATGGCAAAACCTATCTCTACAAAAAAATTTTAAAAAATTAGCTGGTTGTGGAAGTGCATGCCTGCAGTCCTAGCTACTCAGGAGGCTGAGGCAGAAGAATTACTTGAGTCCAGGGGCTGGAGGCTGCAGGGAGCTATGATCATTCTACTGTACTCCAGCCTGGGCAACAGAGTGAGACCTGGAAAGAAAGAAAGAAAGAAAGAAAGAAAGAAAGAAAGAAAGAAAGAAAGAAAGAAAGAAAGAAAGAAAGAAAGAAAGAAAGAAAGAAAGAAAGAAAGAAAGAAAGAAAGAAAGAAAGAAAGAAAGAAAGAAAGAAAGGAAAAGAAAGAAAGAAAGAGGGAAAGAAAGAGAGGAAGGAAGGAAGGAAGGAAGGAAGAGAGGGAGGGAGAGAGGGAGGGAAGGAAGGAAGGAAGAAAGGAAGAAAGAAAGGGAGGGAGGGAGGGAGGGAGGGAAGGAAGAAAGAAAGAAAAAAGAAAGGAAGGAAGGAAGGAAGGAAAAGGAAAAATAAAAAAGGAGGAGAGAATTGTGCCATGTGGCTGTGATTATTGATATCTGTGATCAGCAGGTACATGTCTTAGAACAGTCAGTCCTCAAGAGAATCTCTGGACTTTCCTTCTGAGATTTCAGGACAAATGTTCAAGGGCAGGACTTCTTTCCTCTGCAAGGGCAGATGCTATGTTTTTTTATTTCTAAGGATTTTCTTCAGCATCTAGCTCAGTGCCTTGCACATTGTCAAAAAATATCTGGTGATGAGTAATATCAGTGGAACTAAAACCGTAACCAAAACTCCTTCCTCTACATCCTGTCCTCTCACCACTTCTAAAAAAAACCAGCTCTGATTTTATGGCTCCGAGAATTTCTATTCACAGAGTTGTGCTCTGAAAGCAACACCCTGCATTGGTTCTGCTGGGCAGGTGAAGCATCACCTGCCCCTCAGCTTTGTTAGTTTGGAAGTTTCACTCTCATCTACCTTCTGACTTGAAATGTCTATTGAATTCACTGCATATCTAGAGGAAGGAGAAGATGCAACTGGAAGGGGCTGGGGCTATTTAGCTTTTAACGCAAGACTTTTGGTTCTCTGTAATTTTTACTTGTTCTTCTCTTAGTTTTGCTTACAAGTAAAATGAACATACACTAAAGCCTTAAAACTGGTAGAGAATGCTTATCTAACAGAGTGATGTTTATTTATGCTTGTCAGACAGTTTTATTGTGCTTAAGACTCTCTCTTTTCATTTGTTTTCATTCTTTGATTTTTTTCCCCCTTGCACATACAAGTGGAAATACCCTAAATATGGCCTTTTGTAACCAACAATTGCTTTCTACTCCACATACATTTGGATCATTGTGAAGGAATCCCCCAGGAGTTTTACTGAAAAGGAAAAGACAGAATGATGCCAGGAGGTGAGGGGCTGTTTTATCTAGTGCGCAAGTGAAGGCATGCACTATCTTCAGGAAGATGTGCCTAGAATTGTTTGACTGGTGCTTGCCCACTGGTGTGTGAGAAAAACTGGGATGGGGTGTTGGTGAAGCTCCCAGGGCTAAAAAGATGGTGCATAATGCATTCCAGAAAACACATGACCTGGAAAAACTAAACTCACCAATCGCTTCTCAGTGAAAGGACTCTTACCCAAGTACTTAAGTCCTTGGTGAAGTGTGTACTTAGGAGGGACCGTCTCAGCCCCTGCCTTTCACTCCTGTTATTGGTGAGCCCCCTTTCTGATGTATAATATCCTTTCTGGGGAGTTTTGTGGGTAACTTACAGAGTGGTACAGTGGAAAGACCTTATCTGAAAGACCTGGTGGCCATATTCTTCTTGGCTTTGCTACTTTCCAGCTATTTGACCTCGCCACTTAACCTTCCTGAACTCCTGTTTTCTACTTTGCCTATTTCATAGACTGGTTGTGAACATAAACTAAGTAGTCTCTGTGAACAGATCTAGAAACTGAGAAAGTACTATGCAAATTGAAGGCACCTTTCGCACTTTAATTTTCTTTTTAATTTTAGAAACAGCAGGTTATTGCTGGTAAGTGGAAGATGGTATGGAAGAAAAAGTCATTATTTTGTTCCAATAATGTTTCTGATAAAACCATATAAACTGGAGTTCTTTTTGTATGAACCATTTTTGATTACCTAGGATTCATTAGTTGACAAAAGAGACATATCATATGAGGTTGATGCAACAGTTTACAATTAAACAAATTAGAAGCCTATTTTGTAACCACATTTTTGTAGCAAGTATTATTTGTATACTTTTTCTTTTGTTGAAGAGACAGGGTCTTGCTCTGTTGCCTAGGGTAGAGTGCGGTGGCATGATCATAGCTCATAGCTGACTGTAGCCTTGAACTCTTGGGCTCA
Source organism: Homo sapiens (assembly GCF_000001405.40). NCBI lineage: Eukaryota > Metazoa > Chordata > Mammalia > Primates > Hominidae > Homo > Homo sapiens. The sequence goes on along the minus strand of NC_000014.9, from coordinate 53,893,117 downwards.
AGAGACCCTCCTGGAATACTTTTTAAATGGGTGTTTAAGGTGATTGAAAAGCTGAATTATGGTTGCTTTACACTGCTTAGGTAACATTTATACAATTATTCTATTTACACAGAATTACCAATGTATAATAATTCAATTACTATAGTTAATTTTACTTAATCAGAATTATGCAACTTATTTTACTTATTCAGATTCTTTCTTCATTTGGTATAGGAATTTTTTTTTCTAACTCATGATATTTGAGACTTCTTTTCTTGGTTCACGTACTTTATAGTTACATCATTCTTTATAATTTTCAAAGCCTTTCACAGACATTACTTAATTTGATGCTTGCATGATATAAAATTTCTGTGTGTTTCCTCTCAAAGTAATAAGGGAGGTGAGACACTGGTGACTGTAACAGTCCTCTGAAACCAAGCGCTAAGTTTACTGTAAGGATGTTAAGTCAGATCCTCCTTATTAGATGTTCTCATAGCACTGCCTCCCTTTCCTTGATGCTCTTGCCACAGTTGTATTGTACATTTACTTCTGTGATTATTTGACTAATGTCTTTCCCTTTCACTAAATGTTAAGCTCCATGAAGGCAGGGACCAGTCTGTGTTTGGAGCACCTTTCTTAGGTGTTTGGACACCTTTGTATCTCCGGCTCTTGTATCTTGTTGTATCTCCCTCCATTCTTTACATAGTGCCTGGCACTTAGTAGGAGGTCAGTGAGGAATTGTCAAATGAATGAATGAGACCTGGACATTGCTTGATACACTACACAGGTTTTACCTTTTTTTTGGCAGGGGTGGGGGGGTGGAGGTGGGGTGGGACAGAGTCTTGCTCTGTCACCAGGCTGGAGTGCAGTGGCACAATCTCGGCTCACTGAAACCTCCACCTCCCGGGTTCAAATGATTCTGTCTTAGCCTCCCGAGTAGCTGGGATTACCGACATGCACCACCACGCCTGGCTAAGTTTTTTTTGTATTTCTAGTAGAGATGGGGTTTCGCCACATTGGCCAGGCTGGTCTCTAACTTCTGGCCTCAAGTGATCCACCTGCCTTGGCCTCCCAAAGTGCTGGGATTACTGGTGTGAGCCACTGCACCCAGCCTTGGGTTTACCTTTTTCAGGTCTCCTGGGAGATGTTTTTTGTGGTCTTAGCATTGCAAACAACCATGTCTCTCCTGAGCATTTGGTTTGCTCTCACCCAGTGGACACTGTGGGCTGTGTACCTGATTATATTTTCCTGTCCTTGTTGGCTGCTATAAAGCTTTAAAACAAAGTTTGGTCGACATTTAGCAGATGTGTAGGACTTCATGGTATATATTTTGTGAACTGGCCACTTCCCATTTACAACTTATACCCCTTTCCTTATTTTCCTTTACCATCCTTTTGTTTACTATATTGCATATTTTATGTGACCTTTGCTATATTGTAAGTCCATTTGGCAGCAAGGTAGGTTATTAAAAAGTAGTACTCATATTAACTGCCCTTAATATACTGGGGGTAGTAGATAAAGGATTAGAATTTCAGGAATGCAACATTTTCATATGATAATAATTTCTTTTAAATTTGTGTTTTTTTTTCACAGTGAAGGAATGATAAGAATTGATGTTCATACTGAGATTCTCGGTTTCTAGCAAAATAAGATCCCATAATTCCATTGAAATGTGGACTTCTGATGTCTACTTAATGTTTAGAGGGTGTGTGAGAAATGAGAACGTCAGCTGAATAATGCTTTGCTAAAAAGATTTTTTGGCTTTTCTCTTGGTCATCCTTTTATTTTTTGGAAGCAAAGATAAGGTGAGGTTCATCTCTGGCCCCACACACTCAGTGTTGCTTTGTTTTTCCCTAGGTTTCGGGATGTAAAAGTGTGGAAAACTTATTTCCCACGCAGAACCCTTGGTCCAGTTTAGGCCTTCTCAGGCATTCTTTTGGCAATGCTCTCTGAACTCTGTAGCCCCTGAATTAAATCTTAAAAATAGTTCCAGCCACAACTTCCACAGAGCTCAAGCAACTAGATTTGTAGCACCAGCAGACGAAGGAGCAACCTCTTGCCTTCTCTCTCTACTTTTGAAACTTTAATGACCCCCACTGTTGGGGGCAGGGAACTTTTGTTTATAGTGAAGCACCACTTTCAGTTATACTCATGATTATGTGACTCTCAGTGTTTGCTATGTCCTCACTCTTGGCCAACACAAATATGTTATCACATTCGACCTTCCTTAGCATAAGAATAACTTTGGAAGGCCACAAGATTTTCTAATAAACAAATAATGAAGGAAATGAGAGCACCTGCAAAAGGAAGGAAAATCTCCAACTGCAGATTAGGAGATAAGACATAACAAAGCCATCCATTCCTGGGATGTAGTGGTCCCTTCCAAGAATGCAGAATGCTGTGGCCACTTGTGTGGAATGCCTGCCCTGGAATGCTGGTTCCAAAACAAGCAATCTGCACCAGCCAGCATTGTCTCAACCACCATCACTGAATGGACCCCCGGGCATTCACTAAGTGAGTCTCTGTCTGACCCCCACCCAGGAGGGAGAGGAGGAACTGACTTCAGGTACCATTAGACTTGAAATTAACCCAGTGTGGGTAACAACTGACAATTAGCCAGTTCCAACCCTTCTCCCTTCCTGCTCTCTTCTCCCAACTAAATCTAAGCAGTTCTTGACGGCAATAACTTCGCTTTTTAAAGGCCTGTTTATGAAGCCAGGACTTGGAGTTGGGAGGAGAGAGGGTCCTCCCTAGCTTCTGTTAGCCTCAGTTTCATCTTCTGAAAATAATCCACTTAGACTAGAGGATCTCCAAAGTCCCTGTAGCTTTGGTCTACTTTTTTTAAAACACAGCATTAATTCTGTTTCCCTATTTCCAAAGATGCTCAAACTTCTTTAGAAAGCCCATTTTACCATCTTTAGTTTGTATGTTCTTCTTTTACTCCTTGCAGGAATAGCAGGCTCTGGATTCAGACTACATGGGATGAAATTCTTGCATCACGAATTACTACCTATGAGATCTTAAGCCAGTTTCTTAAACTTTCTAAGCTTCAGTTTCCTCATCTGAAGAGAAAAGGAACAGCAATAATGGTTATGTATATTTCCCAGGCTTGCTGTGAAAATTACAGGAGAAAATCCATATGCAACACCTTGTGTTCTTTCCTTTTCTTCTTCCCCTTCCCTCCTCCTCTTTTTCTCTTCTCCTTCCTCCCCAACCTTCCTTGCCTCCTCTCTACTCTGCCCACCACCTCCCTTTCCCACCACTTTCCTCACTTCTTTCTCTTTCTCTCATACTCTGTTGTACAGCTTGGGTACAACAGACTCTAGAAGAGGTCAGTAGCCAGATCTTGGGTAGGAATATTTTCCCTTCCACTTCCTCTACCTCCCACCATGGCCTGTGAGACAAGCCCAGAGGCCCCATGTACACAATACAAGTACACTTTGCCAGGTTCCCCAGGTAGCAGAAGAGGACCCCAAATGAATGGAGCTGCATGGAACAGGTGAGATGCATTCTGCTTGCACTGTCTTTCAGAAAGGATACAAGGACATTCTGGGGTGAAGCAATGCCCACATTTTAATTTAGGAAGTTCCTATAAACCTTCACATTCTCAGATTCATTAGGTTCTTAGAATGGTCTCCCTTTTGGAGCTACGACCACCACCATTACTGAGGGAAAGATGGGGTGGTGGGGAGGAAGAAATTGGAGACAAAATGGGAGAGGAAGGAAAAAAAAGTTAGTATAAGTAGGTGGTTGGCATATTTTGAGCTGGTTTGTTAAGAAGGTTGTAGTTGAGTTTTAGAAAAGGGGGTTACTTTTTTTTTTTAAACACACACACACACACACACACACACACACACCACCTATTATATCCTGAAACACTGATGCTAAGAGCTGTAAAAGTAGAACTCCACCTACAGAAGAGGGAAGCACATGACCAGGATCTCAGATAGGGATGGCAATTAGCCTGCACCCCAAGCACCTGCTCCTACCAAATGGTAGTGATTGCTTAGGATACTGAATTGAGAAAAATTTGGAGGCACACCTAGAATCAGGGGAGAAAAGTGCTACAATTTCTTATCAATGTCATCGACAAGGAGTGATGGGTCTATATGGAGCATATATTTGCCAGTTCCAGATTCAGATACACCATGATGACATCCCTTTCTCAAGCAGGAAGCAAAATCACCTAAGACTGCTCCAAGTTTAATGGGGCATGCCAAAAGAGGAGGAAGATAGGAGAATTCATTTCTTGGGATGTGATGGGGGATGAAATAGGGAAGCCAGGGTGGAGAAAACAGGACTGCTGAAGTGAACAGGGGAGGAAAAAGAAATTGTTGCCTAAGGGGGTATAAAATATCCACGAACATTAACTGTTTATGAGATGAAGTCATATGAAACAGTATTTTCACAAAAGTCTCTCCTTGCACCTGTTAATGTTTAACCTCTGCTGGGGTGAAGTCCAGCTGGACATATCTGCTGAGTGTAAATGGTTTTCTGGGTTTCCCATATGCTGTTTCTGTCTTAAGCTATTGATATTTGAAAGAAAAGAAAAAAAAAACCAACTTAACCCAAGTGTATGGAAGAAGCCGTGCTGTCTTTAATTCCCTTGATGAAAAGTTCTGTCTTTTAGATAAATTTGACTGTAACAAAGGCTCTAAAAGCTCTCCCTTGCCCTGAAGATTGTTGCTTACAGAGATGATAAATTAAATCTAAGGAATAATGCAAAATTTGATCATAGCCACTCATCACAAACTCAAATTTGAATTGTCCCTATGTCTTCCTGGCACTTTAGTTCTTTGGTATAAATTAGAATGTGTTCGCAAAGGTTTTCGTTTTTGAAAAAAATAATATGTTTTTTTAATGACAGCCAATACTTTCTTTTCTTTTTTTTTAAATTATTATTATACTTTAAGTTCTAGGGTACATGTGCACAATGTGCAGGTTTGTTACGTATATATACATGTGCCATGTTGGTGTGCTGCACCCGTTAACTCATCATTTACATTACGTATATCTCCTAATGCTGTCCCTCCCCCCTCCCCCCACCGCACAACAGGCCCTGGTGTGTGATGTTCCCCACCCTGTGTCCATGTGTTCTCACTGTTCAATTCCCACCTATGAGTGAGAACATGCGGTGTTTGGTTTTCTGTCCTTGTGACAGTTTGCTCAGAATGATGGTTTCTAGCTTCATCCATGTCCCTACAAAGGACATGAACTCATCCTTTTTATGGCTGCATAGTATTCCATGGTGTATATGTGCCACATTTTCTTAATCCAGTCTATCATTGATGGACATTTGGGTTGGTTCCAAGTCTTTGCTATTGTGAATAGTGCCACAATAAACATACGTGTGCATGTGTCTTTATAGCAGCATGATTTATAATCCTTTGGGTATACGCCCAGTAATGGGATGGACAGCCAGTATTTTCTTATTAAGCTCAAACCTCCAAGTGTAATCATAGTACATTTGATGTAGATATGGTGGTTTTGTGTGTGTCTCAATTTGGCAGTTATAAATTCATCACTGTCTGAAGTAGCACAATGAGGCCAGTGTAAGGAATCCTTTGTTAAGGTTTGTTTTCTTCTTTCTGTAATGCCTCCTACATTGAACTGAACACCCGTTCCTGTTGATTTTACCTTTTTTTTTTTTTTTTTTTTTTTTTTTTTTTTGAGACAGAGTTTTGCTCTTTTTACCCAGGCTGGAGTGCAATGGCACAATCTCGGCTCACAGCAACCTCCGCCTCCTGGGTTCAAGCGATTCTCCTGCCTCAGCCTCCCGAGTAGCTGGGATTACAGGCATTCACCACCACGCCCAGCTAATTTTGTGTTTTTAGTAGAGAAGGGGTTTCTCTATGTTGGTCAGGCTGGTCTCGAGCTCCTGACCTCAGGTGACCTGTGGCCTCCCAAAGTGCTGCGATTACAGGCATGACTCAGGGAGGCCGGCTGATTTTACCTTCTAATGTCTTTTCTGTGCTTAGTCCCTAGCTTCTAATAGATCCCTCTTCTCTGTACTTATCCAATCCCTCCTTACTTTTTAAGTCTATTTGCCAAACTCCTGCCATAATAATCTTGTTCCTCTTTTGTTTAAAACTGTCCAGCAGTTTTCATCACCTAGAGGATAAAGTCCATTCAAGACTTTCCATGCTTAGTCTACCTCCCTAGACCCATCTTTTCCCTCCCCATGCCCTGTAGTCTAAGCTCTTGGCACACCAGCTCTCTTAGAGTGTCTCTTCATTCTCTCGTGATTATCACCTCCATGTTTCTCTGCATACTGTTTCCTCTCCCCTTCATCTTTTTGTACACCAGATAAACTCTTACGCTTTGAGACCCAGCCCAAGCATTATCTCTATCGCTAAGCCATTATTTCCACTTTCATCTCGTTTTTGCTTCTGTGCTAGCTTGGGTGGGATCTACAGACTATTTTCTAGTACAACCAGAAAGGTTGTGAAATAATATAATATTTTCACAGGCCCTGGAGTGCCAGCCTCAGGGACTTCCCTCCAGAACCTCCCAATGATTCAGCAATTAAAGGGTTATCACCTGCAATAGCAGGAGGCTTCCTAAACCCTTTTTGAGCACTTTGGCCACTGTCCATTTAGGTTCAATGGTTAATATTTTCAGTTTTCCCCTTGTTTACATTATGTTCCCACTCTTTGCAAGATTATCTGTTGCATTTCTCACTCTTCTGTCTCTCCTAAATTGTAGCTTCTCTGAAGGCAAGGATACGGTCTTTCTTTATCAACTCAGAATTCCCAGCACCCAGCCCAGAACCTGAAATAAAGTAGATGCTTAATAAATGTTGAATGAGAATGAGACAGTCTCTTGGGCTGGGGACAGGACACCAAAGAAATGATGCTGAAGAGATGATACTGACTTCTGATTGGCTCTGCACCTCTCCATACTGGTAGCAGTGGTTCTCAGTGGGGTGATTTGGTCCCACCAGGGCACATTTGGCAATGTCTAGAGACAATTTTGTTTGTCACAGTGAGGGGGTGGAGTGGGATGAGGGTTGAGGATCGAGGTGATAATGACACCTGAGGGGTAGGGGACAGCAATGCTGCTAAACACGTTACAATGCGTAGGACAGCCCCTAGAGCAGAGAATGATCTAGTCCAAAATGCCTTACAACCTTGGCAGAAGTCTCCTTTCCTCTGTACTCCCCGACATGGGGGTCCCATCCTCTTCTTGGTCAATGCCTTTTTCTTTCCACTTTTCCCCATTCCATGGTTCTAGTGAGTGTGCACACGGGAACAGAAGAAGAGTAATTCCTTTATTTTTGTCTCTCCACTTTTCCGTTCCTTTGCTGCCTTGGGGAGTCCCCCTATACCTGATTTCTGCCAGTTTCCTGACAAAGTTGAGGTTTCTCTATTTATATCCCTAAAAGTGAAGCTTTTCAAATATGTAAGATCTGAGGTTCACTGGCACAATATGGCATACTTAAGACAGGATTGAGGTCCGAGAGGGAGTCGTGAAAGAAAAAGAGGACACAGAGTCTGGATATTTGACTGTGTTTAAAAGACATCAAGGCACCCAGTGGAACATGGCAAAAAGGAGCTGCCAGTCAGTTTTGTTTATGTGGAACAAGCCAATTGTTTCCTCCCATGTGAGTGGCTGGTTTTGTTTTATCTTTATGTAGCTGCTATTCCTCCTTTTCCCCCACAGACCAACTAGAAGTCATTCTTTTTGTGATCTTTGTTTTTTTTTTCTTCCAATGAACTCTTATTTTGCTGCATAGTATCAAAATATTTTCTTCAAAGACAATTTCCTTTAAAAATAAACTGTTATCAGAGAGAAGCTATGTTCACAGCTGGTAAAGGCATGATTAAATAATCACCGTATGGGGAATTGAAAAGCAATTTCATAATATAGCTTTAGATTCCAAAGAGAAAATCTAAGGAAACATTCCAGTTAGTTAAGAAAACTTTTAATCAAATGAAGTGTTTGAGCTCTACTTGGTTTTTGTGTGTTTTTTTTTATTGGCAACTTTCTGTATGTGCATGTTTTACTTGGTGAGAGTTTGTAAGAGGTTATCTTAATACAGTAATGGACTTCCTGAGAGTTTGGTTAACCTTCTAATTACATATAAAATAGCCTTCCAAATAGTTACAATAAATGTTTTAGACATAAATTTGACATGAGTCTGTATCTTTACTGCTAGTCTCTACTATAACTCTTTTTTTTGAAAAAAAAATACCATTAATCTAAGAAGAAACAGAGTATCTAAAGCAGAAACTCCTATATTGTTTATGTTCATAGAGTGACATAAACTCTTAGACTCTTCATGAGTAGTGACATTATGGAGAAGGAAACCCTACTTTTGAATAGAAAAAAACTGGAGCTCTGCCAAAGCCCAGCATGTAATTCCAGGAATCATCAAATCTCTCTGGGACTTAGTTTATCTCATCTATAGACTAGGTGCAACATGATCACTCTTCAGGTTTGTCCTACAACTAGAGCTTACCAGTGCAAAAGCCTTACCACAGTACATGCCAGGTTGTCAACAATCGGTGATTCAATAAACAATAGCTGTGATCAATACCTTGATTGTATAGGCAATTCAGACAACACTAGCTTTTTATGTAAAAGTTTCCTCTTTGAAACTAATAAAATATCAGAGTTACCAAAGAGATATTTGTAAAATACTTATTGGAATATCTAAGGCCCCAGATCAAAATATTCTAAGCTGGACAATAATTTTATGCCTATGCTTTGGGTCCAGTATGCACTGATTTTAGACCAGAATTCTTTGATTTTTTTTTTGCATTGTTGGGTATGGAAATCCTGTACTAATACCAGACATTAAAACAATTTACACAGCTGTAATTGTGAGACAATGTAAATTCCATTAGAAAATTGTATTTGAATGATTATAAATGTTATTCTATAATCGACCTAAGATTGTTAAATCATAAACTTAACTATGAAATTTAACGCTATTTAAATACATTTAAAATAATATAAAATGTACCTTTTAAGCTTTTCAAATTTATGTATTTATTATTATTATTAATATTTTAGTGACTGGGTCTCATTCTGTTGCTCACGCTAGAGTACAATGCTACAATCATAGCTCATTGCAGTCTTGAACTCCTCGGTTTAAACGATACTCCTTCCTCAGCCTCTGGAGTAGCTAGGACTACAGGCATGTGCTGCCACGCCTGACTAATGAAAAAAAAATCTGTAGAGATGGGGTCTTGCTATGTTGCCCAGGCTGTTCTCCAACTCCTAGTTTCAAATGATCCTCCTACATTGCCCAAAGTGCTGGGATTACAGATGTGAGCCACTACACCTGGCCTCAAGTTGATTTAATTGTGTAAGATGAAAAATAATTGAAGTACTCTGTTTCATAAAGCTATATAGAATCTTGAAAAACAATGACTTGGAAAGATTTTTCCAAATTTTGTGAAATGACTTTTTATTGTTCACATGCAGCTCAGAATATTTTAATATTTGGGTATACAGTAAAATAATCAAAATTATACATTCTAAAAACATATTTTGAACTTCTAGAACAGAATTAACATGCTTTAGAACTGTGTTCAAGTGACTCATTCAGTAAGCCATTAAATCAGTTGACATAATACAGTATTTGAAATACCTTCCCAAAGCATATTTATCTATATTTTATTTCCTGTGAAAATTTGAAATTTAAGTACTTGTCATTTTGACATAAGCATATGTCATTTTTGTATTTATCTTAAAAAATTGTATTTAACATTTTGTAAAGACTTCCATTAGTATTAACCCAATAGAGCAAAATAATCAGAGAATGGAATTTTAGTTAAACTCTTTTTTTTTTACCTTTTATAGGAGTGCTATATCACACCTGTTTCTGAGCTTTAGGTTGGAGGTACTTCAATGAAAAAAATAACCTTGTATCCGCACACAACCTTATATGCACATAGGATTTTAAAACATGAGATGAGTTCCATTATTCAGCAAATGGCATTCTCCGATTCTAAAAAATGGAAATAAAATCAGAATCAGTGACATGCAGATAAAGGGAATCAACCAAGTCTTCAAACTTATTGCTTTGTATTTTTGTCTTATGAACTTTGAATTGAACTTCTGCACAGGATCTGATCTGGATGAAATGTCATATATCTGAGACTGATCCTTATCTCCTAAACGTTTCCTTTGTTTCTTTGATTCTTTGGGCTTTACCCTCTTATTTTATTGTGAGTGGCCCAGAGCTTTGATCTTGCAATAAGCTCTGGCTCGCAACACAAACCTTTGCTTTGCTATGACACACAGAAGGACGTGGGTATACTCAGAAAATCTAAATAGACAAGAGGTTACTTCTTCTGTGGTTAGGGCTAAAGGCAAATGGGGTAACTTCAGAATTTATTGTCTCCCATTACATTATGGGAAACTAAAAATTCACACGGGTATTTTAACATTAAGAAAGCACACCTGTGAGAACAAGTTTGATGTACAGTATCTATCTGTTTCTCATTTCAGTTACAATAGTTTCTTGAGTTTTAAGAATTAAAACTTCCCCTTTTGTATTGTTGCAGACATAAAATATTTAGAACCATCTTTCAGATTTCAAATTCCTTTCTGGTTAAAAAAATTATATTAAGATAGTTTTGAAGTTGTACAGTAAATAAAAATTGATTAATATACTGAGCACAAAGTATATCACACAAAGGTGCTTTTTAGCTGAAATATCAATTAGAAATGCACAATATATAATAAAATAGGAGTTATAAGTGTTGTGTTTGCAATTAATATTTCATATGTTCTATTTTAAATTTTTCTTACATTAAGAAAAAAAGATGCATACAATTTTCTGAACCACATAGTTCATTGTATCTACAATATCAGACAATGTGTAAAATAATCATCTACCAGAGGAACGTATTTAAGCCAGCAGACACCCTGTGCATGTTACATGTGTACAATGTACCTCTAAAATTACGAGTGTCATAAATAGAGTGTGTTGACACTCAGATGACTCTAAAGATGCTTGAGGAGAACTTCAAAGGGTTTCTTTCTTCAGTAACGTCTACTAATAAGTTAATTATAAACATATAAGTAATGGTTTTTAAAGTAATTTTCTTATTGTGTATGTCTTTGTTTAAGAAGAAAATGTTGAGCAGCAAGCCGGTCCCAGCCATGTGACCATATTAGTGGCGAGTTTATCATCTTGAAATGGACACCAACACTTTTATGTCCCTCAAACTAAAAGCAGCTAAGAAATTGAATTCATATGCTTAATAAATGAGTAATTAGAATGGGAAAATTTTATTCGCCAGTGTCAGACATTTCCCTCCTTCTACTACCAGTTTTCATTAAGTTTGAGAAAGTACAGCCGAAAGAGTCAGTTCAGATATACACTGGGAAACAACTCAAAACTGCTTTTCATTTTGAGTATTAGAGACTTTTGTTATCTTTATTTATAGTTTTACGTACGTGCTCATTTTTTTTAAACTGGAACTCATCTGCTAGCTACTAAACAATCACTGAACTTTGTCCAGTGGGTTCATAACCTGAATTCAAGTTGTAGGTAATGTTTGTAATTCTAAAAATGCCAACATTTGTCATTGTGAATTATGTTTCCTTTAGGAAATTCCTTTACTAAAGAGAGGCAGTCATTTTTGACACTAATCAGATGCCTCTGTGCTGACCCTCTTGCTGAATGAGGCCAGGCTTTCTAGGTTATTAGTATTTAAAAAGAAATAACCACCCAATGTAGCATTTCAGTAAATAATGACCTACAAGACCTATTAGGCATATTCCACAATTTTTCCCACCCGTAGCAATGATTAACTCAGAAAACATTACAGAGCTTTTCTGGTGTCAGCTGAGCAGGGGCTTGTGGTTCTTCATTCACATTTTTCACTTAATCCCATGGCTTTGAATTCTTTCCCTTGTAAGTTCCTATATATAAAGATTAGAAACTGCTTCTGGCTATGCAGAATTACATGCTTTTAGATGAAATTCAATCCATTGTAAAAAATTCTGTTCAGAGCAACACTATTTATTTCTTGTTGGATTTGGATGACACAGAGAAGAACTGGGAACAGAAATTATGTTACCCAATTTTAATAAGCTGTAGCAATAATTTTGAGAAACACTAGAAAAATTAAACACTGGTGAGTTTATTTAAGCCTTTTAAGGGAAAAAAAAAAGGAAATACCAGAAGATAATTAAAAGTGCAGAGCTAACTTTTCCTCTGGAATGTCTTTGGCTTGCCTTCCTTTTATATAGATTATGTCATAGTGGAGGTTGGGGATTGAAAAATAATTTTTGGTATTTAAGGAAGTGATAGGTTTTTGTGATTCTTAATACTCATCTTTGCGTAAAACAGGTTGAAATAAATCTTTAACAGTGAAGAAAGAAAAATGTTTGGATCTCATGAGCTGTTGGAAATTTTCTTATTGCCTCTTTTCTAAATATAATAGGTTAAAACGTGGAGAATTTCTGAAAAGTGATTACTTTTTCCCAAATAGTTGATCTGACCACATATAGACTAGAGAGGGGACTCCTCTCTGAGTTTTGAGATGGGACTCTAGATATTTGGCTGCAGAAGCCTAAAGAAGCAAAAACAATGGGGCTTGGGATGGGGAGGTGGGGTGTCTACAAGTCAGTTACGGAGGAAAATGCCGAACAAATATTTCGCTGGTTCATATAGCAGGATTAACATTTTTGTTCCTCGTGGAGCACAGGCATAAATCCTTAGAGAATCTCAGCAAAATCTGTTGAAGGGTCACTTGAACTTAAAGGTAACAAATTCTTGGGGTCTTTGAGTTATATATTTTTACATACTTGTGCCCTTTTCAACTAACAGAAAGGGCAAAATACCCACAGAGCCCTCCTTTATTGTTCTCTGTGCCCTCCTCTGCCTTTCACGTCTTATTTTCCTCCCAGATGTGTTTAGCAGATTCGTGTTTTGGTTTGTGTAAATGAGCCACATCTCAAAGTCGTCATGACCCCCCAACTTCTGAGTCTACTCTTAATGGCTAACCCTTACTTCCTCACTTCCCAATCTGCCCCCTTAAAACATTTGCAGCTCCACTGTGTTTAACATTAGCATTTGATGGTTCTCAGGATTCATTCAAAGATGGGAAATGAGTTTTTTTGTTTTTTTTTTAATTGACTTGGCTGGAAGGTGCTCATATAGAAATGATGCTGGGAACAGCAAATGAGCAGACATCCTAGGGAAGTGAGGTAATCGCACTAGGCAGAGGGTGGTTCCGGAAGGTCCCACTCGGGGTGGGCTTCAGCGTTACACAGACTGACTCTCCCAGTCCTTAACTGAGTGCCTGATAAGAGAAAGGGCTTTGTAAATACGTAACCCCTTTCCCTATGTGCCCCTCTCATCCCCACTAAGTATTATTGACTGACTCTGGTCCCGAAAGACTTTTTTTTTTTTTGGAACTAATTTGATTTTTTTTTTTTTTTTTCCAAGAGCATGCCTTCGTTGAGCTGAGACCCAGGCTTCTCTGACAAACTCTGTTGAGGAAACTGGAAATGATCTACTAAAGAATATAGATCGCTGAGTCTGATGTTGTACGAAACTCATAATACCTGACTGGGGAAAAAAAAAAACCAATGTAGGAAAAGTGAGTGTCACCAGAAAGAACACAGAATGGTGAGCCCTGAGAAGGCAGGTCTGTGACTGTTCCGTGCACCACAACATCCCGAGGGTGGTGGGTGCTTGGGCGTGCTTACTGAATGAATTCTCTTGCAAGATACCGTTGCCAAGTCTTCAACTTGTTCCTTTCCAATGTCATTTGTATTAAGCCTGAAATTTGCTTTGAAATCACAGGAAGAAAGAATCTATATAAACTAAATGGCCATTGTTTTCATTAATATTGTTATGTCACACCCAATCCCTAATCCCTCCCAGACAACAATTGAACCAAAGCAATATCAGTCACGTGATGCCTGAGGTCAAGTGAGTTCACCTCCCTGCCCGTAGCCCAGCATCATGTAAACCACTAAAATAAAGGCAAAGACATCTAGTATTTCTCTGGAGGCACACACTTAATAAAAACACAACTGAGGTGAGGAGGCTCAGAGAGAACATTGCTCAATTCCTAAATAGGAGTAAGTTACACTCAGACACAGACCCAGTCTCCTCCAAATTTCTTTTTTATTTTTTTGAATGAAGTTAGGAGAAAAAGGATTTTGGGCTTGCAGTTTGCTGTGGAGAGCGAGAGTCTGGCCTCACGTGCACAAGATGATTTCTTTTCTTTTTCTTTCTTTCTTTCTTTCTTTCTTTCTTCTTCTTCTTTTTTCTTTTTTTAATAAAGTAAGCACATTTAATGGAAATACATTTAATAGAAGATAAGGGTAGATTTGGAAACTTAAAATTCTTGCTAACTCTTAACCACACCTGGGTTAGTAGCATCTGGACTGCCATTACAGCCTTCTAACCAGCATTTCCACATCCTTTCTCATGCCTTCCATTTACACCCAACTCCATATATTCTCCACAGCATTCAGAATAGTGTTTTAAAAATAAAAATTTTTATTTATTTATTTATTTTTAATTATACTTTAAGTTCTGGGATACATGTGCAGAATGGGCAGGTTTGTTACATAGGTACACACGTGCCATGGTGGTTTGCTGCACCCATCAACCCGTCATCTACATTAGGTATTTATCCTAATGCTATCCCTCCCCTAGCCCCCCACCCCACAACAGGCCCCAGTGTGTGATGTTCCCCACCCTGTGTCCATGTGTTCTCATTGTTCAACTCCCACTTATGAGTGAGAACATGTGGTGTTTGGTTTTCTGTTCCTGTGCTAATTTGCTGAGAATGATGGTTTCCAGCTTCATCTATGTCCCTGCAAAGGACATGAACTCATCCTTTTTTATGGCTGCATAGTATTCCATGGTGTATATGTGCCACATTTTCTTTATCCAGTCTATCACTGATGGGCATTTGGGTTGGTTCCAAGTCTTTGCTATTGTGAACAGTGACACAATAAACATACGTGTGCATGTGTCTTTATAGCAGAATGATTTATAATCCTTTGGGTATATACCCAGTAATGGGATTGCTGGGTCAAATGGTATTTCTAGTTCTAGATCTTTGAGGAATGGCCACACTGTCTTCCACAACGGTGGAACTAATTTACACTCCCACCAACAGTGTAAAAGCATTCCTATTTCTCCACATCCTCTCCAGCATCTGTTGTTTCCTGACTTTTTAATGATCATCATTCTAACTGGCGTGAGATGGTAACTCATTGTGGTTTTGATTTGCATTTCTCTAATGACCAGTGATGACGAGCTTTTTTTCATATGTTTGTTGGCTTCATTAAGGTCTTCTTTTGAGAAGCATCTGTTCATATCCTTCTTCCACTTTTTTATGGGGCTGTTTGGTTTCTTCCTTGTAAATTTGTTTAAATTCTTTGTAGATTCTGGATATTAGCTCTTTGTCAGATAGATAGATTGCAAAATTTTTCTCCCATTCTGTAGGTTGCCTGTTCACTCTGATGATAGTTTCTTTTGCTGTGCAGAAGATCTTTAGTTTAATTAGATCCCAATTGTCAATTTTGGCTTTTGTTGCCATTGCTTTTAGTTTTGTAGTCATGAAGTCTTTACTCATGCCTATGTCCTGAATGGTATTGCCTAGGTTTTCTTCTAGGGTTTTTATGGTTTTAGGTCTTACATTTAAGTCTTTAATCCATCTTGAGTTAATTTTTGTATAAGGTGTAAGGAAGGGGTCCAGTTTCAGTTTTCGGTATATGGCTAGCCAGTTTTCCTAACACCATTTATTAAATAGGGAATCCTTTCCCCATTGCTTGTTTTTGTCAGGTTTGTCAAAGATCAGATGGTTGTAGATGTGTGGTGTTATTTCTGAGGCTTCTGTTCTGTTCCATTGGTCTGTATATCTGTTTTGGTGCCAGTACCATGCTCTTTTGGTTACTGTAGCCTTGTAGTATAGTTTGAAGTCAGGTAGTGTGATGCCTCCAGCTTTGTTCTTTTTGCTTAGGATTGTCTTGGCTATATGGGCTCTTTTTTGGTTCCATATGAAATTACAGCAGTTTTTTTTCTAATTCTGTGAAGAAAGTCAATGGTAGCTTGATGGGGATAGCATTGTACCTATAAATTACTTCGGGCAGTATGGCCATTTTCATGATATTGATTCTTCCTATCCATGAGCGTGGAATATTTTTCCATTTGTTTGTGTCCTCTCTTATTTCCTTGAGTGGTGGTTTGTAGTTCTCCTATCTGTCTCATCGGAAATGCTGAAACTCAGACACAGCACCAGCTTCTAGGTGAGTTTATACTGAATTTTGGTAATCTTGGGGCAAGTGAGAGACCATAAATTTTGAGCCTCATAAAAGTAGACTAGCATCGATGAAACCTCTATGTGCTTGTATTTCGGACTTTACAGGGAGAAAAGGAAGTGCTCTTATATGTCCCCACATATTGACAAGAAGTTTATTTCTCA
The DNA here is from genome assembly GCF_000001405.40 of Homo sapiens. Classification (NCBI taxonomy): domain Eukaryota; kingdom Metazoa; phylum Chordata; class Mammalia; order Primates; family Hominidae; genus Homo; species Homo sapiens. The sequence continues at coordinate 53,876,723 of NC_000014.9, read as the reverse complement.
CTGTAATATGCCACTAGGTCTTCATGTTTTTCACTCATACGTAGGACAGGACCCATCGATTATGGGTCAGGCAGTGGCCAGACAGACATGATTCGTATTTCCTGGAGTTCCTATGTAAGCATTGAAACAGTTATCAATTAGCAAATAAGAACAATTGAAATTCTATCTTCAGAAGCTAAAAAACACTTAACAATAATAACAAGGAGGAGGAGGAAAAAGAAAACAAAAGGAGAAAGACAAAAGGTTTCAAGAAAATAAAACATAAATTATAAACCAAGAACAAACCAAAAAGAAACCCAGGGACTGTGACCCTCAGCAACAGAAGGTCAGTCCAGGTCCTCGAATTCAAAGTGCCATCTTCAGACACCCTATCACATAGGTTTTCTTTAATGGACAGGGTACAGGGGGAAGATCAGGAGAGCCAAAGCTTGAGTCAGACTGAAGATGTTTGCTATTCTTCGGGGAGTTTCCTTCCAACACAGACACCAGCCAAGGTGACTGAGAATTGCAGTAGTCACAGACAAAGCCCAGAAAGGAACTCCTCCACGTTTTGCAAGGGGAGGTTGAGACTATGTGCTCAGTGCCCCTTCCCTTGATGAGATTGCTACCCTGGTGACAGCAAGACTACTAAGCCTACCTACACAGTAACCAGGGCCAGTGGAAGACTTCCTGCTTTCCAGGCTTTTCCACTCCATGCCCAGCAGAAGAGAGGGCAGAGGCCACTCATGATGAAAGAAGGTCCTTTCCTGCTCATGCCTTGTTCTTCTAAATGCTTGTCCCTTTGAGAAAGGACCACTCATATCTAGTGCAGTACTTGGGACATAGCTAGCAATGAGAAAAAGTATGCGGCATAAATGAATAAAAGTATTGTCCAAGTAGTAAGTCAAACGCCTTCCAGGTCAGGCAGAAAATACAGGCAAGTAGAGTGGCCAGTGTGGTGAGTGGTGTACAAGTTGGGGGCTAAGGAGCAGTGTGGGCCCCCTTTCAAGGGGCAGCAGAAACTTAGTTCCAAGGGAGTATCACCAGGAGGAGAACATTGGTCCAGTATTGCTCAATCTTCCTATTTTGTAAGAGGAGCCAGAAATCTAGACTTTTGTGTGAAATCTCATTACCAAAAAATGTCATTTAAAAATTTTATGTTGCTATTGCTATTTTTAAAACACTGTGAGGACCAGACAAACATATCTGTGGTCCAGATGTGGCCCCAGTCTGCTAGTTTACAGCTCTAGCATAGCTGAAAACAACAGAGGCTGTATTGGGGGAAACACCTCAACAAAAAAAATGATTGTGGGAAAGTTATTTTCAGTACATATTCATGAATATTCATGAATTCTTTTGGTTTATATCACTTTGTGACTAGGCTAGATGTTGAGAGATGCAAGGCAAAGTCATGAGGTTCTCTGTACAGAGGGTCTCGCTTGGCCTTCTGTAGCCTTGTCTGAGCAGGTACATGAGTCCTTTCGTTAGCTGCAGCATGCTAGAAATCTCCTTGGGGTGACTGTTTGTGTTTAATTTATCTGAATGAATGAAGCAAGTGTAAAATACTTTTATGTGGGTCTTTCTGTCCAGTGATCAACATGGGGACCAACTGGGCCATGCTCTGAGAATGATCCTAACAGGCAGCAGTCCCTGACTTCTGGATTTGGCTTGCTCACATTGGGCATAAATAGATTTAATTATAACTCATGGAGGGGTGAAGAACAGAGGCCTGATATCATTCTGGGAAATAAGAAAAAATGGGCCTTGCATCCCAGCCAGTATAGAGCAAATTTTCAGGGTGTGACCTGCAGAGAACATCTGTGACCTTCTTTATTTCAGAAGTTCCAGGAGGAGGCTATGGCTCTGGCTGCCACCACCGGTTGAGCTGGTCAGCAGGAAGTTTGACGTGCCAGAAAAACAAGGGAGGGAACAAGAAAGGCATTTTTCCAACTTATCCAGATGCCTCGGAGCCTAGAGTTGATTGGCTGAAGAGAACTGATTTGAGTGAGTCTATCTTTACTGGTCTATATTAGATATGGTAGGCTACATGATGCTATAACAAACAAACCCCCAAATCTCAGTGGCTTACCATGGTAAAAGTTTATTCTTCTGCTTACACAAAGTCCATTGCGTGCTCAGAAGGTAACTTCTGTGGGACTCTCCTTCAATTCCATAGATTCTGGGATCCAGCTCCTTCTCTCAAGGGCCTTGGCTCTTCCCTGGGCTTTCTCTGCGGTCCCTCTGGTGGGATAAACAAAGAGGGAGGATTAATTGGCATGTTTTGGAGCCAGGCCTAGGAGTGGCAATCTTTGCTTCTGCCACATTTTGTTGTCCAGAACTTAGTCACATGGGAAGCTGTTTACCCTGGAGAAGGAAACAATCTGTGTGAACATACAGCCATCCCGATACACCACCTATTGACTGTCTGAGCAGAGAAGGGAGAATTATGTCAACATGTTCCTCTCTCCCTCCCTCCCTTTCTCCCTCTCTCTCCCTTAATTTTTAATTTCAAATTTAATTTTAATTACTTTCTTCTCCCTTAATTTTTTTTTTCTGTCATGCTGATTACAAAAGGCCAACCACAAAAACAGTGAGGCCAACTGATAATAAGCTGGTCACCTGGCTTTTCCTGAGGTTGGTCTTCACATATCAGGGAAGAAGCATGAAGGTCTCATGCATCTTGGAGCACAAGAGCAAATTTGTCTCTAATTAGCCTATTGCTAATTTGTCACTTCTAGTGATGGAGCTGTTATCAAAGAACTCTCATCCTTCTCCTTAGTAAGTCTAAACTCCTAAGAGCACATAGACTGATATAAGATGCCTGCAAACCAGTCCAATTAAATATCCACATAGGTTCCCTTACTTGATTTCTTCCATTTCCACGACTGAAACAAATAATTTAGTTTGCTAATTCTTTGCATTTTCAAAGTAGCTTCAATCAGAGGACCTAATGGTAGTTTACAAATAGTTGAGTCATTACAGTCATTCTAATGAGTTTTTGAAGTAGCTGAGCCAAACATCAAATTTCTTTAGCTTATAGGGGAGACACTGAATCACAGAAGAGTTAAGAAATTTGTTCACATTCACTGTCACAAATAATTATTATTGCCAGAAGTTCCTAGGACTTTTAATCATAATTTCACAATCTTATCAGCTATAAGCTAATAGTTGATGAGACCAAATCAGAATTTGCATTTAACCCTCTTACATTACTTCTGAAAAAATTAAAGTATATTTATGTTTCATGTATTTTAAAATATGCATTTTTGAGTCACTACCACTAATATTAAAGGTCCTTTGTCCTAATTCAGAAACTATTGGAACATATATTTAAAGAGATTACTCTATCCAAGACAAGGTTTAGAAGTTACTAGGTTATGTTAGATGTCCAAGGAAGTGGGACCTCCCAGTTTGTGAATCTGCTTCGTGGGGAGTGTGTGTTCCTATGAAACAAGCCTAAACAATATGCCTGACCTATGAATGCAGTTAACAGAGTATCAGTGCGAGGTGGTGTTCTTAACACGAACAGCTTATATGGGCAGGCAATGATATACTAGCCAAGTAGGTGAAAAATGACTATTTAATGCACCCTATATAGAATTGTTATGTAATAAAGATAGACTGTCAAGTGGGCTTAAAGTGACATTTCGTGGGAGGGTTTATTGGCCAGATGCAGTGAATCTGAGATCAATTAATTTTGCTTTGAAGTTTGTTCTTGATCCAGATCTTCAATAAGAAGGTAGTTTCCAAGTCACTGGTCTGTGAACACTGCTTGTGATTAATTACCCTTTTATAATCGTAGGAATTCTGTTCTTTGCTATATTTTGAATAACTCAGACTCCATGGGGAGTTGTATTTTGGCTGGTATATTTGGAACTGCTAATAAACACCTACTTCCTGTTTTTCTTACTACTGTGTGTAGCAAATTGTAAAATTACTTGTATTGCCATCTCTGTTTCTTGTGTGTTTAACCAGCTCTGATTTATGTTGTGGGATAATCTGCATCAAAGAGTCTTTGCCAAAAAATTTCTCATAGCTTCAAAATGTAAGATACTGTATCTTACTATTGCAGCATAAACTTGAATAATGATAGAGAAAATATTCCATTTCATCAGCACAGAAAAATTAGAATTTTAGTATCTTGAGCCACAAATAACTCTTGGAAAGAAGTTTAGTGTATTTTTATTTTTTTACATACATTTCCAAGATCATTAATTTTATTCTTTTACGAAGACATGTGATGGAATAGAAAAGATGTTTCTGTTTTCCTTTTGGTGTGAATTTTCTTGCTTAAGTCTAAACAGTATATTAAACCAGTAATAAGTATTGGTTACTCATCAAAAATTTTTAATTTGAAAAACACTCTGGTTGTTTTTATTGCTTACTTTAGGCTGTCTGGAACTGAGACCTCCAGCTTCTGTTGTGTAGGCTGCAAGCTCATGTCTAAGACTGGGAAGCTGCTAGCTTAGAATAGCTCAGGGATTCCCATGGAGGAAGAGGCCCCTGGAGAAAACTAGCTGTAGGTCTCGCACTAGCCCTGAGAGGAGGGAACTATCCTTTGCCTTCCAAGCCCAGAGTGCTATTGAGTGAATGATCAACAAATATTCATTCTCCTTCACTTACAGAGAAGTATAGAGGGTTAATGAGTTACTGGTGCCCTGGAATCTCTATTCTTTTCCTACTGTCCCACCAGAGCTCCAGCTTATGTTCCTGCAGACCCAAGCAGGAACGGAAGGGTTGAAAGTGATATAAGATGCAGCATAGACACAGTCTATGAAGGTAGCACTGCATTGGCTGTGGAGGAGTACTAGCCTTAGACCTGGGCAAATAGGTGTCTGTTCCAGATGCCTGCTTTAGAGGATGCTGCTTGGACCCTCGTCTGCTTGGACCCCTGTATTAAGTCAGGGTTCCCTAGAGACACAGAATCAGATTATATATATAATACATATATATATCATATATATATAATCTGTGTGTATACATGTATATTTTATACACATAAATATATTTTATATGCAATATATAAATATAAAATGTATTCTATAAAATATACATAAAAATATATTTTATATGTTATTATATATATATAGTATATATATAAAACCTGTGTGTCTACACACACATATATATACATACACGCAGTGATATATATGTGACACACATATATAAGTATATGTGTGTGTACACATGCACGTGCACACACACACACGCACACACACACACACTTTGTTAGCCATTGTGGAGACTGAAAAGTCCCATGATCTTCCATCTGCAAGTTGGAAACCTAGGAAAGCTGATGTATAATTCAGTCCAAGTCTGAAGGCCTGAGATCCGGGAGAGCTGATGGTGTAAATACCAGTCTGAGGAGCAGAGAAGATAAGATGAGATGTCCCAGGTAAGCAGACAGGAAAAAAGGGCAAATTCCTCCTCCTCTGCCTTTTGTCCTCTTCAGGACCTCACGGTTTGGATGATTCCTACCCATGCCGGGGAGGGGAAGCTACTGAGTCCACCCATTCAAATGCTGACCTCATCCAGAAACTCCCTCCCAGACACATCCAGAAAGACTGTTTAATCTGGGCATTCTGTGGCCACTCAAGATAACACATAATGTTAACCATCACAGACTCTAACCCATGGGGCAAAAGGTGCTTGTGGCAATAAGTGTCCACCCAGAGCTCATGCCCAATCGCCCTGTAATGTGAGTCCTAGGACTACAGAATTCCTGTCCAAAAGACCATAGTACTTCTTCCAGGGCTTGTGAAGGCCTCTTTCCTCATCCATCCTCCTGAGGGGTGGTTTAGAGGTGGCCTGGGGTGACTGGTGTGTGTGTGTCTGTGTGTGTGTGTGTGTTGGAAGGATGGAGCTTGGACATGAGGGGTGGGGTGTCCACACATATGCACCTCAGGTTCTTACCATACAAGATGGAGCCAGCAGTGGGAACACAGGGAGTAGACCAATGCTTGATGCCTTCATTCATTGTCTGTCCTGGCTAAGAGATGCCAGGGGCCAACCTGCTGTGCACTAAGAGGGGATGGAGCTTAAAACCTAATGATTCTCCCATGTTTTTCTCCTCTGCTCCTGCTCCATGTCTTCCACCATGTCTGAAGCTCCTAACTTAGCATTCTCATGTTTTCACCTACCACCTCTCTGCAGTTGACTTCCCAAGACATCCTCCTAACCTCTCCTCATCAAACTCCAGATTTCTCTGTGCAACTGCCTGCTTGTTTTCTCTTCATGGAGGTCCCACTAGTGCATCAAATGCAATATGGTTAACACTAGAATCAAAATCAAAATCTCCCACAGCCACCTCCTATTTTTGAGGTCTTTGCTTTGGTTAATCACACCAGCTTCCATAATTATCTAGGCAGCTGTATTCAGAAACCAGTTTTGACTCCTCTCTCTTATCCATTGCCCTCATTGAATTGATTCCAAATTAATTAATGATGTCTAAATGTGAAATAGGATGTGATTGTGCAAATCTCTTGTTTACTTTCCTTCTCATGGCTGCTGCCTCTTGGAGGTTTCATGGCTGCTCACTAGGAAGACTTTCCAACTCCCCACTTCCTCCTGCTTCCTCTGTACCTCCCCACACAACCCAGCTAGACTCATCTTCTTACAGCGTAGAAGCACTCATATAACCCCCTGCTCAAGACCCCAAAAGCAGCCTCATTAGCTGATCTGATTAAGTGAAAACTCCTTAGCCAGTTATGTAATTTTTCATGTTTCCATGTGACTTTATGACACAGATATTCTGTATCTCCCATGAAACCATTGTGATCCAGCAAGATTTATTTAAAATAATACCGAGAAACCTCTCAACTTTAGTGAATATTTTTTCTTTCTATTCTTTTAACGCTTTTTAAATTGTATAATATTTCAGGTAGATAAGGATTGGGAATAACATGATGAGCAGTGTGTATGCGCCATTCAGCTTTTTCAAACCCCAACATTATGTTGTATTTTTTTCAGATCTTTCTTTTCTTTTAATTTTTATTTTAGGTTTGGGGGTACATGTGGAGGTTTGTTACATAGATAAACACATATCACGAGAGTTTATTGCTACATTGCCCAGGTATTAAGCTCAGTACCCAATAGTTACCTTTTCTGCTTCTCTCCCTCCTCTCACCTTCCCCCCTCAAGTAGACCCCAATGTCTGCTGTTTTCTTCTTTGTGTTTATAAGTTCTTATCATTTAATTCCCACTTATAAGTGAGAACATTTAGTATTTGGTTTTCTGTTTCTGCATCAATTTGCTAAGGGTAATAGCCTCTAGCTCCATCCATGTTCTTGAAAAAGACATAATCTCGTTCTTTTTTTGTGGCTGCATAATATTTTATGGTGTATATGTAGCACATTGTCTTTATCCAGTCTGTTATTGACAGGCATTTAGGTTGATTCTATGTCTTTGCTATTGTGAACAGTGTTGCAGTGATCATTTGCGTGTATGTGTCTTCATGGTAGAATGCTTTATATTATTCTGGGTATATAAGCAGTAATGGGTTGGATGGGTTGAATGATGGTTCTGCTTTCAGCTCCTTGAGGAATCACCATACTGCTTTCCACAATGGTTGAACTAATTTATACTCCCACCAACAGTGTATATGGGTTCCCTTTTCTCTTCAGCCTTACCAGCATCTGTTATTTTTGTCTTTTTAGTAATAGCCATTCTGATTGGTGTGAGATGGTATCTCATTGTGGTTTTGATTTGCATTTCTCTAATGATCAGTGATACTGAGCTTTTTCTCATGTGCTTGTTGGCTGCATGTATGTTTTCTTTTGAGAAGTGTCTGTTCATGTTCTTTGCCCACTTTTTAATGGGGTTGTTTTTCTCTAGTAAATTTGTTTAAGTTCCTTGTAGATGCTGGATATTAGACCCTTGTTAAACGCATAGTTTCTCCCATTCTGTAGCTTGTCTGTTTACTCTGTTGATAGTTTCTTTTACTGTACAGAGCTCTAAAGTTGAATAACATTCCACTTGTCATTTTTTAAACTTTTGTTGCAATTGCTTTTGGTATCTTTGTCATGAAATCTTTGCGTACTCCTAGGTTCAGGATGGTATTGCCTAGGTTGCCTTCTAGGATTTTTATAGTTTTGGGTTTTATGTTTAACTCTTTAATCCATCTTGAGTTGATTTTTATATATGATGAAAGGAAGGGGTCCAAGCTTCACTCTTCTGCATATGGCTAGCCAGTTATCCCACCACCATTTATTGAATTGTGTCTTTTCCTCATTGCTTGTTTTTGTCAGCTTTGTCAAAGATTAGATGGTCATAGATGTGCAACCTGATTTCTGGGCTCTTTATTCTGTTCCATTGGTCTATGTGTCTGTTTTTGTACCAGTACAGTTTTGGTTACTGTAGCCTTTTAGTATAGTTTTGGTCACTGTAGCCTTGTAATATAGTTTGAAGTCGGGTAACGTGATTCCTCCAGCTTTGTTCGATTTGCTTAGGACTGCCTTGACTATTCGGGCTCTTTTTTGGTTCCTTATAAATATTAAAATAATTTTTTCTAGTTCTGGAAGAATCAGACCTTTCTTTTTTAAAATCCAAGAAATAAAACTTCACTGAGTAGAAGCTGCTGGGTACCTCAGTTTCACTTTCCTCACTCCCCTTTTCTCTCCCAGAGACAATTAATATCTTGAATTCAGTATTTATCCCTAACATAAGTAAGTTTATGCTGCATACTTGTGTATCCAAAACTATATTTCATTGCTTTTCAGGTTTATAAACTTAATATAAAAGTCATAAGTGGCTGGGCATGGTGGCTCACTCCTGTAATCCCAGCACTTTGGGAGGCCGAGGTGGGCAGATAACTTGAGGTCAGGAGTTCAAGACCAGCTTGGTCAACATGGTGAAACCCCGTCTCTACTAAAAATACAAAAATTAGCCAGGTTTGGTAGCACATGCCTGTAATCCCAGCTACTTGGGAAGCTGAGGCAGGAGAATGGCTTGAACCCGGGAGGCAGAGGTTGCAGTGAGCCGAGATCGTGCCACTGCACTCCAGTCTGGGTGACAGAGCAAAATTCCGTCTCAAAAAAAAAAAAAAAAAGAAAAAGTCATAAGTTAGCAATTGGTTTGCTCTACATATTGTTTTGCAGCTTTATCCATGTTTATTTCACTTAGCAACTTTAAGATATTTCACTACATGAATATTCCACAATTTATTTATTCATTTCCTTTTGACAGACATTTGTGTTGCTTTCATTTCTTTGCTCTTACAGAGTTGCTATGAACATTGTTGTACTCACCTCCTTGCACCTAAACCTGAGAGCTCCTATAGGATTCATACCTAAAAGTGAAATCCCAGGGTTATGGTTGTGACCATCTTCAGCTTTCTTAGATTCTGCTAAAATTCTTTGCAAACTGTACCCATTTACATTCCTATTGGTAGGATGGGAGGAGGGTTCCTATTTCTCCTTGCATTTGTGATCACCAGATTTTAAACATTTTGCCAGTATGATCAGTGTGAAATGGAATCTCACTGTTGCTTTAATTTGCATTTCTCTGATTTTCCATAGGGAAGATGCATGAAGTACAAGTATGAAAGAGCCACAAAAGATCCATACATTCGGCAATCCCAAAATAAAGACTTTTATATAACAAAAGATGCAGTAATGTTAAAAGAAACAGAGAGATAGATACACAATGCAAATAATACAAAGATAGTATTCAGAATGTGTAAAAGAACTATATATGTTTTAAAAATCAACTTTTATTTTAAGTTCCAGGGTATATATGCAGGATGTGCAGGTTTGTTGCACAGGTAAACATGTGCCATAGTGGTTTGCTGCACAGATCAACCCATCACCTAGGAATTAAGCCTAGCATCCATTAGCTGTTCTTCCTGATGCTCTCTCTCCCCTGCCGCCCCAATAGGCCCCAGTGTGTGTTTGGTACCCCTGCCATGTGTCCATGTGTTTTCATCGAAGAACTGTAAATTTTAAAACAAGACTGATAGAAAATACACAAATGTTATGAAAGGCAGTACTCAAAAGAAGAAACCAAACATATACTTGGGGCTCAGTAAACATTTTCTGATTATTAAATGAATAGAAAGAATAGGTGAAGCAGATCTCAGATGTCAATGTCATTGTTGGGTACCCAAGGACACAGACCCTGAGACAGAGATTTGTGTGTGAGAGGTTTACTGAGGAGTGGTTTTGTGGAGAATGAAAAAAAGCAGGATTGGCAGGGTGAGAATTGATCTGGGAGTTTTGGAGCTGGCATGGCCCTTCAGAAGGGCCTAGAATTGAAGCAAGTGACTGGGCCATGCATCTATCAATTATGGATTATAGGTCTCTCTGAGGAGGGGAAGCAATCTCTGATGGGGCAGATCCTTTTGGCAGAAAGGACCATCCAAAGAGAGACTCAGCTATGAGCCATCAGTAGCCTATGCTTCTGCCAGCTAGGGGAATTCAGAGGAGCTACATGGAGCATACCCCAGCATCCATCACATTGAATATTAAAATCTGGTGAATTAATCAAAGTACTGTGATTAAGAACACGCATTGGAGCTAAGAGAGCCCTGGGATTTAATCCTTATCCGGCTAGGTAACTCTGGGCAAGTTAACTGTTCTTAGACTCAGTCATGATATTCTTTCGACAAATATTCATTGAGTGCCTAACAACAACTACCTTGGGATTGTGAAAGTTGAGTGAAAAAGAGTTTGGCACCATTCCTGGTGCACATTTAATGCATGGCAAACAGTAACTACTTATTATTATTATTAACAATTGTGGGTAAAGCATGTATTACTTTTACACTGTCAGTGTAATACAGCAAGAAACTTTCTTGGAATGTGCTTCTGTGGCTTTCTTAGATAAATGGAATACTCATGAGGCTAGTGGGATTTAGAGTAGGATTATTCTCTAGTCTAAGCCGGTAAATGCCTTAGCTGTTTAATAAAACATTTCCTGGATTCATATTTAAAACGTAACTGACTTCCCACTCCTCAAGGTCAATTGTTATTTTTTTCTTCCTGTTTTCATATGACTTAATTTCTAAAACAAACAGGTAATCTCAGGCAAGAGAAAAAATACAATTGCCCCATCTCTTCCTTAAGTCTCCCAGGTGACTGTAGTAAGTAGCTTTAGATATTAAAAAATTCTTTCTTTGTTAGAATCGGGTAGAATCAAACACATTTTAGAGCTGGAAAGAACCGTAGGCTTTAAAGATTATCCAGGGCAATGGGTTTCATGTTTTAGGCAGCAGGAATCTACCTCCTCTCATTCTCTAACAGTTTTTCCATAAATGAAGTCTTATGCAGTAAGTCCATTATTTGGAGTAAGTCCATTATTTGGAGCAAGAAAACACAGATCGGCTCTGGCTGAACTGAGATGGAGACTGGAATTCACCTTGTCTGTCTGCTTCTTGCAGTCCACCTTTTTATATGGCTGTTCCTAATGTACTTATTGGACTGTAGTTACAAAAAAATAAAAGAGAAAATCACTGGTGGTGTAGTGCAACCCATTTATTGTAAAGATGAAGAAATGCCTGGTTGTCCTCCTACCTCTCTGGCTGCTCTTCTCAATCTCCTTTGCTGGATTCTACTCTTTTTCTACCATCTAGGCTCTTTAGGACTCTGTCCTTGGACCTCTCCTCTTTCCACACTCATATTATTTGATGATTCTTTCTAATCTTATAGCTTTTAATTCCATCTGTGCACTCTTGATTCACAAACTTATACCTCCAGGCCAGATCTCCCTTTGGAACTCCAGTCATATTTCCAACTGCCTAATTGACACCTTTCTGGGAAATCTAAGAGATTGCTCAGAGTTTGCACACCTCAAATGAGACTCTGGGACTTCTGCAAAGTCTATTCTATCGTATTTAATGGCAACTCTGTCCTTCCAGTTGCTAGGACCCAAATATCTTAGTCATCCTTGACTATTCTTTTTTTTTCTTATGGCATGCATCAGATCCACCAAGAAATCCTGTAGGTTCTCCCATCCAAATATATTTTGAATCGAACCACTTCTCTTTCATCATTATTAGCCTGTCTCATACCATCATCATTTCTCATCTGAATTATTCCAGTAGTGTGTCCTCTTAATCAGGATGATAATTTTGAAGACTCAAAGGGAGAAGGGCATTAGCAATTGCACTGAAACACATTGCCCAAAATTATTCTGGGCAAACAGGTCACTCTTAACTCATCTTCCTGTCCCCTTGAAGTTGAATCCTAATATATTAGCCAGAGTGCCTCTGTTCAAATCTAGCTTTAGATCATATCACTCGGTTGTAATCTCTTCAATGGCCCTTTGTTTCACCCAAAGTAAAAGCCAAAATCCTCACAAGGTTCTGTGCTGTCTGCTCTTTCATTGCCCAGCAACCGTATTTTCTATCATATTACTTGCCTATTCTGACTGTTTCTCCAGCAGTGTTTTTGCTGTTCTTCAATCATGCCAAGCATGCTTCCACCTCAGGACCTTTGCACTGGCTGTCTCTCTGTCTGAAATGTCCTTCCCCTAGATGTCTGCATGGCTGCATCCTTCAATTCACCTATATCCTTCAATTGGCACTTAGTCATTGAAGCCTACCCTTGTCATGTTATGTTAAATTATAATAATCCCTTTCCTCTCCATATTTCTTTCTTTGTTTTATTTTTTTTCATAGTACTTGCCGTCCTCTAACATTTTATATAATTTACTTACTTATATTTATTTTCTGTCTTTTGCCAATAGAATGTAAATTCCACATGGGCAGGGAACTTTTTTTTGCTTGGCTTCTAGTGTACTTCCTGAGCCCAGAACAGAACCTGGCACGCAGTGGTAACTCAAAAGATATTTGATGATAACTGAGTGGAAAAGCATTGAAGCCTTGGAAGGTTAAAGAGCTTCCCTCAAGTCACTTGGTGACTTGAAAGCCTGAATCTGGAGCCAGAATCCCTGATTTTCCATCTTGGGGTTTTGGTTGGGTCTATGTGACCACAATGTGTGATGAGATAACAGACCAAATTACTGACTGTTCAGGTGAGTTCCACTATAATTGGGCACTTTACCTTATTCAAATCTGAGTCCTGAAAATGGCATTGGAAATGGGTCACAAATATTCATGTAGAATTACTTTTTGGTAGAAGTAATTAGTTTTGAGAGCAGTGATGTGAAAACAAAAGGAATCCTATTCAGTGGATGATCTGAGAAGGATTTCTGCTTTAATCCTATTGAGCTTGAGATTAAAATAGCACTTTCGTGGTGAGCTGCCTCAGAAAACCCAGTAATTCTAGGAAACTGGCTATCTTTGAGGAGGAGACTGGTAGGCTGGAGGCAGTGCTCTGGACTTGCTTGGAAATCTGGAAATCTAGAATTCTAGATTTATTCTTGTTTTACTTTTATCCTTTTTTATTGCTTTGAAAATATGAGCCTTGCCTTCTTGCAAATATTAGAGGGATGAGTAAATCACATCTGCAGTATTGATACATAAATTGCTGCTGGTAACCTGTAACTTCACTCATTTCTTATATCTGAAATGTTCTTCCAAACTCTCTCTGAAGTTCCTTCTAAACAAGAATCCAAAGTTGTTCTTTCTGATTGACTTTAGTTGCTTTTGACTCTATCTTCCTCTTTAAATAGTTTGTAGCATTTATGCATTACTTCCAAAATGTTATTAAACTATTTTCTTGAGCATCTGTCTTGTGTCTACAATTAAATTTAAAATGTTCTTAAGATGGGGTAGGTGCTGTGTTTTTTGTTTTTTTATTGTTGTTGCTGTTATTTTTTTTTTTAACTTTGTCTTCTGTTTTTCTCCTTTGTGTTTAAAGTAAGACTCATAAGGGCTGATGAAGAAACTGAGAAGAACTTGATTCTACTTTTGGTTTTACCTTTACTACCTGTGTAATCCCTCTGAAATTCAGTTTCTTCATCTGCAAATGAGAACCCTACTACTGAAAAAAAAGTTGGTGGGTGGGATAGACAGTCAAGTCAAGAATATATGTATTAGTATCCTTTGGGTTGTCTCTCCTGCACCCTCACTTTTGTGGTAACTGTCCCCTCTCCACTGCCTAGCCCACTCCCATCTGCATGGTTACAATCGCTGGGCTCCTGCAAGCCATATTTAAGCAATGTGACCTGACCTCCCTGCCCCAAGTAATTGAACCAGGGCTGGGAAACTGACCAAGGAGGCCCCTTAAACACACTTGGAATTAGGACCAAGAAATTTCAGGTTCACCTGGCTGTTCTTTTAAACAGAGAAGGGGTAAATTCAGAAGGTGTTGGTTGGTGACGCTTTTTTTACCTTGCAGTTAAATCAGAGAGAATGCAGCTTTGCAGTGAGAGAGAATAAAAGACAAAAGAAAGAGAGGATGTTGAGGGTTCCCTAGACTAGAACATGGCAATTCCTTATTTTTAAGGCCCAGCTGCATCCCAGCTCTAAGCTCAGTGAGATACTCGCTGTCCACATAATCTATTATTATTATTAGCTTTAGTTAGCTTAAACAGGTTCTGTTACAGCCAAAAGCACCCCAATAAATACATTTTCTGCGGAAGTGATTTGTGAATCAGATGTAGCTTTTACTGCATACATTCTTACTGTGTTCCACTTTCTTTTCTGTGCTCAAACCCTGGATGATAGTAGAAATGTGCCAAGGTTTTGAAGTGAATGAACACCTTAACCTCTACACCTATTCCCAGGACCTACCAAGGAACATTTTGGTACCAATAGCCAACAAATATCATTTCCATTTTACTCCATCAACCCGATATAGCTGTTCTGCTGGCAAGAAAGCAATTGGGCCTTTTGTGGTTGCAAGCTGAGACTGAGTCAGGTAAGTAAGAATGCACAGACTGTGAGAATTACTGTTTTGACCAAAAAAAGCCTCCTAGAGCAACGATTATCGAGGGAAGGAGCTGGTGCTGGTGGGCTAGAGACGAGTGGAGCTGGATGATACTATTTCATCATTCAGCACTCAGAACCACTCCTGACCAGAGCTCCCGGGGATGCAGGGCTGTGCCTTATATTTGGCATTCTTACGTGGTCCATTTTGGTTTTGCTTGTGCCACCTCATAATGTGACCTCTAAGAGCTCTAAGACCTCTAAGATAAAAACGAGGCAGATGTTCTGCAGGGCTGAATGCAAAGATCTGTAAGTTGAACTCCTTTCCTTTAATTTCATATTGCACTTTTAAAGCCTTTAAAAGAGATTTTAACACAAAGGACCCATTCAAGTGTTCTACTGTGGAGGGAAGTTGAAAACATGCATCTGCACACATCTTGGCTGTTTGTTTGTGATAGAAGATCCAGTTAAGAACACCACTGGGCCTTTCTGCACACTTCCCATGTGTAATGTCAAGACATGAGGTTAATTGCAGGCACCCATATCGGAAATAATTATGGAGTCAGAAAAATGGTGAGCAACCTTGCCCTCCAAGAGGAATGTGTAGGTCTGCATGGCAAATGTCACAGATGGCATGGCACATTGAGCAAAACCACATTTCTCTGTCATCCCTTCTTTTACATTGCAACATAAGTGCCTGGACTCTGAGCAGAGCTGGATCTGTCTCCCATCACTGGAAAATGCGAGGAGGGTCCTGAACACACTGGTAAGGTGGTTGTTTTTAGAATGTGGCAGAAATAAATACCATGGGAAAATGGGGCCGGGGAGTGGCCTGACCTAAGCCATCTCCTGTAAGAGGCAGCCAGTCAGCAAAGAAACAGGAAAGTTAGACAAAATCCTGGTCAGAGTTAAATGGAACCACCCAAATGAGACCAACCAGGACTCCCTTAGCTACAATTCTACTGTAAGAGAGCCCCCGCATCTCTAAAGGGGTGCAGTGAGGCAACTTGCTTTCCCCCAAATTTACTTTCACCCTCCCCGACACTCATAGATTTTAATAGGCTTAAGATTTCCTGAAAAATACATGGCCATATAATTTTTCTCTCCCAGAGGTTCTCTGCCACAGCATGTTCTCTTTGAAATTTTTGACTATGAATTACCATTCTATAAGCGTTTACTGACGTGCCAACTTGGAAACATCAAATAATATTTATGGCATTGCAAATTATACACAATTATTATATTGCAAGTCAATGGCTTAAGAATGTTTTAAAGCTAAAAAAGAAATAATTATGTTTTTTGGTTGGTCTGTGTATAAAACAACTCACAGAGAGCGGCATAGTATTAGCCATTCATATACAGTATTTAATCCTGTGATAAGTGGTAATGCTCTGGTATTGATTTCTTTGTAAGTGATGAGTATTATAAAGCTAAAGGAATTAGCTTTATAATGCCTTTGGAATTAGATCAGGTGTGTATCATTGTGGGCAATTCAAATAACCTCTTAAAACTTCAGTTTCCTTTTTGGTAAACTGGGAGTAAAACTCATCACACAGAGTTGTGATAAGAATTACATAAAATAATGAATATAACACACCTGGAATTACTAGGAGCCAAATGAATATGCCTTGCAGCCTTTCCCTATGCCCACTTTTCCTACAGGTTACATTTGCAACCAGCACATACTACATTATTTTGGTGACTTTTTCTTTTTACCCCCAAATTAATTTATTTCTTAATTCGTTTTCTTTTCATAGCAGGCGTTACAAAATAGGAACAACAAAACCAATGGAAAACAATCCCTCAGGAATAGATTGATTAATTACTGCTGATTATCCTTAGTGTTGAATGCAGTGCCTGGCATTTAATAGGTACTCAGTGTTTTTGATTGATTGGTTCGTTGTTCATCAAATGCCTTAATTTAAAATTTCCAGATTTACTTTGAAAGGAGCAGTCTCTGTTGCCAAGCAAGGAATTAAACTTTTCTTAGAAAAATGTCTCCATATAAGAAAGGGTACCATGATTTATTTCAAAGAACAGAATTAGGAGCAGAAGCTGAACATCCTAGGAAAGGTAATTTTATCTCAGTTTTAAGAGCTGTTTAATGTAATCCCAGCTACTTAGGAGGCTGAGGCATGAGAATCACTTGAACTCGGGAGGCGGAGGTTGCAGTGAGCGGAGGTTGCGCCACTGCACTCCAGCCTGGGCCACAGAGAGAGACTCTGTCTCAAAAACAAAGAACTGTTTAACAATTAAATTTGCCCATTTGTGCAGTGGGCATTCTTGTGAGGTATATTATATAAGATGAAATAATCTTAAATGCACCCCCTTCCCTTAAAATGTCTCCCACTTATATTTTGTCCTGTATTAATGTTATTTTTTAAAAATTCACAGAAATCTTAAGAAGTTTTTGTCTATATGTGTGAACCAAGTAATGTTTGTGAACTCTAATTAGTCAATATATACTAATGTCTTAGAATGTCAGAGTAAGGATCCATTCTGGACAAGCATTGTAAAAAAAGGTCTGCCTTGTCTTGGGTGAATGTAAGGTATGGGGGATGCAATTATAAGATAAATGAATAGGGATTGTGCTTGTGATTCAAACTCTATTTAAGGGCCAAGAAATGAGCATTTAAAATTTGGCTGCATACCAAATCAGGTAGCCAGGATCAGGGAAAGGGTTTTTTTTGAAAAGTGTTCTGGGCACTCCAGTGTTGAGTGTTCTTCACCATCTCCTCCAGATAATTTACTCGAGGCCATGCTGGGTGACCAGCTGGGCATCTAAAATTGATGGCAAGTGAGGGCTAGTTTTATAGCATCCCGTGTTTGTCCACGAGATGGACTTTACAAAATCCAGTGGAGTCTCATCCTAGAGATGTCCCTGTCTCCAAGACTAAGTTGTTGAATGTAGAGGAAGAGGAAAAAAGGGCTGTACTGAATTGGCTTTTCTATTCATCCTTATGATCTTGCGTCTCTTTTAAAAGACTGGCTATTAACAGAAGCTAATTTAATACTTCTAGTTCAGAGAGAGAAGGACATTTGAAATACTCATGGATTCTGAGAGCTATATTTTCAGTAACTTGGACCTAGCTAGAACCATTCCAGAAGAGGTGGTAGAAGCTTTATTCTTGAAGAGCCCTTCTATGGAGGGATGATGTTACAGGTATGAGGGTGAGGTATGCCAACTCCAAGTTTTTTATAATTTGGTGACTCTGTGTGAATTTCTAAGATACGGTGCAATGAATTCTGGTTCTGGAGGTGAGAGTTCTAGATTAGGAAATTTTACCATGTGATTCTACTTTATAACTTCTGCTTGCTGTATCTGTTAGAATCTCAGTCCAGTTGCTGGGTGAAATCTATGCATTTTCTGTCGTGCTACCTCAACAAAGAAGTCAATTAGAATGCTTACCTCTCAGTCTAATATTTAACTGCTCAGAAGGAAGCTACAGAAACAGCTTGGATTTAATCATGGAAAATGATGTGTTTACCTCAGAACATTTTAAGTTAATGAAAAACCTGGAAAATATCAATTTGGTCATAATGCAAAGTCCAGAAAGCAGTAAATAATTCTAGCACCTTTCTGTGTCCCTGAAACAAAACTAGCTTTGTTTTATTTTGTTATATTTTAAATCTATTTTCTGTTTTATACCTCAGTAGGATATATTTTCAGCTTTGAAAGGCACATTAAATCACAGATCCTTAAAGCAGGGTTTGAAAAACACACAAACACCCGTAAGTTCTGCTAATTCATACTGTGTTGAGCTGTCTGGATGGATACATTCACATTCAAACGGAGAAACTTGGTCAGTGTGCTGAATCTCTACGTGACAAAAACATTTTTGTTTATTAGTGTCTACTTGAGGAAATGTATCCATATGAACACTGGTCTCTTAATGCACATTTATTTTATAGTCTTCATTTTATGACTGGCAGATTAAACACCTCAGTTACATGCCTTGAAAGGTCTAGAAAGAACTATTCATGCTAAAATATTCCTGCTTAGGGCACGTGGGTCAGGTAGAAGGTTGAAGTGTATAGGGATCAGCATGGTGCCAATGATGCTTCCTAGGGGTAGGCATTGGAGTGGAGGTGCAGGGAGTGCAGGCATTTATTCTACCAAAATTTACTGAGTAACTGCTATGTGCCAAGCTCTGTGTTGAATACTACAGACAGCACTGTCATCTGCCCCATGGACTTTACAATTTGTACATTGCTAGCAATCGTTAGGGATAGCTCACAAGAGCTATGTGAAAGGAAATATGAAGTCAAATCTTACTACTGGTTAGATTGAGATGGATCCTGGCACAAGCCAAGGAGTATGGTCTAATCTTCCATTATGTGTGGGCTTCCAGGAGTCAGGTTCCCAGAAGGCTCTACAGACCATTTGGTCATGAAGCCAATGGTAAATCCTCAGATTGGAGGATCATTCAAGAGCAGTTTTTATGTGCTGTATCATAAATGCCTTAGCAGAAATTCAGTTAAACTAGTGAAATAAAAATAGTGAGTTTTATGTGACTAGGAGAATAAAATACATTTTTATGCCGTTACTTACTTTGTAGAAAGAGAAAAAGAATGTATTCATTGATTCAAAAGTAGCTGGCATTATTGAGAGCTTACAATGTCCTAAGAGCTGTACTAAGCATCTTATATACACATTCTCATTTAATCTCCAAAATCAGCCCTATAAGCTGCATACTATTACTATCTCAGTTTTGCCGTTAGGAAATTAAGGCACAGAGAGGCTAACTACCTTATTCAACATCATGTAGCTTTTGAATGGGTGGGGAGAAGGTAGCTTTGAATTGGTTTGGATCATAATCTTGAACGTCATAATCTCAAATGTTGAAATCCTGAAAGATCAAAATCCTTAAAGTCTAAATCCTTAAACTCCTTAATATCTAAAATCCAGAAAATCATAATCATAGGATAGTTGCATCATGTTAGGTAGAACTATTACCCTGTTATTGTCTTTATATTGTCTTTATTAAGCATGGTTTAAGGAGCCACATATGGATGCCAAGTTGACAAGGGCTGGACTTGTGGATTTAATTTTAGGTGTCAGCTTGACTGGATTAAGGGATACCTAGAAACCTGGCAAAGCATTATTTTGGGTGTGTATATCAAATAATAGAAGAACCTCAAAAAGAACAATGCCATGTAGAAAATGAATGTGAATGTATTGCCTGAGGAGAGCCGCATCGGAAAAGAAAAAATGGAGCTATTCATTGGGATACAAGACTTTAAAACAGAGTTAACAATTATGAAAGTTGGCCAGATTTTATGGACTATCTCTGTGTAATTGCCCATAATTTACCCGTCATATATTTTTTCATAGGCTGAATTTTCTTTTTAGTTTTTTTCTTTTCTTTTAGTTTTTCTTCACTATTTTAAATTTTCAGCATTATTTTTATAAATTGTTATGTATTTCATCTTCACATAATTTCCAATACTGAAGGTATAAATTGTGTAGAGACTTTTAGAGACTTCTAATTCATTTTACGCATTTTTTTTTTGTAAATTTGACTCCTCAGAAGTGCATTATTACAAAGTTGACTTCATGTGTAAGCATAGTGTACGTATGTAAAAGTGTTGAAACTTCCCCAATAAATGAAGAGAGGTCCTTTTTGTACATCTACATTTGTGAAAGATAAAATTTCTTGAGATCTCAACTCTTTGGGCAAGTGCATATGTTGTGGTGACCCATGGTGGTTTTTGATTGATCTCATCAAAAGACTTAGATTGTTACCCTGGTATTTTAGATGACCACAGTTATAAAGCTGGGTACACACAGTTCCAAACATATTGATATGCATTTATACATTTCCCTTTTTGACCTCTCTCCTTCCCTTCCCTTCCCCTTCCTTCCTTCCTTCCTCCCTCCCTCCCTCCCTTCCTTCCTTCCTTCCTTCCTTCCTTCTTCTTTCTTTCCTTTTCTTCCTTTCGACATGGTCCCACTCTGTCCCCTAGGCTGGAGCACAGTGGTGTGATTACAGCACATTGCAGCCTTGAACTCCTGATATTCAAGTGGCGATCCTCCCACCTCAGCCCCTGGAGTAACTGAGACTACAGGTACACACAACCATGCCTGGCTAATTTTTGTATTTTTGGTAGAGACAAGGTCTCACTGTATTGCCCAGGCTGGTCTCGAACTCATGGACTCAAGTGATCCACCTGCCTTGGCCTCCCAAAGTGCTGGGATTACAGGCATGAGTCACTGCACCTGGCCCTATTGCTTTGTAAATACAGTTTGCCAGCTCATAACTGTTGTACTCATGCAACTGTTGTTGGTATACCTGAATGTTCATGCCTGCAAAAATATGTGTGTCATTATTGCTTATTTTATTGTGTAAAGTAGCCTACAAAGTGTTCTGTCATGTTTTTATATGTTTTCCAAATAAACCCCTTTTAAAAATGTAAATAAATACTTTTAAATAATTTTAAAATTATTTTTTCCAGAATCAAATTTTTGATAACTTGATTTTTTGGGATTTCAAGATTTGGGATTGTGTCTTTGGGATTATGATGAGCTACTAATTTGAATCCTAATCTCTGACTCCACATGCTTTTGATGAGTCACTCTTGTTATAGCTCCTGTTGTTGGACTAAGCATGCTAGAAAGTCAAAGTCCACAGCTCCTCCAATATTCTCTAGTTTGTTAATGGCCCTATTGTCTTCCTAAGCCAGAAACCTGGGAGTCACTTTAACCTCTTTTATTTCTCTCTGCCCACTTCCCCTCATTCATCAGTCTTTAAGTCTTGATTTTAATTCCTAGTATTTCTTGAATCTGCCTGTAGTCATCATTTTTTATCTGGACAACTGCAATCATTTCCTAATGGTGTCTCTATCTCTCTTCCAATGGGATCTTTACAGTGCTGCCAGGGTGATGGTTCTAACAACAAAGATATTCATGCCACATCTCTGCTTAAAAGCCCTCAGTGACTTTCAGACCCCTTATAATCTGGACCCTCCACCCACTCCTTTATCTCACTCTGTTCTCCAAGAGCCTTGAACTATTTGCAATTGGTTGATGGTGCTGTTGCTTCTATGTCTCTGCCCATCCTTTTCTCTAGGACCAGAATGACCTTCTTATAATTTTCCACCCAGTAAACTGGCTCTAATATCTTCTTCTCTAAGAAGCTGTCCCTGCCCCTTCCAGACAGAGACAGGGCCTTCTATCTCCAATTGCCCCTCATTGGTGACTCTGGGATAAGAGTCACTGCTTTGTACCTGCCTGGTTCTACCACACTGTGAATGTTTCAAGGCAGGGAAACAAATCAGACAGACACAGCGTATTTAGAAAGAACAGTCCATTAAAAAAAAAAAAGGAAAAAAAAGCAACAGTAAAAAGCACCTAGTATTTCCCTGATTCCCATGAGGAGTCACGCTCAGGGTCCTCAGAAGAGAAGCTTTCCATATAGGGATCTGTGAAGACTTGGACAACTATTTTGCTCAGCTCATGTGCCAAATGTTTGCCCTGCCGGCACAGCCCCTCTCTTTCTCTGCTGGAATGTATTAATCCAGGGTTTCCACTCACCTCATCAACTAGGCTGTTCTCTAAGTTTGCAGCAGGGAAAGTTTTGCCAGATCTGGTGTCCCTCCCTACTCACTGGGCATAGTTCCTTTGTCCTTGCACATGAAGAGACATTACAGGAACATGATCGGTTTATTCCCTCCCTGAAGGATATGCCTGTCCCTACATTTCTTTATATTTCAGTTAAAAAAAAAACAACAAAACCTGAAAGTGTCTCAGTCATAGGTTTTCTTCTGGGTAACTTGTGGAATGGGGCTCTTGCCACTGTAAAAGTGATGTACCTCCTCATTTGGGGCTTAGTCTTTTTTG